>NC_000003.12:90772458-91072458 GCF_000001405.40 Homo sapiens
AGCATTGTCGGAAACTACTTTGTGATACCTGCCTTCAACTCTCAGAGTTGAATATTCCTCTTGATGGAGCAGTTTTGTAAAACTCTTTTTGTTGAATCTCCAAGTGGATATTTGGACGTCTTTGTGGCCTTCGTTTGAAACGTGACTGCTTCATACAAAAGTAGACAGAAGAATTCTCATAAACTTCTTTGTGATGTGTGCTTCAACTCGCAGAGTTGAAGCTTCCTTTCGATAGAGCAGTTTTGTAACCCTATTTTTGTAGAATTTCCAAGTGGATATTTAGCGCCGTTTGAGGCCTATGGTGGAAAAGGCAATATCTTCATAGAAAAACTAGACAGAATGATTCTCAGAAACTACTTTGTGATGTGTGCCTTCAACTCACAGAGTTTAACCTTTCTGTTGATAGAGCAGTTTTGAAAAACTCTTTCTGTAGAATCTGCAAGTGTATATTGGGACTTTTCTGAGGCCATGTTTGGAAACGGGATTTCTTCATATAAAACTTGAAAGAAGAATCCTCAGAAAATTATTTGTGATATGTGCATTTAACTCATGGAATTGAAACTTCCTTTCGATAGAAGAGTTTTGACATCCTCTTTTTGTAGAATTTCCAAGTGGATTTTTACAGCGGTTTGAGGTCTATGGCAGAAAAAGAAATATCTTCACAGAAAAACTAGGCAGATTCATTCTCCGAAGCTGTTTTGTGATGCTTGCATTAGGCGGACAGAGTTTAAACTTCCTTTGAGAGAGCAGTTTGGAAACACTCTTTTTGTGGAATTTGCAAGTGTATATTTAGAGCGTTTTGAGGCCTACAGTAGGAAAGGAAATATCTTCACATAAAAACTACACAGAAGTATTGTCAGAAATTACTTGTGATATTTGCATTCAACGCACAGAGTTGAACATTCCTCTTGATGGAGCAGTTTTGAAACACTCTTTTTGCAGAATCTGCAGGTGGATATTTGGACCTCTTTGTGGCCTTCGTTTGAAACGTGATTGCTTCATTTACAACTAGACAGAAGAATTCTCAGAAACTTCTTTGTGATGTGTACCTTCAACTCACAGAGGTGAAGCTTCCTTTCAATAGAGCACTTTTGAAGCTCAGTTTTGGTAGAATTTCCAGGTGGATATTTAGCGCCGTTTGAGGCCTATGATAGAAAAGGCAATATCTTCGTAGGAGAACTAGACACAATGATTCTCAGAAGCTACTTTGTGATGTGTGGGTTTAAATCACTGAGTTTAACCTTTCTTTTGATAGACCAGTTATGAAACACTCTTTTTGTGGAATCTGCAAGTAAATTTTTGGACTTTTTTGAGGCCTTCATTGGAAACGGGGTTTCTTCATATAAACCTTGACAGAAGAATTCTCAGAAACTTCTCTGTGATGTGTGCGTTTACCTCTCAGAGTTCCACCTTCCTTTTGATAGAAGAGTGTTGAAATATTCTTTTTGCAGAATTTCCAAGTGAATATTTAGAGCGGTCTCAGGCCTATGTGGAAGAGAAACTATCTTCACGGAAAAACTAGACATAATTGTTCTCTGAAGCTGCTCTGTGATGTGCACATTCAGCTGACAGAGTTTAACCTTTCTTTGGATAGAGCGGTTTTAAACACTCTTTTTTTTGGAATTTGCAATTCTATACTTAGAGTGCTTTCAGTCCTGTGGTACAAAAGGGAATGTCTTCACATAAAATCTAGACAGAAGCATTGTTGGGAACTACTTTGTGATACCTGCCTTCAACTCTCCGAGTTGAATATTCCTCTTGATGGAGCAGTTTTGTAAAACTCTTTTTGATGAATCTCCAAGTGGATATTTGGACCTCTTTGTGGCCTTCGTTTGATACGTGACTGCTTCATACAAAAGTAGACAGAAGAATTCTCATAAACTTCTTCGTGATGTGTGCTTTCAACTCGCAGAGTTGAAGCTTCCTTTCGATAGAGCAGTCTTGTAACTCTCTTTTTGTAGAATTTCCAAGTGGATATTTAGCGCCGTTTGAGGCCTATGGTGGAGAAGGCGATATCTTCATAGAAAAACTAGACAGAATGATTCTCAGAAACTACTCTGTGATGTGTGCCTTCAACTCACAGAGTTTAACCTTCCTTTTGATAGAGCAGTTTTGAAAAACTCTTTTTGTAGAATCTGCAAGTGTATATTGGGACTTTTCTGAGGCCATCTTTGGAAACAGGATTTCTTTATATAAAACTTGAAAGAAGAATCCTCAGAAAATTACTTGTGATATGTGCATTTAACTCATGGAGTTGAAACTTCCTTTCGATAGAAGAGTTTTGAAATACTCTTTTTGTAGAATTTCCAAGTGGATTTTTACAGCGGTTTGAGGTCTATGGCAGAAAAAGAAATATCTTCACAGAAAAACAAGGCAGATTCATTCTCTGAAGCTGTTTTGTGATGCTTGCATTCAGCTGACAGAGTTTAAACTTCCTTTGATAGAGCAGTTTGGAAACACTCTTTTTGTGGAGTTTGCAAGTGTTTATTTAGAGCGTTTTGAGGCCTACAGTAGGAAAGGAAATATCTTCACATAAAAACTAGACAGAAGTATTGTCAGAAACTTATTTGTGATATTTGCATTCAACGCACCGAGTTGAACATTCCTCTTGATGGAGCAGTTTGGAAACACTCTTTTTGTAGAATCTGCAGGTGGATATTTGGACCTCTTTGTGGCCTTCGTTTGAAACGTGATTTCTTCATTTACAACTAGACAGAAGAATTCTCAGAAACTTCTTTGTGATGTGTACCTTCAACTCACAGAGTTGAAGCTTCCTTTCAATAGAGCACCTTAGAAACTCAGTTTTTGTAGAATTTCCAGGTGGATATTTAGCGCCGTTTGAGGCCTATGGTAGAAAAGGCAATATCTTCATAGGAGGACTAGACAGAATGATTCTCAGAAGCTACTTTGTGATGTGTGGGTTCAACTCACTGAGTTTAAACTTTCTTTTGATAGACCAGTTTATGAAACACTCTTTTTGTAGAATCTGCAAGTAAATCTTTGGACTTTTTTGAGGCCTTCATTGGAAACGGGGTTTCTTCATATAAACCTTGACAGAAGAATTCTCAGAAACTTCTCTGTGATGTGTGCGTTTAACTCTCAGAGTTCAACCTTCCTTTTGATAGAAGAGTGTTGAAATATTCTTTTTGTAGAATTTCCAAGTGAATATTTAGAGCGGTTTCAGGCCTATGTAGAAGAGAAACTATCTTCACAAGAAAAACTAGACATAATTGCTCTCTGAAGCTACTTTGTGATGTGCGCATTCAGCTTACAGAGTTTAACCTTTCTTTGGATGGAGCGGTTTTAAACACTCTTTTTGAGGAATTTGCAATTCTATATTTAGAGTGCTTTCAGGCCTGTGGTACAAAAGGGAATGTCCTCACATAAAATCTAGACAGAAGCATTGTCGGGAACTACTTTGAGATACTTGCCTTCAACTCTCAGAGTTGAATATTCCTCTTGATGGAGCAGTTTTGAAAAACTCTTTTTGTTGAATCTCCAAGTGGATATTTGGACCTCTTTGTGGCCTTCGTTTGAAACGTGACTGCTTCATACAAAAGTAGACAGAAGAATTCTCATAAACTTCTTCGTGATGTGTGCTTTCAACTCGCAGAGTTGAAGCTTCCTTTCGATAGAGCAGTCTTGTAACTCTCTTTTTGTAGAATTTCCAAGTGGATATTTAGCGCCGCTTGAGGCCTATGGTGGAGAAGGCGATATCTTCATAGAACAACTAGACAGAATCATTCTCAGAAACTACTTTGTGATGTGTGCCTTCAACTCACAGAGTTTAACCTTTCTTTTGATAGAGCAGTTTTGAAAAACTCTTTTTGTAGAATCTGCAAGTGTATATTCGGACTTTTCTGAGGCTATCTTTGGAAACGGGATTTCTTCATATAAATCTTGAAAGAAGAATCCTCAGAAAATTATTTGTGGTATGTGTATTTAACTCATGGAGTTGAGACTTCCTTTCGATAGAAGAGTTTTGATATACACTTTTTGTAGAATTTCCAAGTGGATTTTTACAGCGGTTTGAGGTCTATGGCAGAAAAAGAAATATCTTCACAGAAAAACTAGGCAGATTCATTCTCCGAAGCTGTTTTGTGATGCTTGCATTAAGCTGACAGAGTTTAAACTTCCTTTGATAGAGCAGTTTGGAAACACTCTTTCTGTGGAATTTGCAAGTGTATATTTAGAGCGTTTTGAGGCCTACAGTAGGAAAGGCAATATCTTCACATAAAAACTACACAGAAGTATTCTCAGAAACTTACTTGTGATATTTGCATTCAACGCACAGAGTTGAACATTCCTCTTGATGAAGCAGTTTTGAAACACTCTTTTTGTAGAATCTGCAGGTGGATATTTGGACCTCTTTGTGGCCTTCTTTTGAAACGTGATTTCTTCATTTACAACTAGACAGAAGAATTCTCAGAAACTTCTTTGTGATGTGTACCTTCAACCCACAGAGGTGAAGCTTCCTTTCAATAGAGCACTTTTGAAACTCAGTTTTGGTAGAATTTCCAGGTGGATATTTAGCGCCGTTTGAGGCCTATGGTAGAAAAGGCAATATCTTCGTAGGAGAACTAGACAGAATGATTCTCAGAAGCTACTTTGTGATGTGTGGGTTCAACTCACTGAGTTTAACCTTTCTTTTGATAGACCAGTTATGAAACACTCTTTCTGTGGAATCGGCAAGTAAATATTTGGACTTTTTTGAGGCCTTCATTGGAAACGGGCTTTCTTCATATAAACCTTGACAGAAGAATTCTCAGAAACTTCTCTGTGATGTGTGCGTTTAACTCTCAGAGTTCCACCTTCCTTTTGATAGAAGAGTGTTGAAATATTCTTTTTGTAGAATTTCCAAGTGAATATTTAGAGCGGTTACAGGCCTATGTAGAAGAGAAACTATCTTCACAGAAAAACTAGACATAACTGTTCTCTGAAGCTGCTCTGTGATGTGCGCATTCAGCTGACAGATTTTAACCTTTCTTTGGATAGAGCGGTTTTCAACAATATTTTGTGGAATTTGCAATTCTATATATAGAGGGCTTTCAGGCATGTGGTACAAAAGGGAATGTCTTCACATAAAATCTAGACAGAAGCATTGTCGGGAACTACTTTGTGATACCTGCCTTCAACTCTCAAGTTGAATATTCCTCTTGAAGGAGCACTTTTGAAAAACTCTTTTTGTTGAATCTCCAAGTGGATATTTGGTCCTCTTTGTGGCCTTCGTTTGAAACGTGACTGCTTCATACAAAAGTAGACAGAAGAATTCTCATAAACTTCTTCGTGATGTGTGCTTTCAACTCGCAGCGTTGAAGCTTCCTTTCGATAGAGCAGTTCTGTAAATCTCTTATTGTAGAATTTCCAAGTGGATATTTAGCGCCGTTTGAGGCCTATGGTGGAAAAGGCAATATCTTCATAGAAAAACTAGACAGAATGATTCTCAGAAACTACTTTGTGATGTGTGCCTTCAACTCACAGAGTTTAAACTTTCTTTTGATAGAGCAGTTTTGAAAAGCTCTTTTTGTAGAATCTGGAAGTGTATATTGGGACTTTTCTGAGGCCATCTTTGGAAACGGGATTTCTTCATATAAAACTTGAAAGAAGAATCCTCAGAAAATTATTTGTGATATGTGCATTTAACTCATGGAGTTGAAACTTCCTATCGATAGAAGAGTTTTGAAATACTCTTTTTGTAGAATTTCCAAGTGGATTTTTACAGCGGTTTGAGGTCTATGGCAGCAAAAGGAATATCTTCAAAGAAAAACTAGGCAGATTCATTCTCCGAAGCTGTTTTGTGATGCTTGCATTAAGCTGACAGAGTTTAAACTTCCTTTGATAGAGCAGTTTGGAAACACTCTTTTTGTGGAATTTGCAAGTGTATATTTAGAGCGTTTTGAGGCCTACAGTAGGAAAGGAAATAACTTCACATAAAAACTAGACAGAAGTATTATCAGAAACTTACTTGTGATATTTGCATTCAACGCCCAGAGTTGAACATTCCTCTTGATGGAGCAGTTTTGAAACACTCTTTTTGTAGAATCTGAAGGTGGATATTTGGACCTCTTTGTGGCCTTCGTTTGAAACGTGATTTCTTCATTTACAACTAGACAGAAGAATTCTCAGAAACTTCTTTGTGATGTGTACCTTCAACTCACAGAGGTGAAGCTTCCTTTCAATAGAGCACATTTGAAGCTCCGTTTTGGTAGAATTTCCAGGTGGATATTTAGCGCCGTTTGAGGCCTATGGTAGAAAAGGCAATATCTTCGTAGGAGAACTAGACAGAATGATTCTCAGAAACAACTTTGTGATGTGTGCGTTCAACTCACGGAGTTTAATCTTTCTTTTGATAGACCAGTTATGAAACACTCTTTTTGTAGAATCTGCAAGTAAACATTTGGACTTTTTTGAGGCCTTCATTGGAAACGGGATTTCTTCATATAAACCTTGACAGAAGAATTCCCAGAAAATTCTCTGTGATGTGTGCATTTAACTCTCAGAGTTAAACCTTCCTTTTGATAGAAGAGGGTTGAAATATTCTTTTTGTAGAATTTCCAAGTGAATATTTAGAGCGGTTTCAGGCCTATGTAGAAGAGAAAATATCTTCACAGAAAAACTAGACATAACTGTTCTCTGAAGCTACTTTGTGATGTGCGCATTCAGCTTACAGAGTTTAACCTTTCTTTGGATAGAGCGGTTTTAAACACTCTTTTTGTGGAATTTGCAATTCTACATTTAGAGTGCTTTCAGGCCTGTGGTACAAAAGGGAATGTCCTCACATAAAATCTAGACAGAAGCATTGTCGGAAACTACTTTGTGATACCTGCCTTCAACTCTCAGAGTTGAATGGTCCTCTTGATGGAGCAGTTTTGAAAAACTCTTTTTGTTGAATCTCCAAGTGGATATTTGGACCTCTTTGGGGCCTTCGTTTGAGACGTGACTTCTTCATACAAAAGTAGACAGAAGAATTCTCATCAACTTCTTCGTGATGTGTGCTTTCAACTCGCAGCGTTGAAGCTTCCTTTCGATAGAGCAGTTCAGTAACTCTCTTTTTGTAGAATTTCCGAGTGGATATTTAGCGCCGTTTGAGGCCAATGGTGGAAAAGACAATATCTTCATAGAAAAACTAGACAGAATGATTCTCAGAAACTACTTTGCGATGTGTGCCTTCAACTCACAGAGTTTAACCTTTCTTTTGATAGAGCAGTTTTGAAAAACTCTTTTTGTAGAATCTGCAAGTGTATATTGGGACTTTTCTGAGGCCATCTTTGGAAACGGGATTTCTTCATATAAAACTTGAAAGAAGAATCCTCAGAAAATTATTTGTGATATGTGCATTTAACTCATGGAGTTCAGAATTCCTTTTGATAGAAGAGTTTTGAAATACTGTTTTTGTAGAATTTCCAAGTGGATTTTTACAGCAGTTTGAGGTCTATGGCAGAAAAAGAAATATCTTCACAGAAAAACTAGGCAGATTCATTCTCCGAAGCTGTTTTCTGATGCTTGCATTCAGCTGACAGAGTTTAATCTTCCTTTGATAGAGCAGTTTGGAAACACTCTTTTTGTGGAATTTGAAAGTGTATATTTAGAGCGTTTTGAGGCCTGCAGTAGGAAAGGAAATATCTTCACCTAAAAACTAGACAGAAGTATTGTCGGAAACTTACTTGTGATATTTGCATTCAACGCACAGAGTTGAACATTCCTCTTGATGGAGCAGTTTTGAAACACTCTTTTTGCAGAATCTGCAGGTGGATATTTGGACCTCTTTGTGGCCTTCGTTTGAAACGTGATTTCTTCATTTACAACTAGACAGAAGAATTCTCAGAAACTTCTTTGTGATGTGTACTTTCAACTCACAGAGTTGAAGCTTCCTTTCAATAGAGCACTTTTGAAACTCAGTTTCTGTAGAATTTCCAGGTGGATATTTAGCGCCGTTTGAGGCCTATGGTGGAAAAGGCAATGTCTTCGTAGAAAAACTAGACAGAATGATTCTCAGAAGGTACTTTGTGATGTGTGGGTTCAACTCACTGAGTTTAACCTTTCTTTTGATAGACCAGTTATGAAACACTCTTTTTGTGGAATCTGCAAGTAAATTTTTGGACTTTTTTGAGGCCTTCATTGGAAACGGGGTTTCTTCATATAAACCTTGACAGAAGAATTCTCAGAAACTTCTCTGTGATGTGTGTGTTTAACTCTCAGAGTTCAACCTTCCTTTTGATAGAAGAGTGTTGAAATATTCTTTTTGTAGAATTACCAAGTGAATATTTAGAGCGGTTTCAGGCCTATGTAGAAGAGAAACTATCTTCACAGAAAAACTAGACATAATTGTTCTCTGAAGCTACTCTGTGATGTGCGCATTCAGCTGACAGAGTTTAACCTTTCTTTGGATAGAGCGGTTTTAAACACTCTTTTTGTGGAATTTGCAGTTCTATATTTAGAGTGCTTTCAGGCCTGTGGTACAAAAGGGAATGTCTTCACATAAAATCTAGACAGAAGCATTGTCGGGAACTACTTTGGGATACCTGCCTTCAACTCTCAAGAGTTGAATATTCCTCTTGATGGAGCAGTTTTGAAAAACTCTTTTTGTTGAATCTCCAAGTGGATATTTGGACCTCTTTGTGGCCTTCGTTTGAAACGTGACTGCTTCATACAAAAGTAGACAGAAGAATTCTCGTAAACTTCTTCGTGATGTGTGCTTTCAACTCGCAGAGTTGAAGCTTCCTTTCGATAGAGCAGTCTTGTAACTCTCTTTTTGTAGAATTTCCAAGTGGATATTTAGCGCCGCTTGAGGCCTATGCTGGAGAAGGCGATATCTTCATAGAAAAACTAGACAGAATGATTCTCAGAAACTACTTTGTGATGTGTGCCTTCAACTCACAGAGTTTAACCTTCCTTTTGGTAGAGCAGTTTTGAAAAACTCTTTTTGTAGAATCTGCAAGTGTATATTGGGACTTTTCTGAGGCCATCTTTGGAAACGGGATTTCTTTATATAAAACTTGAAAGAAGAATCCTCAGAAAATTATTTGTGATATGTGCATTTAACTCATGGAGCTGAAACTTCCTTTCGATAGAAGAGCTTTGAAATACTCTTTTTGTAGAATTTCCAAGTGGATTTTTACAGCGGTTTGAGGTCTATGGCAGAAAAAGAAATATCTTCACAGAAAAACTAGGCAGATACATTCTCCGAAGCTGTTTTGTGATGCTTGCATTAAGCGGACAGAGTTTAAACTTCCTTTGATAGAGCAGTTTGGAAACACTCTTTTTGTGGAATTTGCAAGTGTATATTTAGAGCGTTTTGAGGCCTACAGTAGGAAAGGAAATATCTTCACATAAAAACTACACAGAAGTATTGTCAGAAACTTACTTGTGATATTTGCATTCAACGCACAGAGTTGAACATTCCTCTTGATGGAGCAGTTTTGAAACACTCTTTTTGCAGAATCTGCAGGTGGATATTTGGACCTCTTTGTGGCCTTCCTTTGAAACGTGATTTCTTCATTTACAACTAGACAGAAGAATTCTCAGAAACTTCTTTGTGATGTGTACCTTCAACTCACAGAGGTGAAGCTTCCTTTCAATGGAGCACTTTTGAAACTCAGTTTTGGTAGAATTTCCAGGTGGATATTTTGCGCCGTTTGAGGCCTATGGTAGAAAAGGCAATATCTTCGTAGGAGAACTAGACAGAATGATTCTCAGAAACTACTTTGTGATGTGTGGGTTCACCTCACTGAGTTTAACCTTTCTTTTGATAGACCAGTTAGGATAACACTCTTTTTGTAGAATCTGCAAGTAAATATTTGGACTTTTTTGAGGCCTTCATTGGAAACGGGATTTCTTCATAGAAACCTTGACAGAAGAATTCCCAGAAACTTCTCTGTGATGTGTGCATTTAACACTCAGAGTTCAACCTTCCTTTTGATAGAAGAGGGTTGAAATATTCTTTTTGTAGAATTTCCACGTGAATATTTAGAGCGTTTTCAGGCCTATGTAGAAGAGAAAATATCTTCACAGAAAAACTAGACATAATTGTTCTCTGAAGCTGCTCTGTGATGTGCGCATTCAGCTGACAGAGTTTAACCTTTCTTTGGATAGAGCGGTTTTAAACACTCTTTTTGTGGAATTTGCAATTCTATACTTAGAGTGCTTTCAGGCCTGTGGTACAAAAGGGAATGTCTTCACATAAAATCTAGACAGAAGCATTGTCGGAAACTACTTTGTGATACCTGCCTTCAACTCTCAGAGTTGAATATTCCTCTTGATGGAGCAGTTTTGAAAAACTCTTTTTGTTGAATCTCCAAGTGCATATTTGGACCTCTTTGTGGCCTTCGTTTGAGACGTGACTGCTTCATACAAAAGTAGACAGAAGAATTCTCATAAACTTCTTCTTGATGTGTGCTTTCAACTCGCTGAGTTGAAGCTTCCTTTCGACAGAGCAGTCTTGTAACTCTCTTTTTGTAGAATTTCCAAGGGGATATTTAGCGCCGTTTGAGGCCTATGGTGGAAAAGGCAATATCTTCATAGAAAAACTAGACAGAATGATTCTCAGAAACTACTTTGTGATGTGTGCCTTCAACTCACGGAGTTTAACCTTTCTTTTGATAGAGCAGTTTTGAAAAACTCTTTTTGTAGAATCTGCAAGTGTATATTGGGACTTTTCTGAGGCCATCTTTGGAAACGGGATTTCTTCATATAAAACTTGAAAGAAGAATCCTCAGAAAATTATTTGTGATATGTGAATTTAGCTCATGGAGCTGAAACTTCCTTTCGATAGAAGAGCTTTGAAATACTCTTTTTGTAGAATTTCCAAGTGGATTTTTACAGCGGTTTGAGGTCTATGGCAGAAAAAGAAATATCTTCACAGAAAAACTAGGCAGATTCATTCTCCGAAGCTGTTTTGTGATGCTTGCATTAAGCGGACAGAGTTTAAACTTCCTTTGATAGAGCAGTTTGGAAACACTCTTTTTGTGGAATTTGCAAGTGTATCTTTAGAGCGTTTTGAGGCCTACAGTAGGAAAGGAAATATCTTCACATAAAAACTACACAGAAGTATTGTCAGAAACTTATTTGTGATATTTGCATTCAACGCACCGAGTTGAACATTCCTCTTGATGGAGCAGTTTTGAAACACTCTTTTTGTAGAATCTGCAGGTGGATATTTGGACCTCTTTGTGGCCTTCGTTTGAAACGTGATTTCTTCATGTACAACTAGACAGAAGAATTCTCAGAAACTTCTTTGTGATGTGTACTTTCAACTCACAGAGTTGAAGCTTCCTTTCAATAGAGCACTTTTGAAACTCAGTTTCTGTAGAATTTCCAGGTGGATATTTAGAGCCGTTTGAGGCCTATGGTGGAAAAGGCAATATCTTCGTAGAAAAACTAGACAGAATGATTCTCAGAAACAACTTTGTGATGTGTGCGTTCAACTCACGGAGTTTAACCTTTCTTTTGATAGACCAGTTATGAAACACTCTTTTTGTAGAATCTGCAAGTAAACATTTGGACTTTTTTGAGGCCTTCATTGGAAACGGGATTTCTTCATATAAACCTTGACAGAAGAATTCCCAGAAACTTCTCTGTGATGTGTGCATTTAACTCTGAGAGTTCAACCTTCCTTTTGATAGAAGAGGGTTGAAATTTTCTTTTTGTAGAATTTCCAAGTGAATATTTAGAGCGGTTTCAGGCCTAAGTAGAAGAGAAAATATCTTCACAGAAAAACTAGACATAATTGTTCTCTGAAGCTACTTTGTGATGTGCGCCTTCAGCTGACAGAGTTGAACCTTTCTTTGGATAGAGCGGTTTTAAACCCTCTTTCTGTGGAATTTGCAATTCTATATTTAGAGTGCTTTCAGGCCTGTGGTACAAATGGGAATGTCTTCACATAAAATCTAGACAGAAGCGTTGTCGGAAACTACTTTGTGATACCTGCCTTCAACTCTCAGAGTTGAATATTCCTCTTGACGGAGAAGTTTTGAAAAACTCTTTTTGTTGAATCTCCAAGTGGATATTTGGACATCTTTGTGGCCTTCGTTTGAGACGTGACTTCTTCCTACAAAACTAGACAGAAGAATTCTCCTAAACTTCTTCGTGATGTGTGCTTTCAACTCGCAGAGTTCAAGCTTCTTTTCGATAGAGCAGTCTTGTAACTCTCTTATTGTAGAATTTCCAAGTGGATATTTAGCGCCGTTTGAGGCCTATGGTGGAGAAGGCGATATCTTCATAGAAAAACTAGACAGAATGATTCTCAGAAACTACTCTGTGATGTGTGCCTTCAACTCACAGAGTTTAACCTTCCTTTTGGTAGAGCAGTTTTGAAAAACGCTTTTTGTAGAATCTGCAAGTGTATATTGGGAATTTTCTGAGGCCATCTTTGGAAACGGGATTTCTTCATATAAAACTTGAAAGAAGAATCCTCAGAAAATTATTTGTGATATGTGCACTTAACTCATGGAGTTGAAACTTCCTTTCGATAGAAGAGCTTTGAAATACTCTTTTTGTAGAATGTCCATGTGGATTTTTACAGCGGTTTGAGGTCTATGGCAGAAAAAGAAATATCTTCACACAAAAACTAGGCAGATTCATTCTCCGAAGCTGTTTTGTGATGCTTGCATTAAGCGGACAGAGTTAAAACTTCCTTTGATAGAGCAGTTTGGAAACACTCTTTTTGTGGAATTTGCAAGTGTATATTTAGAGCGTTTTGAGGCCTACAGTAGGAAACGAAATATCTTCACATAAAAACTACACAGAAGTATTGCCAGAAACTTATTTGTGATATTTGCATTCAACGCACGGAGTTGAACATTCCTCTTGATGGAGCCGTTTTGAAGCACTCTTTTTGTGGAATCTGCAAGTGGATATTTGGACCTCTTTGTGGCCTTCGTGGGAAACGTGATTTCTTCATTGACAACTAGACAGAAGAATTCTCAGAAACTTCTTTGTGATGTGTACTTTCAACTCACAGAGTTGAAGCTTCCTTTCAATAGAGCACTTTTGAAACTCAGTTTCTGTAGAATTTCCAGGTGGATATTTAGCGCCGTTTGAGGCCTATGGTGGAAAAGGAAATATCTTCGTAGAAAAACTAGACAGAATGATTCTCAGAAACTACTTTGTGATGTGTGGGTTCAACTCACTGAGTTTAACCTTTCTTTTGATAGACCAGTTATGAAACACTCTTTTTGTAGAATCTGCAAGTAAATATTTGGACTTTTTTGAGGCCTTCATTGGAAACGGGATCTCTTCATATAAACCTTGACAGAAGAATTCTCAGAAACTTCTCTGTGATGTGTGCATTTAACTCTCAGAGTTCAACCTTCCTTTTGATAGAAGAGTGTTGAAATATTCTTTTTGCAGAATTTCCAAGTGAATATTTAGAGCGGTCTCAGGCCTATGTGGAAGAGAAACTATCTTCACGGAAAAACTAGACATAATTGTTCTCTGAAGCTACTTTGTGATGTGCGAATTCAGCTTACAGAGTTTAACCTTTCTTTGGATAGAGCGGTTTTAAACACTCTTTTTGTGGAATTTGCAATTCTATATTTAGAGTGCTTTCAGGCCTGTGGTACAAAAGGGAATGTCCTCACATAAAATCTAGACAGAAGCATTGTCGGAAACTACTTTGTGATAACTGCCTTCAACTCTCAGAGTTGAATATTCCTCTTGATGGAGCAGTTTTGAAAAACTCTTTTTGTTGAATCTCCAAGTGGATATTTGGACCTCTTTGTGACCTTCGTTTGAGACGTGACTTCTTCATACAAAACTAGAGAGAAGAATTCAGAGACACTTCTTTGTGACTTGTGCATTTAACTCTCAGAGTTGAACCTTCTTTTCGATAGAGCAGTTTTGAAATACTCTTTTTGAAGTATTTTCAAGTGGATATTTAGTGCAGTTTGAAACCTACGGTAGAAAAGGAAATATCTTCGTAGAAAAACTAGACAGAATGATTCTCAGAAACTACTTTGTGATGTGTGGGTTCAACTCACTGAGTTTAACCTTTCTTTTGATAGACCAGTTATGAAACACTCTTTTTGTAGAATCTGCAAGTAAATATTTGGACTTTTTTGAGGCCTTCATTGGAAACGGGATTTCTTCATAGAAACCTTGACAGAAGAATTCTCAGAAACTTCTTTGTGATGTGTGCATTTAACTCTCAGAGTTCAGCCTTCCTTTTGATAGAGGAGTGTTGAAATATTCTTTTTGTAGAATTTCCAAGTGAATATTTAGAGCGGTTTCAGGCCTATGTAGAAGAGAAAATATCTTCACAGAAAAACTAGACATAATTGTTCTCTGAAGCTACTTTGTGATGTGCGCCTTCAGCTGACAGAGTTTAACCTTTCTTTGGATCGAGCGGCTTTAAATACTCTTTTTGTGGAATTTGCAATTCTATATTTAGAGTGCTTTCAGGCCTGTGGTACAAAAGGGAATGTCTTCACATAAAATCTAGACAGAAGCATTGTCGGAAACTACTTTGTGATACCTGCCTTCAACTCTCAGAGTTGAATATTCCTCTTGGTGGAGCAGTTTTGAAAAACTCTTTTTGTTGAATCTGCAAGTGGATATTTGGACCTCTTTGTGGCCTTCGTGTGAAACGTGATTTCTTCATTTACAACTAGACAGAAGAATTCTCAGAAACTTCTTTGTGATGTGTGCTTTCAACTCACAGAGTTGAACCTTCCTTTCGATAGAGGAGTTTTGAAACTCTCTTTTTGTAGTGTTTCCAAGTGGATATTTAGCACCGTTTGTGGCCTATGGAAGAAAATGCAATATCTTCATAGAAAAACTAGACAGAATGATTCTCTGAAACTACTTTGTGATGTGTGCCTTCAACTCACAGAGTTTAACCTTTCTTTTGATAGAGCAGTTTTGAAAAACTCTTTTTGTAGAATCTGCAAGTGTATCTTGGGACTTTTCTGAGGCCATCTTTGGAAACGGGATTTCTTCATATAAAATTTGAAAGAAGAATCCTCAGAAAATTATTTGTGATATCTGCATTTAACTCATGGAGTTGAGATTTCCTTTCGATAGAAGAGTTTTGAAATACTCTTTTTGTAGAATTTCCAAGTGGATTTTTACAGCGGTTTGAGGTCTATGGCAGAAAAAGGAATATCTTCACAGAAAAACTAGGCAGATTCATTCTCCGAAGCTGTTTTGTGATGCTTGCATTAAGCTGACAGAGTATAAACTTCCTTTGATAGAGCAGTTTGGAAACACTCTTTTTGTGGAATTTGCAAGTGTATATTTAGAGCGTTTTGAGGCCTACAGTAGGAAAGGAAATATCTTCACATAAAAACTAGACAGAAGTATTGTCAGAAACTTATTTGTGATATTTGCATTCAACGCACGGAGTTGAACATTCCTCTTGATGGAGCCGTTTTGAAGCACTCTTTTTGTGGAATCTGCAAGTGGATATTTGGACCTCTTTGTGGCCTTCGTGTGAAACGTGATTTCTTCATTTACAACTAGACAGAAGAATTCTCAGAAACTTCTTTGTGATGTGTACCTTCAACTCACAGAGGTGAAGCTTCCTTTCAATAGAGCACTTTTGAAGCTCAGTTTTGGTAGAATTTCCGGGTGGATATTTAGCGCCGTTTGAGGCCTATGGTAGAAAAGGCAATATCTTCGTAGGAGAACTAGACACAATGATTCTCAGAAACAACTTTGTGATGTGTGCGTTCAACTCACGGAGTTTAACCTTTCTTTTGATAGACCAGTTATGAAACACTCTTTTTGTAGAATCTGCAAGTAAATATTTGGACTTTTTTGAGGCCTTCATTGGAAACGGGATCTCTTCATATAAACCTTGACAGAAGAATTCCCAGAAACTTCTCTGTGATGTGTGCATTTAACTCTTAGAGTTCAACCTTCCCTTTGATAGAAGAGGCTTGAAATATTCTTTTTGTAGAATTTCCAAGTGAATATTTAGAGCGGTTTCAGGCCTAAGTAGAAGAGAAAATATCTTCACAGAAAAACTAGACATAATTGTTCTCTGAAGCTACTTTGTGATGTGCTCATTCAGCTTACAGAGTTTAACCTTTCTTTGGATCGAGCGGTTTTAAACACTCTTTTTGTGGAATTTGCAATTCTATATTTAGAGTGCTTTCAGGCCTGTGGTACAAAAGGGAATGTCCTCACATAAAATCTAGACAGAAGCATTGTCGGAAACTACTTTGTGATACCTGCCTTCAACTCTCAGAGTTGAATATTCCTCTTGATGGAGCAGTTTTGAAAAACTCTTTCTGTTGAATCTCCAAGTGGATATTTGGACCTCTTTGTGGCCTTCGTTTGAGACGTGACTTCTTCATACAAAAGTAGACAGAAGAATTCTCATAAACTTCTTCGTGATGTGTGCTTTCAACTTGCAGAGTTGAAGCTTCCTTTCGATAGAGCAGTCTTGTAACTCTCTTTTTGTAGAATTTCCAAGTGGATATTTAGCGCCACTTGAGGCCTATGGTGGAGAAGTCGATATCTTCATAGAAAAACTAGACAGAACGATTCTCAGAAACTACTTTGTGATGTGTGCCTTCAACTCACGGAGTTTAACCTTTCTTTTGATAGAGCAGTTTTGAAAAACTCTTTTTGTAGAATCTGCAAGTGTATATTGGGACTTTTCTGAGGCCATCTTTGGAAACGGGATTTCTTCATATAAAACTTGAAAGAAGAATCCTCAGAAAATTATTTGTGATATGTGCATTTAACTCATGGAGTTGAAACTTCCTTTCGATAGAAGAGTTTTAAAATACTCTTTTTGTAGAATTTCCAAGTGGATTTTTACAGCGGTTTGAGGTCTATGGCAGCAAAAGAAATATCTTCACAGAAAAACTAGGCAGATTCATTCTCCGAAGCTGTTTTGTGATGCTTGCATTCAGCTGACAGAGTTTAAACTTCCTTTGATAGAGCAGTTTTGAAACACTCTTTTTGTGGAATTTGCAAGTGTATATTTAGAGCGCTTTGAGGCCTACAGTAGGAAAGGAAATATCTTCACCTAAAAACTAGACAGAAGTATTGTCAGAAAGTTATTTGTGATATTTGCATTCAACGCACAGAGTTGAACATTCCTCTTGATGGAGCAGATTTGAAACCCTCTTTTTGCAGAATCTGCAGCTGGATATTTGGACCTCTTTGCGGCCTTCGTTTGAAACGTGATTTCTGCATTTACAACTAGACAGAAGAATTCTCAGAAACTTCTTTGTGATGTGTACTTTCAACTCACAGATTTGAAGCTTCCTTTCAATAGAGCACTTTTGAAACTCAGTTTCTGTAGAATTTCCAGGTGGATATTTAGCGCCGTTTGAGGCCTATGGTGGAAAAGGCAATATCTTCGTAGAAAAACTAGACAGAATGATTCTCAGAAGCTACTTTGTGATGTGTGGGTTCAACTCACTGAGTTTCACCTTTCTTTTGATAGACCAGTTATGAAACACTCTTTTTGTGGAATCTGCAAGCAAATTTTTGTACTTTTTTGAGGCCTTCATTGGAAACGGGGTTTCTTCATATAAACCTTGACAGAAGAATTCTCAGAAACTCCTCTGTGATGTGTGCGTTTAACTCTCAGAGTTCAACCTTCCTTTTGATAGAAGAGTGTTGAAATATTCTTTTTGTAGAATTACCAAGTGAATATTTAGAGCGGTTTCAGGCCTATGTAGAAGAGAAACTATCTTCACAGAAAAACTAGACATAATTGTTCTCTGAAGCTACTTTGTGATGTGCGCATTCAGCTTACAGAGTTTAACCTTTCCTTGGATCGAGCGGTTTTAAACACTCTTTTTGTGGAATTTGCAATTCTATATTTAGAGTGCTTTCAGGCCTCTGGTACAAAAGGGAACGTCCTCACATAAAATCTAGACAGAAGCATTGTCGGAAACAACTTTGTGATACCTGCCTTCAACTCTCAGAGTTGAATGTTCCTCTTGATGGAGCAGTTTTGAAAAACTCTTTTTGTTGAATCTCCAAGTGGATATTTGGACCTCTCTGTGGCCTTCGTTTGAGACTTGACTGCTTCATACAAAAATTGACAGAAGAATTCTCATCAACTACTTCGTGATGTGTGCTTTCAACTCGTAGCGTTGAAGCTTCCTTTCGATAGAGCAGTTGTGTAACTCTCTTTTTGTAGAATTTCCAAGTGGATATTTAGCGCCGTTTGAGGCCAATGGTGGAAAAGGCAATATCTTCATAGAAAAAGTAGACAGAATGATTCTCAGAAACTACTTTGTGATGTGTGCCTTCAACTCACAGAGTTTAACCTTTCCTTGATAGAGCAGTTTTGAAAAACTCTTTTTGTAGAATCTGCAAGTGTATATTGGGACTTTTCTGAGGCCATCTTTGGAAACGGGATTTCTTCATATAAAACTTGAAAGAAGAATCCTCAGAAAATTATTTGTGATATGTGCATTTAACTCATGGAGTTGAAACTTCCTTTCGATAGAAGAGTTTTGAAATACTCTTTTTGTAGAATTTCCAAGTGGATTTTTACAGCGGTGTGAGGTCTATGGCAGCAAAAGAAATATCTTCACAGAAAAACTGGGCAGATTCATTCTCCGAAGCTGTTTTGTGATGCTTGCATTAAGCGGACAGAGTTTAAACCTCCTTTGATAGAGCAGTTTGGAAACACTCTTTTTGTGGAATTTGCAAGTGTATATTTAGAGCGTTTTGAGGCCTACAGTAGGAAAGGAAATATCTTCACATAAAAACTACACAGAAGTATTGTCAGAAACTTATTTGTGATATTTGCATTCAACGCACAGAGTTGAACATTCCTCTTGATGGAGCATTTTTCAAACCCTCTTTTTGCAGAATCTGCAGCTGGATATTTGGACCTCTTTGTGGCCTTCGTTTGAAACGTGATTTCTGCATTTACAACTAGACAGAAGAATTCTCAGAAACTTCTTTGTGATGTGTACCTTCAACTCACAGAGGTGAAGCTTCCTTTAAATAGAGCACTTTTGAAACTCAGTTTTGGTAGAATTTCCAGGTGGATATTTAGCGCCGTTTGAGGCCTATGGTAGAAAAGGCAATATCTTCGTAGGAGAACTAGACAGAATGATTCTCAGAAACAACTTTGTGATGTGTGCGTTCAACTCACGGAGTTTAACCTTTCTTTTGATAGACCAGTTATGAAACACTCTTTTTGTAGAATCTGCAAGTAAATATTTGGACTTTTTTGAGGCCTTCATTGGAAACGGGATCTCTTCATACAAACCTTGACAGAAGAATTCTCAGAAACTTCTCTGTGATGTGTCCGTTTAACTCTCAGAGTTCAACCTTCCTTTTGATGGAAGAGTGTTGAAGTATTCTTTTTGTAGAATTTCCAAGTGAATATTTAGAGCGGTTTCAGGCCTATGTAGAAGAGAAAATATCTTCCCAGAAAGACTAGACATAATTGTTCTCTGAAGCTACTCTGAGATGTGCGCATTCAGCTGACAGAGTTTAACCTTTCGTTGGATAGAGCGGTTTTAAACCCTCTTTTTGTGGAATTTGCTATTCTATCTTTAGAGTGCTTTCAGGCCTGTGGTACAAAAGGGAATGTCTTCACATAAAATCTTGATAGAAGCATTGTCGGAAACTACCTTGTGATACCTGCCTTCAACTCTCAGAGTTGAATATTCCTCTTGATGGAGCAGTTTTGTAAAACTCTTTTTGTTGAATCTCCAAGTGGATATTTGGACGTCTTTGTGGCCTTCGTTTGAAACGTGACTGCTTCATACAAAAGTAGACAGAAGAATTCTCATAAACTTCTTTGTGATGTGTGCTTCAACTCGCAGAGTTGAAGCTTCCTTTCGATAGAGCAGTTTTGTAACCCTATTTTTGTAGAATTTCCAAGTGGATATTTAGCGCCGTTTGAGGCCTATGGTGGAAAAGGCAATATCTTCATAGAAAAACTAGACAGAATGATTCTCAGAAACTACTTTGTGATGTGTGCCTTCAACTCACAGAGTTTAACCTTTCTGTTGATAGAGCAGTTTTGAAAAACTCTTTCTGTAGAATCTGCAAGTGTATATTGGGACTTTTCTGAGGCCATGTTTGGAAACGGGATTTCTTCATATAAAACTTGAAAGAAGAATCCTCAGAAAATTATTTGTGATATGTGCATTTAACTCATGGAATTGAAACTTCCTTTCGATAGAAGAGTTTTGACATCCTCTTTTTGTAGAATTTCCAAGTGGATTTTTACAGCGGTTTGAGGTCTATGGCAGAAAAAGAAATATCTTCACAGAAAAACAAGGCAGATTCATTCTCCGAAGCTGTTTTGTGATGCTCGCATTCAGCTGACGGAGTTTAAACTTCCTTTGAGAGAGCAGTTTGGAAACACTCTTTTTGTGGAATTTGCAAGTGTATATTTAGAGCGTTTTGAGGCCTACAGTAGGAAAGGAAATATCTTCACCTAAAAACTAGACAGAAGTATTGTCAGAAACTTATTTGTGATATTTGCATTCAACGCACAGAGTTGAACATTCCTCTTGATGGAGCAGTTTGGAAACACTCTTTTTGTAGAATCTGCAGGTGGATATTTGGACCTCTTTGTGGCCTTCGTTTGAAACGTGATTTCTTCATTTACAACTAGACAGAAGAATTCTCAGAAACTTCTTTGTGATGTGTACCTTCAACTCACAGAGTTGAAGCTTCCTTTCAATAGAGCACCTTAGAAACTCAGTTTTTGTAGAATTTCCAGGTGGATATTTAGCGCCGTTTGAGGCCTATGGTAGAAAAGGCAATATCTTCGTAGGAGGACTAGACAGAATGATTCTCAGAAGCTACTTTGTGATGTGTGGGTTCAACTCACTGAGTTTAACCTTTCTTTTGATAGACCAGTTTATGAAACACTCTTTTTGTAGAATCTGCAAGTAAATCTTTGGACTTTTTTGAGGCCTTCATTGGAAACGGGGTTTCTTCATATAAACCTTGACAGAAGATTTCTCAGAAACTTCTCTGTGATGTGAGCGTTTAACTCTCAGAGTTCAACCTTCCTTTTGATAGAAGAGTGTTGAAATATTCTTTTTGTAGAATTTCCAAGTGAATATTTAGAGCGGTTTCAGGCCTATGTAGAAGAGAAAATATCTTCCCAGAAAGAGTAGACATAATTGTTCTCTGAAGCTACTCTGTGATGTGCGCATTCAGCTGACAGAGTTTAACCTTTCTTTGGATAGAGCGGTTTTAAACACTCCTTTTGTGGAATTTGCAGTTCTATATTTAGAGTGCTTTCAGGCCTGTGGTACAAAAGGGAATGTCTTCACATAAAATCCAGACAGAAGCATTGTCGGAAACTACTTTGTGATACCTGCCTTCAACTCTCAGAGTTGAATATTCCTCTTGATGGAGCAGTTTTGAAAAACTCTTTTTGTTGAATCTCCAAGTGGATATTTGGACCTCTTTGTGGCCTTCGTTTGAAATGTGACTGCTTCATACAAAAGTAGACAGAAGAATTCTCATAAACTTCTTCGTGATGTGTGCTTTCAACTCGCAGAGTTGAAGCTTCCTTTCGATAGAGCAGTTTTGTAACCCTCTTTTTGTAGAATTTCCAAGTGGATATTTAGCGCCGTTTGAGGCCTATGGTGGAAAAGGCAATATCTTCATAGAGAAACTAGACAGAATGATTCTCAGAAACTAATTTGTGATGTGTGCCTTCAACTCACAGAGTTTAACCTTCCTTTTGATAGAGCAGTTTTGAAAAACTCTTTCTGTAGAATCTGCAAGTGTATAGTGGGGCTTTTCTGAGGCCATGTTTGGAAACGGGATTTCTTCATATAAAACTTGAAAGAAGAATCCTCAGAAAATTATTTGTGATATCTGCATTTAACTCATGGAGTTGAAACTTCCTTTCGATAGAAGAGTTTTGACATCCTCTTTTTGTAGAATTTCCAAGTGGATTTTTACAGCGGTTTGAGGTCTATGGCAGAAAAAGAAATATCTTCACAGAAAAACTAGGCAGATTCATTCTCCGAAGCTGTTTTGTGATGCTTGCATTCAGCTGACAGAGTTTAAACTTCCTTTGATAGAGCAGTTTGGAAACACTCTTTTTGTGGAGTTTGCAAGTGTTTATTTAGAGCGTTTTGAGGCCTACAGTAGGAAAGGAAATATCTTCACATAAAAACTAGACAGAAGTATTGTCAGAAACTTATTTGTGATATTTGCATTCAACGCACCGAGTTGAACATTCCTCTTGATGGAGCAGTTTGGAAACACTCTTTTTGTAGAATCTGCAGGTGGATATTTGGACCTCTTTGTGGCCTTCGTTTGAAACGTGATTTCTTCATTTACAACTAGACAGAATAATTCTCAGAAACTTCTTTGTGATGTGTACCTTCAACTCACAGAGTTGAAGCTTCCTTTCAATAGAGCACCTTAGAAACTCAGTTTTTGTAGAATTTCCAGGTGGATATTTAGCGCCGTTTGAGGCCTATGGTAGAAAAGGCAATATCTTCGTAGGAGGACTAGACAGAATGATTCTCAGAAGCTACTTTGTGATGTGTGGGTTCAACTCACTGAGTTTAACCTTTCTTTTGATAGACCAGTTTATGAAACACTCTTTTTGTAGAATCTGCAAGTAAATCTTTGGACTTTTTTGAGGCCTTCATTGGAAACGGGGTTTCTTCATATAAACCTTGACAGAAGAATTCTCAGAAACTTCTCTGTGATGTGTGCGTTTAACTCTCAGAGTTCAACCTTCCTTTTGATGGAAGAGTGTTGAAGTATTCTTTTTGTAGAATTTCCAAGTGAGTATTTAGAGCGGTTTCAGGCCTATGTAGAAGAGAAAATATCTTCCCAGAAAGACTAGACATAATTGTTCTCTGAAGCTACTTTGTGATGTGCGCCTTCAGCTGACAGAGTTGAACCTTTCTTTGGATAGAGCGGTTTTAAACACTCTTTCTGTGGAATTTGCAATTCTATATTTAGAGTGCTTTCAGGCCTGTGGTACAAAAGGGAATGTCTTCACATAAAATCTAGACAGAAGCATTGTCGGAAACTACTTTGTGATACCTGCCTTCAACTCTCAGAGTTGAATATTCCTCTTGATGGAGCAGTTTTGAAAAACTCTTTTTGTTGAATCTCCAAGTGGATATTTGGACCTCTTTGTGGCCTTCGTTTGAAATGTGACTGCTTCATACAAAAGTAGACAGAAGAATTCTCATAAACTTCTTCGTGATGTGTGCTTTCAACTCGCAGAGTTGAAGCTTCCTTTCGATAGAGCAGTTTTGTAACCCTCTTTTTGTAGAATTTCCAAGTGGATATTTAGCGCCGTTTGAGGCCTATGGTGGAAAAGGCAATATCTTCATAGAGAAACTAGACAGAATGATTCTCAGAAACTAATTTGTGATGTGTGCCTTCAACTCACAGAGTTTAACCTTCCTTTTGATAGAGCAGTTTTGAAAAACTCTTTCTGTAGAATCTGCAAGTGTATAGTGGGGCTTTTCTGAGGCCATGTTTGGAAACGGGATTTCTTCATATAAAACTTGAAAGAAGAATCCTCAGAAAATTATTTGTGATATCTGCATTTAACTCATGGAGTTGAAACTTCCTTTCGATAGAAGAGTTTTGACATCCTCTTTTTGTAGAATTTCCAAGTGGATTTTTACAGCGGTTTGAGGTCTATGGCAGAAAAAGAAATATCTTCACAGAAAAACTAGGCAGATTCATTCTCCGAAGCTGTTTTGTGATGCTTGCATTCAGCTGACAGAGTTTAAACTTCGTTTGATAGAGCAGTTTGGAAACACTCTTTTTGTGGAGTTTGCAAGTGTTTATTTAGAGCGTTTTGAGGCCTACAGTAGGAAAGGAAATATCTTCACATAAAAACTAGACAGAAGTATTGTCAGAAACTTATTTGTGATATTTGCATTCAACGCACCGAGTTGAACATTCCTCTTGATGGAGCAGTTTGGAAACACTCTTTTTGTAGAATCTGCAGGTGGATATTTGGACCTCTTTGTGGCCTTCGTTTGAAACGTGATTTCTTCATTTACAACTAGACAGAAGAATTCTCAGAAACTTCTTTGTGATGTGTACCTTCAACTCACAGAGTTGAAGCTTCCATTCAATAGAGCACCTTAGAAACTCAGTTTTTGTAGAATTTCCAGGTGGATATTTAGCGCCGTTTGAGGCCTATGGTAGAAAAGGCAATATCTTCATAGGAGGACTAGACAGAATTATTCTCAGAAGCTACTTTGTGATGTGTGGGTTCAACTCACTGAGTTTAACCTTTCTTTTGATAGACCAGTTATGAAACACTCTTTCTGTGGAATCGGCAAGTTAATATTTGGACTTTTTTGAGGCCTTCATTGGAAACGGGGTTTCTTCATATAAACCTTGACAGAAGAATTCTCAGAAACTTCTCTGTGATGTGAGCGTTTAACTCTCAGAGTTCAACCTTCCTTTTGATGGAAGAGTGTTGAAATATTCTTTTTGTAGAATTTCCAAGTGAATATTTAGAGCGGTTTCAGGCCTATGTAGAAGAGAAAATATCTTCCCAGAAAGACTAGACATAATTCTTCTCTGAAGCTACTCTGTGATGTGCGCATTCAGCTGACAGAGTTTAACCTTTCTTTGGATAGAGCGGTTTTAAACCCTCTTTTTGTGGAATTTGCAATTCTGTATTTAGAGTGCTTTCAGGCCTGTGGTACAAAAGGGAATGTCTTCACATAAAATCTAGACAGAAGCATTGTCGGGAACTACTTTGTGATACCTGCCTTCAACTCTCAGAGTTGAATATTCCTCTTGATGGAGCAGTTTTGTAAAACACTTTTGGTTGAATCTCCAAGTGGATATTTGGACCTCTTTGTGGCCTTCGTTTGAAACGTGACTGCTTCATACAAAAGTAGACAGAAGAATTCTCATCAACTTCTTCACGATGTGTGCTTTCAACTCGCAGAGTTGCAGCTTCCTTTCGATAGAGCAGTTTTGTAACTCTCTTTTTGTAGAATTTCCAAGTGGATATTTAGCGCCGTTTGAGGCCTATGGTGGAAAAGGCAATATCTTCATAGAAAAACTAGACAGAATGATTCTCAGAAACTACTTTGTGATGTGTGCCTTCAACTCACAGAGTTTAACCTTTCTTTGGATAGAGCAGTTTTGAAAAACTCTTTTTGTAGAATCTGCAAGGGTATATTGGGACTTTTCTGAGGCCATCTTTGGAAACGGGATTTCTTCATATAAAACTTCAAAGAAGAATCCTCAGAAAATTATTTGTGATATGTGCATTTAACTCATGGAGTTGAGACTTCCTTTCGATAGAAGAGTTTTGAAATACTCTTTTTGTAGAATTTCCAAGTGGATTTTTACGGCGGTTTGAGGTCTATGGCAGAAAAAGAAATATCTTCACAGAAAAACTAGGCAGATTCATTCTCCGAAGCTGTTTTGTGATGCTTGCATTCAGCTTACAGAGTTTAAACTTACTTTGATAGAGCAGTTTTGAAACCCTCTTTTTGTGGAATTTGCAAGTGTCTCTTTAGAGCGTTTTGAGGCCTACAGTAGGAAAGGAAATATCTTCACATAAAAACTAGACGGAAGTATTGTCAGAAACTTATTTGTGATATTTGCATTCAACGCACAGAGTTGAACATTCCTCTTGATGGAGCCGTTTTGAGACACTCTTTTTGTAGAATCTGCAAGTGGATATTTGGACCTCTTTGTGGCCTTCGTGTGAAACGTGATTTCTTCATTGACAACTAGACAGAAGAATTCTCAGAAACTTCTTTGTGATGTGTACCTTCAACTCACAGAGTTGAAGCTTCCTTTCAATAGAGCACTTTTGAAACTCAGTTTTTGTAGAATTTCCAGGTGGATATTTAGCGCCGTTTGAGGCCTATGGTAGAAAAGGCAATATCTTCGTAGGAAAACTAGACAGAATGATTCTCAGAAACTACTTTGTGATGTGTGGGTTCAACTCACTGAGTTTAACCTTTCTTTTGATAGACCAGTTACGAAACACTCTTTTTGTAGAATCTGCAAGTAAATATTTGGACTTTTTTGAGGCCTTCATTGGAAACGGGATTTCTTCATAGAAACCTTGACAGAAGAATTCCCAGAAACTTCTTTGTGATGTGAGCATTTAACTCTCAGAGTTCAACCTTCCTTTTGACAGAAGAGTGTTGAAATATTCTTTTTCTAGAGTTTCCAAGTGAATATTTAGAGCGGTTTCAGGCCTATGTAGAAGAGAAAATATCTTCACAGAGAAACTAGACATAATTGTTCTCTGAAGCTACTTTGTGATGTGCGCCTTCAGCGGACAGAGTTTAACCTTTCTTTGGATAGAGCGGTTTTAAGCACTCTTTCTGTGGAATTTGCAATTCTATATTTAGAGTGCTTTCAGGCCTGTGGTACAAAAGGGAATGTCTTCACATAAAATCTAGAGAGAAGCGTTGTCGGAAACTTGTTTGTGATACCTGCCCTCAACTCTCAGAGTTGAATATTAATCTTGACGGAGCAGTTTTGAAAAACTCTTTTTGTGGAATCTCCAAGTGGATATTTGGACCTCTTTGTGGCCTTCGTTTGAGACGTGACTTCTTCATACAAAACTAGACAGAAGAATTCTCATAAACTTCTTCGTGATGTGTGCTTTCAACTCGCAGCGTTGAAGCTTCCTTTCGATAGAGCAGTTTAGTAACTCTCTTTTTGTGGAATTTCCAACTGGATATTTAGCGCCGTTTGAGGCCTATGGTGGAAAAGGCAATATCTTCATAGAAAAACTAGACAGAATGATTCTCAGAAACTACTTTGTGATGTGTGCCTTCAACTCACAGAGTTTAACCTTCCTTTTGGTAGAGCAGTTTTGAAAAACTCTTTTTTTAGAATCTGCAAGTGTATATTGGGACTTTTCTGAGGCCATCTTTGGAAACGGGATTTCTTCATATAAAACTTGAAAGAAGAATCCTCAGAAAATTATTTGTGATATGTGCATTTAACTCATGGAGTTGAAACTTCCTTTCGATAGAAGAGTTTTGACATCCTCTTTTTGTAGAATTTCCAAGTGGATTTTTACAGCGGTTTGAGGTCTATGGCAGAAAAAGAAATATCTTCACAGAAAAACTAGGCAGATTCATTCTCCGAAGCTGTTTTGTGATGCTTGCATTCAGCTGACAGAGTTTAAACTTCCTTCGATAGAGCAGTTTGGAAACACTCTTTTTGTGGAGTTTGCAAGTGTTTATTTAGATCGTTTTGGGGCCTACAGTAGGAAAGGAAATATCTTCACATAAAAACTAGACAGAAGTATTGTCAGAAACTTACTTGTGATATTTGCATTCAACGCACAGAGTTGAACATACCTCTTGATGCAGCACTTTTGAAACACTCTTTTTGTAGAATCTGCAGGTGGATATTTGGACCTCTTTGTGGCCTTCGTTTGAAACGTGATTTCTTCATTTACAACTAGACAGAAGAATTCTCAGAAACTTCTTTGTGATGTGTACTTTCAACTCAGAGAGTTGAAGCTTCCTTTCAATAGAGCACTTTTGAAACTCAGTTTCTGTAGAATTTCCAGGTGGATATTTAGCGCCGTTTGAGGCCTATGGTGGAAAAGGCAATATCTTCGTAGAAAAACTAGACAGAATGATTCTCAGAAACAACTTTGTGATGTGTGCGTTCAACTCACGGAGTTTAACCTTTCTTTTGATAGACCAGTTATGAAACACTCTTTTTGTAGAATCTGCAAGTAAATATTTGGACTTTTTTGAGGCCTTCATTGGAAACGGGATCTCTTCATATAAACCTTGACAGAAGAATTCCCAGAAACTTCTCTGTGATGTGTGTATTTAACTCTCAGAGTTCAACCTTCCTTTTGATAGAAGAGGGTTGAAATATTCTTTTTGTAGAATTTCCAAGTGAATATTTAGGGCGGTTTCAGGCCTATGTAGAAGAGAAACTATCTTCACAGAAAAACTAGACATAATTGTTCTCTGAAGCTACTTTGTGATGTGCGCATTCAGCTTACAGAGTTTAACCTTTCTTTGGATAGAGCGGTTTTAAACACTCTTTTTGTGGAATTTGCAATTCTATATTTAGAGTGCTTTCAGGCCTGTGGTAGAAAAGGGAATGTCCTCACATAAAATCTAGACAGAAGCATTGTCGGAAACTACTTTGTGATACCTGCCTTCAACTCTCAGAGTTGAATATTCCTCTTGATGGAGCAGTTTTGAAAAACTCTTTTTGTTGAATCTCCAAGTGGATATTTGGACCTCTTTGTGGCCTTCGTTTGAAACGTGACTGCTTCATACAAAAGTAGACAGAAGAATTCTCATAAACTACTTTGGGATGTGTGCTTGCAACTCGCAGAGTTGAAGCCTTCTTTTGATAGAGCAGTCTTGTAACTCTCTTTTTGTAGAATTTCCAAGTGGATCTTTAGCGCCGTTTGAGGCCTATGGTGGAAAAGGCAATATCTTCATAGAAAAACTAGACAGAATGATTCTCAGAAACTACTTTGTGATGTGTTCCTTCAACTCACAGAGTTTAGCCTTCCTTTTGGTAGAGCAGTTTTGAAAAACTCTTTTTGTAGAATCTGCAAGTGTATATTGGGACTTTTCTGAGGCCATCTTT
Source organism: Homo sapiens (assembly GCF_000001405.40). NCBI lineage: Eukaryota > Metazoa > Chordata > Mammalia > Primates > Hominidae > Homo > Homo sapiens. The sequence continues at coordinate 90,800,968 of NC_000003.12, forward strand.
GGAAACGGGATTTCTTCATATAAAACTTCAAAGAAGAATCCTCAGAAAATTATTTGTGATATGTGCATTTAACTCATGGAGTTGAGACTTCCTTTCGATAGAAGAGTTTTGAAATACTCTTTTTGTAGAATTTCCAGGTGGATTTTTACCGCGGTTTGAGGTCTATGGCAGAAAAAGAAATATCTTCCCAGAAAAACTAGGCAGATTCATTCTCCGAAGCTGTTTTGTGATGCTTGCATTCAGCTGACAGAGTTTAAACTTCCTTTGATAGAGCAGTTTTGAAACACTCTTTTTGTGGAATTTGAAAGTGTCTCTTTAGAGCGTTTTGAGGCCTACAGTAGGAAAGGAAATATCTTCACCTAAAAACTAGACAGAAGTATTGTCAGAAACTTATTTGTGATATTTGCATTCAACGCACGGAGTTGAACATTCCTCTTGATGGAGCCGTTTTGAAGCACTCTTTTTGTGGAATCTGCAAGTGGATATTTGGACCTCTTTGTGGCCTTCGTGTGAAACGTGATTTCTTCATTTACAACTAGACAGAAGAATTCTCAGAAACTTTTTTGTGATGTGTACCTTCAACTCACAGAGTTGAAGCTTCCTTTCAATAGAGCACTTTTGAAACTCAGTTTTTGTAGAATTTCCAGGTGGATATTTAGCGCCGTTTGAGGCCTATGGTAGAAAAGGCAATATCTTCGTAGGAAAACTAGACAGAATGATTCTCAGAAACAACTTTGTGATGTGTGCGTTCAACTCACGGAGTTTAACCTTTCTTTTGATAGACCAGTTATGAAACACTCTTTTTGTAGAATCTGCAAGTAAATATTTGGACTTTTTTGAGGCCTTCATTGGAAACGGGATCTCCTCATATAAACCTTGACAGAAGAATTCCCAGAAACTTCTCTGTGATGTGTGCATTTAACTCTCAGAGTTCAACCTTCCTTTTGATAGAAGAGGGTTGAAATTTTCTTTTTGTAGAATTTCCAAGTGAATATTTAGAGCGGTTTCAGGCCTAAGTAGAAGAGAAAATATCTTCACAGAAAAACTAGACATAATTGTTCTCTGAAGCTACTTTGTGATGTGCGCATTCAGCTTACAGAGTTTAACCTTTCTTTGGATAGAGCGGTTTTAAACACTCTTTTTGTGGAATTTGCAATTCTATATTTAGAGTGCTTTCAGGCCTGTGGTACAAAAGGGAATGTCCTCACATAAAACTTAGACAGAAGCGTTGTCGGAAACTACTTTGTGATACCTGCCTTCAACTCTCAGAGTTGAATATTCCTCTTGACGGAGCAGTTTTGAAAAACTCTTTTTGTTGAATCTCCAAGTGGATATTTGGACCTCTTTGTGGCCTTCGTTTGAGACGTGACTTCTTCCTACAAAACTAGACAGAAGAATTCTCATCAACTTCTTCGCGATGTGTGCTTTCAACTCGCAGAGTTGCATCTTCCTTTCGATAGAGCAGTTTTGTAACTCTCTTTTTGTAGAATTCCCAAGTGGATATTTAGCGCCGTTTGAGGCCTATGGTGGAAAAGGCAATATCTTCATAGAAAAACCAGACAGAATGATTCTCAGAAACTACTTTGTGATGTGTGCCTTCAACTCACAGAGTTTAACCTTTCTTTTGATAGAGCAGTTTTGAAAAACTCTTTTTGTAGAATCTGCAAGTGTATATTGGGACTTTTCTGAGGCCATCTTTGGAAACGGGATTTCTTCAGATAAAACTTGAAAGAAGAATCCTCAGAAAATTATTTGTGATATGTGCATTTAACTCATGGAGTTGAGACTTCCTTTCGATAGAAGAGTTTTGAAATACTCTTTTTGTAGAATTTCCAAATGGATTTTTACAGCGGTTTGAGGTCTATGGCAGAAAAAGAAATATCTTCACAGAAAAACTAGGCAGATTCATTCTCCGAAGCTGTTTTGTGATGCTCGCATTCAGCTGACAGAGTTTAAACTTCCTTTGAGAGAGCAGTTTGGAAACACTCTTTTTGTGCAATTTGCAAGTGTATATTTAGAGCGTTTTGAGGCCTACAGTAGGAAAGGAAATATCTTCACCTAAAAACTAGACAGAAGTATTGTCAGAAACTTATTTGTGATATTTGCATTCAACGCACGGAGTTGAACATTCCTCTTGATGGAGCCGTTTTGAGCACTCTTTTTGTGGAATCTGCAAGTGGATATTTGGACCTCTTTGTGGCCTTCGTGTGAAACGTGATTTCTTCATTTACAACTAGACAGAAGAATTCTCAGAAACTTCTTTGTGATGTGTACCTTCAACTCAAAGTGGTGAAGCTTCCTTTCAATAGAGCACTTTTGAAACTCAGTTTTGGTAGAATTTCCAGGTGGATATTTAGCGCCGTTTGAGGCCTATGGTAGAAAAGGCAATACCTTCGTAGGAGAACTAGACAGAATGATTCTCAGAAGCTACTTTGTGATGTGTGGGTTCAACTCACTGAGTTTAACCTTTCTTTTGATAGACCAGTTATGAAACACTCTTTTTGTGGAATCGGCAAGTAAATATTTGGACTTTTTTGAGGCCTTCATTGGAAACGGCGTTTCCTCATATAAACCTTGACAGAAGAATTCTCAGAAACTTCTCTGTGATGTGTGCGTTTAACTCTCAGAGTTCAACATTCCTTTTGATAGAAGAGTGTTGAAATATTCTTTTTGTAGAATTTCCAAGTGAATATTTAGAGCGGTTTCAGGCCTATGTAGAAGAGAAACTATCTTCACAGAAAAACTTGACATAAACTGTTCTCTGAAGCTGCTCTGTGATGTGCGCATTCAGCTGACAGAGTTTAACCTTTCTTTGGATAGAGCGGTTTTCAACACTCTTTTTGTGGAATTTGCAATTCTATATTTAGAGTGCTTTCAGGCCTGTGGTACAAAAGGGAATGTCTTCACATAAAATCTAGACAGAAGCATTGTCGGGAACTACTTTGTGATACCAGCCTTCAACTCGCAGAGTTGAATATTCCTCTTGACGGAGCAGTTTTGAAAAACTCTTTTTGTTGTATCTCCAAGTGGATATTTGGACCTCTTTGTGGCCTTCGTTTGAAACGTGACTGCTTCATACAAAAGTAGACAGAAGAATTCTCATAAACTTCTTCGTGATGTGTGCTTTCAACTCGCAGCGTTGAAGCTTCCTTTCGATAGAGCAGTTTAGTAACTCTCTTTTTGTAGAATTTCCAAGTGGATATTTAGCGCTGCCTGAGGCCTATGGTGGAAAAGGCAATATCTTCATAGAAAAACTAGAAAGAATGATTCTCAGAAACTGCTCTTGTCATGTGTGCCTTCAACTCACAGAGTTTAACCTTTCTTTTGATAGAGCAGTTTTGAAAAGCTCTTTTTGTAGAATCTGCAAGTGTATATTGGGACTTATCTGAGGCCATCTTTGGAAACGGGATTTCTTCATATAAAACTTCAAAGAAGAATCCTCAGAAAATTATTTGTGATATGAGCATTTAACTCATGGAGTTGAGACTTCCTTTCGATAGAAGAGTTTTGACATACTCTTTTTGTAGAATGTCCAAGTGGATTTTTACAGCGGTTTGAGGTCTATGGCAGAAAAAGAAATATCTTCTCAGAAAAACTAGGCAGATTCATTCTCCGAAGCTGTTTGTGATGCTTGCATTCAGCTTACAGAGTTTAAACTTCCTTTGATAGAGCAGTTTTTAAACCCTCTTTTTGTGGAATTTGCAAGTGTCTCTTTAGAGCGTTTTGAGGCCTACAGTAGGAAAGGAAATATCTTCACATAAAAACTAGACAGAAGTATTGTCAGAAACTTATTTGTGATATTTGCATTCAACGCACAGAGTTGAACATTCCTCTTGATGGAGCCGTTTTGAAACACTCTTTTTGTAGAATCTGCAAGTGGATATTTGGACCTCTTTGTGGCCTTCGTGTGAAACGTGATTTCTTCATTTACAACTAGACAGAAGAATTCTCAGAAACTTCTTTGTGATGTGTACCTTCAACTCACAGAGTTGAAGCTTCCTTTCAATAGAGCACTTTTGAAACTCAGTTTTTGTAGAATTTCCAGGTGGATATTTAGCGCCGTTTGAGGCCTAAGGTAGAAAAGGCAATATCTTCGTAGGAAAACTAGACAGAATGATTCTCAGAAACTACTTTGTGATGTGTGGGTTCAACTCACTGAGTTTAACCTTTCTTTTGATAGACCAGTTATGAAACACTCTTTTTGTAGAATCTGCAAGTAAATATTTGGACTTTTTTGAGGCCTTCATTGGAAACGGGATTTCTTCATAGAAACCTTGACAGAAGAATTCTCAGAAAATTCTTTGTGATGTGTGCATTTAACTCTCAGAGTTCAACCTTCCTTTTGATAGAAGAGTGTTGAAATATTCTTTTTGTAGAATTTCCAAGTGAATATTTAGAGCGGTTTCAGGCCTATGTAGAAGAGAAAATATCTTCACAGGAAAACTAGACACAATTGTTCTCTGAAGCTACTTTGTGATGGGCGCCTTCAGCTGACAGAGTTTAACCTTTCTTTGGATAGAGCGGTTTTAAACACTCTTTTTGTGGAATTTGCAATTCTATATTTAGAGTGCTTTCAGGCCTGTGGTACAAAAGGGAATGTCTTCACATAAAATCTAGACAGAAGCGTTGTCGGAAACTACTTTGTGATACCTGCCTTCAACTCTCAGAGTTGAATATTCCTCTTGACGGAGCAGTTTTGAAAAACGCTTTTTGTTGAATCTCCAAGTGGATATTTGGACCTCTTTGTGGCCTTCGTTTGAGACGTGACTTCTTCATACAAAACTAGAGAGAAGAATTCTCATAAACTTCTTTGTGATGTGTGCTTCAACTCGCAGAGTTGAAGCTTCCTTTCGATAGAGCAGTTTTGTAACCCTCTTTTTGTAGAATTTCCAAGGGGATATTTAGCGCCGTTTGAGGCCTATGGTGGAAAAGGCAATATCTTCATAGAAAAACTAGACAGAATGATTCTCAGAAACTACTCTGTGATGTGTGCCTTCAACTCACAGAGTTTAACCTTCCTTTTGATAGAGCAGTTTTGAAAAACTCTTTTTATAGAATCTGCAAGTGTATATTGGGACTTTTCTGAGGCCATCTTTGGAAACGGGATTTCTTCATATAAAATTGAAAGAAGAATCCTCAGAAAATTATTTGTGATATGTGCATTTAACTCATGGAATTGAAACTTCCTTTCGATAGAAGAGTTTTGACATCCTCTTTTTGTAGAATTTCCAAGTGGATTTTTACAGCGGTTTGAGGTCTATGGCAGAAAAAGAAATATCTTCACAGAAAAACAAGGCAGATTCATTCTCCGAAGCTGTTTTGTGATGCTTGCATTCAGCTGACAGAGTTTAAACTTCGTTTGATAGAGCAGTTTGGAAACACTCTTTTTGTGGGGTTTGCAAGTGTTTATTTAGAGCGTTTTGAGGCCTACAGTAGGAAAGGAAATATCTTCACATAAAAACTAGACAGAAGTATTGTCAGAAACTTATTTGTGATATTTGCATTCAACGCACAGAGTTGAACATTCCTCTTGATGGAGCAGTTTGGAAACACTCTTTTTGTAGAATCTGCAGGTGGATATTTGGACCTCTTTGTGGCCTTCGTTTGAAACGTGATTTCTTCATTTACAACTAGACAGAAGAATTCTCAGAAACTTCTTTGTGATGTGTACCTTCAACTCACAGAGTTGAAGCTTCCTTTCAATAGAGCACCTTAGAAACTCAGTTTTTGTAGAATTTCCAGGTGGATATTTAGCGCCGTTTGAGGCCTATGGTAGAAAAGGCAATATCTTCGTAGGAGGACTAGACAGAATGATTCTCAGAAGCTACTTTGTGATGTGTGGGTTCAACTCACTGAGTTTAACCTTTCTTTTGATAGACCAGTTTATGAAACACTCTTTTTGTAGAATCTGCAAGTAAATCTTTGGACTTTTTTGAGGCCTTCATTGGAAACGGGGTTTCTTCATATAAACCTTGACAGAAGAATTCTCAGAAACTTCTCTGTGATGTGTGCGTTTAACTCTCAGAGTTCAACCTTCCTTTTGATGGAAGAGTGTTGAAGTATTCTTTTTGTAGAATTTCCAAGTGAGTATTTAGAGCGGTTTCAGGCCTATGTAGAAGAGAAAATATCTTCCCAGAAAGACTAGACATAATTGTTCTCTGAAGCTACTTTTTGATGTGCGCATTCAGCTTACAGAGTTTAACCTTTCTTTGGATAGAGCGGTTTTAAACACTCTTTTTGTGGAATTTGCAATTCTATATTTAGAGTGCTTTCAGGCCTGTGGTACAAAAGGGAATGTCCTCACATAAAATCTAGACAGAAGCATTGTCGGGAACTACTTTGGGATACCTGCCTTCAACTCTCAGAGTTGAATATTCCTCTTGATGGAGCAGTTTTGAAAAACTCTTTTTGTTGAATCTCCAAGTGGATATTTGGACCTCTTTGTGGCCTTCGTTTGAAACGTGACTGTTTCACACAAATGTAGTCAGAAGAATTCTCATCAACTTCTTCGTGATGTGTGCTTTCAACTCGCAGCGTTGAAGCTTCCTTTCGATAGAGCAGTTCTGTAACTCTGTTTTTGTAGAATTTCCAAGTGGATATTTAGCGCCGTTTGAGGCCAATGGTGGAAAAGGCAATATCTTCATAGAAAAACTAGACAGAATGATTCTCAGAAACTACTTTGTGATGTGTGCCTTCAACTCACAGAGTTTAACCTTTCTTTTGATAGAGCAGTTTTGAAAAACTCTTTCTGTAGAATCTGCAAGTGTATATTGGGACTTTTCTGAGGCCATGTTTGGAAACGGGATTTCTTCATATAAAACTTGAAAGAAGAATCCTCAGAAAATTATTTGTGATATGTGCATTTAACTCATGGAGTTGAAACTTCCTTTCGATAGAAGAGTTTTGACATCCTCTTTTTGTAGAATTTCCAAGTGGATTTTTACAGCGGTTTGAGGTCTATGGCAGAAAAAGAAATATCTTCACAGAAAAACTAGGCAGATTCATTCTCCGAAGCTGTTTTGTGATGCTTGCATTCAGCTGACAGAGTTTAAACTTCCTTTGATAGAGCAGTTTGGAAACACTCTTTTTGTGGAATTTGCAAGTGTATATTTAGAGCCTTTTGAGGCCTACAGTAGGAAAGTAAATATCTTCACATAAAAACTAGACAGAAGTATTGTCAGAAACTTATTTGTGATATTTGCATTCAACGCACCGAGTTGAACATTCCTCTTGATGGAGCAGTTTTGAAACACTCCTTTTGTAGAATCTGCAAGTGGATATTTGGACCTCTTTGTGGCCTTCGTTTGAAACGTGATTTCTTCATTTACAACTAGACAGAAGAATTCTCAGAAACTTCTTTGTGATGTGCACCTTCAACTCACAGAGTTGAAGCTTCCTTTCAATAGAGCACTTTTGAAACTCAGTTTTTGTAGAATTTCCAGGTGGATATTTAGCGCCGTTTGAGGCCTATGGTAGAAAAGGCAATATCTTCGTAGGAAAACTAGACAGAATGATTCTCAGAAACTACTTTGTGATGTGTGGGTTCAACTCACTGAGTTTAACCTTTCTGTTGATAGACCAGTTATGAAACACTCTTTTTGTAGAATCTGCAAGTAAATATTTGGACTTTTTTGAGGCCTTCATTGGAAACGGGATTTCTTCATAGAAACCTTGACAGAAGAATTCTCAGAAACTTCTCTGTGATGTGTGCGTTTAACTCTCAGATTTCAACCTTCCTTTTGATGGAAGAGTGTTGAATTATTCTTTTTGTAGAATTTCCAAGTGAGTATTTAGAGCGGTTTCAGGCCTATGTAGAAGAGAAAATATCTTCCGAGAAAGACTAGACATAATTGTTCTCTGAAGCTACTCTGTGATGTGCGCATTCAGCTGACAGAGTTTAACCTTTCATTGGATAGAGCGGTTTTAAACCCTCTTTTTGTGGAATATGCTATTCTATCTTTAGAGTGCTTTCAGGCCTCTGGTACAAAAGGGAATGTCTTCACATAAAATCTAGACTGAAGCATTGTCGGAAACTACTTGGTGATACCTGCCTTCAACTCTCAGAGTTGAATATTCCTCTTGATGGAGCAGTTTTGAAAAACTCTTTTTGTTGAATCTCCAAGTGGACATTTGGACCTCTTTGTGGCCTTCGTTTGAAACGTGACTTCTTCATAGAAAACTAGACAGAAGAATTCTCATAAACTTCTTCGTGATGTGTGCTTTCAACTCGCAGAGTTGAAGCTTCCTTTCGATAGAGCAGTCTTGTAACTCTCTTTTTGTAGAATTTCCAAGTGGATATTTAGTTCCTCTTGAGGCCTATGGTGGAGAAGGCGATATCTTCATAGAAAAACTAGACAGAATGATTCTCAGAAACTACTTTGTGATGTGTGCCTTCAACTCACAGAGTTTAACCTTCCTTTTGGTAGAGCAGTTTTGAAAAACTCTTTTTGTAGAATCTGCAAGTGTGTATTGGGACTTTTCTGAGGCCATCTTTGGAAACGGGATTTCTTCATATAAAACTTGAAAGAAGAATCCTCAGAAAATTATTTGTGATATGTGCATTTAACTCATGGAGTTGAGACTTCCTTTCGATAGAAGAGTTTTGAAATACTCTTTTTGTAGAATTTCCAAGTGGATTTTTACTGCGGTTTGAGGTCTATGGCAGAAAAAGAAATATCCTTACAGAAAAACTAGGCAGATTCATTCTCCGAAGCTGTTTTGTGATGCTTGCATTAAGCTGACAGAGTTTAAACTTCCTTTGATAGAGCAGTTTGGAAACACTCTTTTTGTGGAATTTGCAAGTGTATATTTAGAGCCTTTTGAGGCCTACAGTAGTAAAGTAAATATCTTCACATAAAAACTAGACAGAAGTATTGTCAGAAACTTCTTTGTGATATTTGCATTCAACGCACAGAGTTGAACATTCCTCTTGATGGAGCAGTTTTGAAACCCTCTTTTTGCAGAATCTGCAGGTGGATATTTGGACCTCTTTGTGGCCATCGCTTGAAACGTGATTTCTTCATTTACAACTAGACAGAAGAATTCTCAGAAACTTCTTTGTGATGTGTACCTTCAACTCACAGAGGTGAAGCTTCCTTTCAATAGAGCACTTTTGAAGCTCAGTTTTGGTAGAATTTCCAGGTGGATATTTAGCGCCGTTTGAGGCCTATGGTAGAAAAGGCAATATCTTCGTAGGAGAACTAGACACAATGATTCTCAGAAGCTACTTTGTGATGTGTGGGCTCAACTCACTGAGTTTAACCTTTCTTTTGATAGACCAGTTATGAACCACTCTTTCTGTGGCATCGGCAAGTAAATATTTGGACTTTTTTGAGGCCTTCTTTGGAAACGGGGATTCTTCATATAAACCTTGACAGAAGAATTCTCAGAAACTTCTCTGTGATGTGTGCGTTTAACTCTCAGAGTTCAACCTTCCTTTTGATAGAAGAGTGTTGAAATATTCTTTTTGCAGAATTTCCAAGTGAATATTTAGAGCGGTCTCAGGCCTATGTGGAAGAGAAACTATCTTCACGGAAAAACTAGACGTAATTGTTCTCTGAAGCTACTCTGTGATGTGCGCATTCAGCTGACAGAGTTTAACCTTTCTTTGGATAGAGCGGTTTTAAACCCTCTTTTTGTGGAATTTGCAATTCTGTATTTAGAGTGCTTTCAGGCCTGTGGTACAAAAGGGAATGTCTTCACATAAAATCTAGACAGAAGCATTGTCGGAAACTACTTTGTGATACCTGCCTTCAACTCTCAGAGTTGAATATTCCTCTTGATGAAGCAGTTTTGAAAAACTCTTTTTGTTGAATCTCCAAGTGGATATTTGGACCTCTTTGTGGCCTTCGTTTGAGACGTGACTGCTTCATACAAAAGTAGACAGAAGAATTCTCATAAACTTCTTCGTGATGTGTGCTTTCAACTCGCGGAGCTGAAGCTTCCTTTCGATAGAGCAGTTTTGTAACTCTCTTTTTGTAGAATTTCCAAGTGGATATTTAGCGCCGTTTGAGGCCTATGGTGGAAAAGGCAATATCTTCATAGAAAAACTAGACAGAATGATTCTCAGAAACTACTCTGTGATGTGTGCCTACAACTCACAGAGTTTAACCTTCCTTTTGATAGAGCAGTTTTGAAAAACTCTTTTTGTAGAATCTGCAAGTGTATATTGGGACTTTTCTGAGGTCATCTTTGGAAAAGGGATTTCTTCATATAAAACTTGAAAGAAGAATCCTCAGAAAATTATTTGTGATATGTGCATTTAACTCATGGAGTTGAAACTTCCTTTCGATAGAAGAGTTTTGAAATACTCTTTTTGTAGAATTTCCAAGTGGATTTTTACAGCGGTTTGAGGTCTATGGCAGCAAAAGAAATATCTTCACAGAAAAACTAGGCAGATTCATTCTCCGAAGCTGTTTTGTGATGCTTGCATTCAGCTTACAGAGTTTAAACTTCCTTTGATAGAGCAGTTTTGAAACCCTCTTTTTGTGGAATTTGCAAGTGTCTCTTTAGAGCGTTTTGTGGCCTACAGTAGGAAAGGAAATATCTTCACATAAAAACTAGACAGAAGTATTTTCAGAAACTTATTTGTGATATTTGCATTCAACGCACAGAGTTGAACATTCCTCTTGATGGAGCCGTTTTGAAACAGTCTTTTTGTAGAATCTGCAAGTGGATATTTGGACCTCTTTGTGGCCTTCGTGTGAAACGTGATTTCTTCATTTACAACTAGACAGAAGAATTCTCAGAAACTTCTTTGTGATGTGTACCTTCAACTCACAGAGTTGAAGCTTCCTTTCAATAGAGCACTTTTGAAACTCAGTTTTTGTAGAATTTCCAGGTGGATATTTAGCGCCGTTTGAGGCCTATGGTAGAAAAGGCAATATCTTCGTAGGAAAACTAGACAGAATGATTCTCAGAAACTACTTTGTGATGTGTGGGTTCAACTCACTGAGTTTAACCTTTCTTTTGATAGACCAGTTATGAAACACTCTTTTTGTAGAATCTGCAAGTAAATATTTGGACTTTTTTGAGGCCTTCATTGGAAACGGGATTTCTTCATATAAACCTTGACAGAAGAATCCCCAGAAACTTCTTTGTGATGTGTGCATTTAACTCTCAGAGTTCAACCTTCCTTTTGATAGAGGAGTGTTGAAATATTCTTTTTGTAGAATTTCCAAGTGAATATTTAGAGCGGTTTCAGGCCTATGTAGAAGAGAAAATATCTTCACAGAGAAACTAGACATAATTGTTCTCCGAAGCTACTTTGTGATGGGCGCCTTCAGCTGACAGAGTTTAACCTTTCTTTGGATAGAGCGGTTTTAAACCCTCTTTTTGTGGAATTTGCAATTCTATATTTAGAGTGCTTTCAGGCCTGTGGTACAAAAGGGAATGTCTTCACATAAAATCTAGACAGAAGCGTTGTCGGAAACTACTTTGTGATACCTGCCTTCAACTCTCAGAGTTGAATATTCCTCTTGATGGAGCAGTTTTGAAAAACTCTTTTTGTTGAATCTCCAAGTGGATATTTGGACCTCCTTGTGGCCTTCGTTTGAGACGTGACTTCTTCATACAAAAGTAGACAGAAGAATTCTCACCAACTTCTTCGCGATGTGTGCTTTCAACTCGCAGAGTTGCAGCTTCCTTTCGATAGAGCAGTTTTGTAACTCTCTTTTTGTAGAATTTCCAAGTGGATATTTAGCGCCGTTTGAGGCCTATGGTGGAAAAGGCAATATCTTCATAGAAAAACTAGACAGAATGATTCTCAGAAACTACTTTGTGATGTGTGCCTTCAACTCACAGAGTTTAACCTTTCTTTGGATAGAGCAGTTTTGAAAAACTCTTTTTGTAGAATCTGCAAGGGTATATTGGGACTTTTCTGAGGCCATCTTTGGAAACGGGATTTCTTCATATAAAACTTCAAAGAAGAATCCTCAGAAAATTATTTGTGATATGTGCATTTTACTCATGGAGTTGAAACTTCCTTTCGATAGAAGAGCTTTGAAATACTCTTTTTGTAGAATTTCCAAGTGGATTTTTACAGCGGTTTGAGGTCTATGGCAGAAAAAGAAATATCTTCACAGAAAAACTAGGCAGATTCATTCTCCGAAGCTGTTTTGTGATGCTTGCATTAAGCTGACAGAGTATAAACTTCCTTTGATAGAGCAGTTTGGAAACACTCTTTTTGTGGAATTTGCAAGTGTATATTTAGAGCATTTTGAGGCCTACAGTAGGAAAGGAAATATCTTCACATAAAAACTAGACAGAAGTATTGTCAGAAACTTATTTGTGATATTTGCATTCAACGCACAGAGTTGAACATTCCTCTTGATGGAGCAGTTTTGAAACCCTTTTTTTGCAGAATCTGCAGGTGGATATTTGGACCTCTTTGTGGCCTTCGTTTGAAACGTGATTTCTACATTTACAACTAGACAGAGGGATTCTCAGAAACTTCTTTGTGATATGTACCTTCAACTCACAGAGGTGAAGCTTCCTTTCAATAGAGCACTTTTGAAACTCAGTTTTGGTAGAATTTCCAGGTGGATATTTTGCGCCGTTTGAGGCCTATGGTAGAAAAGGCAATATCTTCGTAGGAGAACTAGACAGAATGATTCTCAGAAGCTACTTTGTGATGTGTGGGTTCAACTCATTGAGTTTAACCTTTCTTTTGATAGACCAGTTTTGAAACACTCTTTCTGTGGAATCGGCAAGTAAATATTTGGACTTTTTTGAGGCCTTCATTGGAAACGGTGTTTCTTCATATAAACCATGACAGAAGAATTCTCAGAAACTTCTCTGTGATGTGTGCGTTTAACTCTCAGAGTTCAACCTTCCTTTTGATAGAAGAGTGTTGAAATATTATTTTTGTAGAATTTCCAAGTGAATATTTAGAGCAGTTTCAGGCCTATGTACAAGAGAAACTATCTTCACAGAAAAACCAGACATAATTGTTCTCTGAAGCTGCTCTGTGATGTGCGCATTCAGCTGACAGAGTTTAACCTTTCTTAGGATAGAACGGTTTTCAACACTCTTTTTGTGGAACTTGCAATTCTATATTTAGAGTGCTTTCAGGCCTGTGGTACAAAAGGGAATGTCTTCACATAAAGTCTAGACAGAAGCATTGCCGGGAACTACTTTGTGATACCTGCCTTCAACTCTCAGAGTTGAATATTCCTCTTGACGGAGCAGTTTTGAAAAACTCTTTTTGTTGAATCTCCAAGTGGATATTTGGACCTCTTTGTGGCCTTCGTTTGAAACGTGACTGCTTCATACAAAAGTAGACAGAAGAATTCTCATAAACTTCTTCGTGATGTGTGCTTTCAACTCGCAGCGTTGAAGCTTCCTTTCGATAGAGCAGTTTAGTAACTCTCTTTTTGTGGAATTTCCAACTGGATATTTAGCGCCGTTTGAGGCCTATGGTGGAAAAGGCAATATCTTCATAGAAAAACTAGACAGAATGATTCTCAGAAACTACTTTGTGATGTGTGCCTTCAACTCACAGAGTTTGAACCTTCCTTTTGAGTACGAGCAGTTTTGAAAAGCTCTTTTTGTAGAATCTGCAAGTGTATATTGGGACTTTTCTGAGGCCATCTTTGGAAACGGGATTTCTTCATATAAAACTTGAAAGAAGAATCCTCAGAAAATTATTTGTGATATGTGCATTTAACTCATGGAGTTGAGACTTCCTTTCGATAGAAGAGTTTTGAAATACTCTTTTTGTAGAATTTCCAAGTGGATTTTTACAGCGGTTTGAAGTCTATGGCAGAAAAAGAAATATCTTCACAGAAAAACTAGGCAGATTCATTCTCCGAAGCTGTTTTGTGATGCTTGCATTAAGCGGACAGAGTTTAAACTTCCTTTGATAGAGCAGTTTGGAAACACTCTTTTTGTGGAATTTGCAAGTGTATATTTAGAGCGTTTTGAGGCCTACAATAGGAAAGGAAATATCTTCACATAAAAACTAGACAGAAGTATTGTCAGAAACTTATTTGTGATATTTGCATTCAACGCACAGAGTTGAACATTCCTCTTGATGGAGCCGTTTTGAGACACTCTTTTTGTAGAGTCTGCAAGTGGATATTTGGACCTCTTTGTGGCCTTCGTGTGAAACGTGATTTCTTCTTTTACAGCTAGACAGAAGAATTCTCATAAACTTCTTTGTGATGTGTGCTTTCAACTCGCAGAGTTGAAGCTTCCTTTCGATAGAGCACTCTTGTAACTCTCTTTTTGTAGAATTTCCAAGTGGATATTTAGCGCCGTTTGAGGCCTATGGTGGAAAAGGCAATATCTTCATAGAAAAACTAGACAGAATGATTCTCAGAAACTACTTTGTGATGTGTGGGTTCAACTCACTGAGTTTAACCTTTCTTTTGATAGACCAGTTATGAAACACTCTTTTTGTAGAATCTGCAAGTAAATATTTGGACTTTTTTGAGGCCTTCATTGGAAACGGGATTTCTTCATAGAAACCTTGACAGAAGAATTCTCAGAAACTTCTCTGTGATGTGTGCATTTACCTCTCAGAGTTCAACCTTCCTTTTGATAGAAGAGTGTTGAAATATTCTTTTTGAAGAATTTCCAAGTGAATATTTAGAGCGGTCTCAGGCCTATGTAGAAGAGAAACAATCTTCACGGAAAAACTAGACATAATTGTTCTCTGAAGCTACTTTGTGATGTGCGCATTCAGCTTACAGAGTTTAACCTTTCTTTGGATAGAGCGGTTTTAAACACTCTTTTTGTGGAATTTGAAATTCTATATTTAGAGTGCTTTCAGGCCTGTGGTACAAAAGGGAATGTTCTCACATAAAATCTAGACAGAAGCATTGTCGGAAACTACTTTGTGATACCTGCCTTCAACTCTCAGAGTTGAATATTCCTCTTGATGGAGCAGTTTTGAAAAACTCTTTTTGTTGAATCTCCAAGTGGATATTTGGACCTCTTTGTGGCCTTCGTTTGAGACGTGACTTCTTCATACAAAAGTAGACAGAAGAATTCTCATAAACTTCTTCGTGATGTGTGCTTTCAACTCGCAGCGTTGAAGCTTCCTTTCGATAGAGCAGTTTAGTAACTCTCTTTTTGTAGAATTTCCAAGTGGATATTTAGCGCCGTTTGAGGCCTACGGTGGAAAAGGCAATATCTTCATAGAAAAATTAGACAGAATGATTCTCAGAAACTACTTTGTCATGTGTGCCTTCAACTCACAGAATTTAACCTTTCTTTTGATAGAGCAGTTTTGAAAAGCTCTTTTTGTAGAATCTGCAAGTGTATATTGGGACTTATCTGAGGCCATCTTTGGAAACGGGATTTCTTCATATAAAACTTCAAAGAGAATCCTCAGAAAATTATTTCTGATATGTGCATTTAGCTCATGGAGCTGAAACTTCCTTTCGATAGAAGAGCTTTGAAATACTCTTTTTGTAGAATTTCCAAGTGGATTTTTACAGCGGTTTGAGGTCTATGGCAGAAAAAGAAATATCTTCACAGAAAAACTAGGCAGATTCATTCTCCGAAGCTGTTTTGTGATGCTTGCATTAAGCTTACAGAGTTTAAAGTTCCTTTGATAGAGCAGTTTTGAAACACTCTTTTTGTGGAATTTGCAAGTGTATATTTAGAGCGTTTTGAGGCCTACAGTAGGAAAGGAAATATCTTCACATAAAAACTAGACAGAAGTATTGTCAGAAACTTATTTGTGATATTTGCATTCAACGCACGGAGTTGAACATTCCTCTTGATGGATCAGTTTTGAAACACTCTTTTTGTGGAATCTGTAGGTGGATATTTGGACCTCTTTGTGGCGTTCGTTTGAAACGTGATTTCTTCATTTACAACTAGACAGAAGAATTCTCAGAAACTTCTTTGTGATGTGTACCTTCAACTCACAGAGTTGAAGCTTCCTTTCAATAGAGCACCTTAGAAACTCAGTTTTTGTAGAATTTCCAGGTGGATATTTAGCGCCGTTTGAGGCCTATGGTAGAAAAGGCAATATCTTCATAGGAGGACTAGACAGAATGATTCTCAGAAGCTACTTTGTGATGTGTGGGTTCAACTCACTGAGTTTAACCTTTCTTTTGATAGACCAGTTTATGAAACACTCTTTTTGTAGAATCTGCAAGTAAATCTTTGGACTTTTTTGAGGCCTTCATTGGAAACGGGGTTTCTTCATATAAACCTTGACAGAAGAATTCCCAGAAACTTCTCTGTGATGTGTGCATTTAACTCTCAGAGTTCAACCTTCCTTTTGATAGAAGAGGGTTGAAATTTTCTTTTTGTAGAATTTCCAAGTGAATATTTAGAGCGGTCTCAGGCCTAAGTAGAAGAGAAAATATCTTCACAGAAAAACTAGACATAATTGTTCTCTGAAGCTACTTTGTGATGTGCGCATTCAGCTTACAGAGTTTAACCTTTCTTTGGATCGAGCGGTTTTAAACACTCTTTTTGTGGAATTTGCAATTCTATATTTAGAGTGCTTTCAGGCCTGTGGTACAAAAGGGAATGTCCTCACTTAAAATCTAGACAGAAGCATTGTCGGGAACTACTTTGTGATACCTGCCTTCAACTCTCAGAGTTGAATGTTCCTCTTGATGGAGCAGTTTTGAAAAACTCTTTTTGTTGAATCTCCAAGTGGATATTTGGACCTCTTTGTGGCCTTCGTTTGAGACGTGACTTCTTCATACAAATTAGACAGAAGAATTCTCATCAACTTCTTCGTGATGTGTGCTTTCAACTCGCAGCGTTGAAGCTTCCTTTCAATAGAGCAGTTCTGTAACTCTCTTTTTGTAGAATTTCCAAGTGGATATTTAGCGCCGTTTGAGGCCAATGGTGGAAAAGGCAATATCTTCATAGAAAAACTAGACAGAATGATTCTCAGAAACTACTTTGTGATGTGTGACTTCAACTCACAGAGTTTAACCTTTCTTTTGATAGAGCAGTTTTGAAAAACTCTTTTTGTAGAATCTGCAAGTGTATATTGGGACTTTTCTGAGGCCATCTTTGGAAACGGGATTTCTTCAGATAAAACTTGAAAGAAGAATCCTCAGAAAATTATTTGTGATATGTGCATTTAACTCATGGAGTTGAAACTTCCTTTCGATAGAAGAGTTTTGAAATACTCTTTTTGTAGAATTTCCAAGTGGATTTTTACAGCGGTGTGAAGTCTATGGCAGCAAAGGAAATATCTTCACAGAAAAACTGGGCAGATTCATTCTCCGAAGCTGTTTTGTGATGCTTGCATTAAGCTGACAGAGTTTAAACTTTTTTTGATAGAGCAGTTTGGAAACACTCTTTTTGTGGAATTTGCAAGTGTATATTTAGAGCGTTTTGAGGCCTACAGTAGGAAAGGAAATATCTTCACATAAAAACTAGACAGAAGTATTGTCAGAAAGTTATTTGTGATATTTGCATTCAACGCACAGAGTTGAACGTTCCTCTTGATGGCGCAGTTTTTAAACCCTCTTTTTGCAGAATCTGCAGCTGGATATTTGGACCTCTTTGTGGCCTTCGTTTGAAACGTGATTTCTGCATTTACAACTAGACAGAAGAATTCTCAGAAACTTCTTGTGATGTGTACTTTCAACTCACAGAGTTGAAGCTTCCTTTCAATAGAGCACTTTTGAAACTCAGTTTCTGTAGAATTTCCAGGTGGATATTTAGCGCCGTTTGAGGCCTATGGTGGAAAAGGCAATATCTTCGTAGAAAAACTAGACAGAATGATTCTCAGAAGCTACTTTGTGATGTGTGGGTTCAACTCACTGAGTTTAACCTTTCTTTTGATAGACCAGTTATGAAACACTCTTTTTGTGGAATCTGCAAGCAAATTTTTGGACTTTTTTGAGGCCTTCATTGGAAACTGGGTTTCTTCATATAAACCTTGACAGAAGAATTCTCAGAAACTTCTCTGTGATGTGTGCGTTTAACTCTCAGAGTTCAACCTTCCTTTTGATGGAAGAGTGTTGAGGTATTCTTTTTGTAGAATTTCCAAGTGATTATTTAGAGCGGTTTCAGGCCTATGTAGAAGAGAAAATATCTTCACAGAAAAACTAGACATAATTGTTCTCTGAAGCTACTCTGTGATGTGCGCATTCAGCTGACAGAGTTTAACCTTTCTTTGGATAGAGCGGTTTTAAACCCTCTTTTTGTGGAATTTGCAATTCTGTATTTAGAGTGCTTTCAGACCTCTGGTACAAAAGGGAATGTCTTCACATAAAATCTAGACAGAAGCATTGCCGGGAACTACTTTGTGATACCTGCCTTCAACTCTCAGAGTTGAATATTCCTCTTGACGGAGCAGTTTTGAAAAACTCTTTTTGTTGAATCTCCAAGTGGATATTTGGACCTCTTTGTGGCCTTCGTTTGAAACGTGACTGCTTCATACAAAAGTAGACAGAAGAATTCTCATAAACTTCTTCGTGATGTGTGCTTTAAACTCGCAGCGTTGAAGCTTCCTTTCGATAGAGCAGTTTAGTAACTCTCTTTTTGTAGAATTTCCAAGTGGATATTTAGCGCCGTTTGAGGCCTATGATGGAAAAGGCAATATCTTCATAGAAAAACTAGACAGAATGATTCTCAGAAACTACTTTGTGATGTGTGCCTTCAACTCACAGAGTTTAACCTTTCTTTGGATAGAGCAGTTTTGAAAAACACTTTTTGTAGAATCTGCAAGGGTATATTGGGACTTTTCTGAGGCCATCTTTGGAAACGGGATTTCTTCATATAAAACTTCAAAGAAGAATCCTCAGAAAATTATTTGTGGTATGTGCATTTAACTCATGGAGTTGAAACTTCCTTTCGCTAGAAGAGTTTTGACATACTCTTTTTGTAGGATTTCCAAGTGGATTTTCACAGCGGTTTGAGGTCTATGGCAGAAAAAGGAAATCTTCACAGAAAAACTAGGCAGATTCATTCTCCGAAGCTCTTTTGTGACGCTTGCATTAAGCGGACAGAGTTTAAACTTCCTTTGAGAGAGCAGTTTGGAAACACTCTTTTTGTGGAATTTGCAAGTGTATATTTAGAGCGTTTTGAGGCCTACAGTAGGAAAGGAAATATCTTCACATAAAAACTACACAGAAGTATTGTCAGAAACTTATTTGTGATATTTGCATTCAACGCACAGAGTTGAACATTCCTCTTGATGGAGCAGATTTGAAACCCTCTTTTTGCAGAATCTGCAGCTGGATATTTGGACCTCTTTGTGGCCTTCGTTTGAAACGTGATTTCTGCATTTACAACTAGACAGAAGAATTCTCAGAAACTTCTTTGTGATGTGTACCTTCAACCCACAGAGGTGAAGCTTCCTTTCAATAGAGCACTTTTGAAACTCAGTTTTGGTAGAATTTCCAGGTGGATATTTAGCGCCGTTTGAGGCCTATGATAGAAAAGGCAATATCTTCGTAGGAGAACTAGACAGAATGATTCTCAGAAGCTACTTTGTGATTTGTGGGTTCAACTCACTGAGTTTAACCTTTCTTTTGATAGACCAGTTATGAAACACTCTTTCTGTGGAATCGGCAAGTAAATATTTGGACTTTCTTGAGGCCTTCATTGGAAACGGTGTTTCTTCATATAAACCTTGACAGAAGAATTCTCAGAAACTTCTCTGTGATGTGTGCGTTTAACTCTCAGAGTTTAACCTTCCTTTTGATAGAAGAGTGTTGAAATATTCTTTTTGTAGAATTTCCAAGTGAATATTTAGAGCAGTTTCAGGCCTATGTAGAAGAGAAAATATCTTCACAGAAAAACTAGACATAATTGTTCTCTGAAGCTGCTCTGTGATGTGCGCATTCAGCTGACAGAGTTTAACCTTTCTTTGGATAGAGCGGTTTTCAACACTCTTTTTGTGGAATTTGCAATTCTATATTTAGAGTGCTTTCAGGCCTGTGGTACAAAAGGGAATGTCTTCACATAAAATCTAGACAGAAGCATTCTCGGGAACTACTATGTGATACCAGCCTTCAACTCGCAGAGTTGAATATTCCTCTTGACGGGGCAGTTTTGAAAAACTCTTTTTGTTGAATCTCCAAGTGGATATTTGGACCTCTTTGTGGCCTTCGTTTGAAAAGTGACTGCTTCATACAAAAGTAGACAGAAGAATTCCCATAAACTTCTTTGTGATGTGTGCTTTCAACTCGCAGAGTTGAAGCTTCCTTTCGATAGAGCAGTCTTGTAACTCTCTTTTTGAAGAATTTCCAAGTGGATATTTAGTGCCGTTTGGGGCCTATGGTGGAAAAGGCAATATCTTCATAGAAAAACTAGACAGAATGATTCTCAGAAACTACTTTGTGATGTGTGCCTTCAACTCACAGAGTTTAACCTTCCTTTTGGTAGAGCAGTTTTGAGAAACTCTTTTTGTAGAATCTGCAAGTGTATATTGGGACTTTTCTGAGGCCATCTTTGGAAACGGGATTTCTTCATATAAAACTTGAAAGAAGAATCCTCAGAAAATTATTTGTGATATGTGCATTTAACTCATGGAGTTGAAACTTCCTTTCGATAGAAGAGTTTTGAAATACTCTTTTTGTAGAATTTCCAAGTGGATTTTTACAGCGGTGTGAGGTCTATGGCAGAAAAAGAAATATCTTCACAGAAAAACTAGGCAGATTCATTCTCCGAAGCTGTTTTGTGATGCTTGCATTAGGCTTACAGAGTTTAAACTTCCTTTGATAGAGCAGTTTTGAAACACTCTTTTTGTGGAATTTGCAAGTGTATATTTAGAGCGTTTTGAGGCCTACAGTAGGAAAGGAAATATCTTCACGTAAAAACTAGACAGAAGTATTGTCAGAAACTTATTTGTGATATTTGCATTCAACGCACAGAGTTGAACATTCCTCGTGATGGAGCAGTTTTGAAACACTCTTTTTGTAGAATCTGCAAGTGGATATTTGGACCTCTTTGTGGCCTTCGTTTGAAACGTGATTTCTTCATTTACAACTAGACAGAAGAATTCTCAGAAACTTCTTTGTGATGTGTACCTTCAACTCACAGAGTTGAAGCTTCCTTTCAATAGAGCACTTTTGAAACTCAGTTTTTGTAGAATTTCCAGGTGGATATTTAGCGCCGTTTGAGGCCTAAGGTAGAAAAGGCAATATCTTCGTAGGAAAACTAGACAGAATGATTCTCAGAAACTACTTTGTGATGTGTGCGTTCAACTCACTGAGTATAACCTTTCTTTTGATAGACCAGTTATGAAACACTCTTTTTGTGGAATCTGCAAGTAAATATTTGGACTTTCTTGAGGCCTTCATTGGAAACGGGATTTCTTCATAGAAACCTTGACAGAAGAATTCTCAGAAACTTCTTTGTGATGTGTGCATTTAACTCTCAGAGTTCAACCTTCCTTTTGATAGAAGAGTGTTGAAATATTCTTTTTGTAGAATTTCCAAGTGAATATTTAGAGCGGTTTCAGGCCTATGTAGAAGAGAAAATATCTTCACAGAAAAACTAGACACAATTGTTCTCTGAAGCTACTTTGTGATGTGCGCATTCAGCTTACAGAGTTTAACCTTTCTTTGGATAGAGCGGTTTTAAACACTCTTTTTGTGGAATTTGCAATTCTATATTTAGAGTGCTTTCAGGCCTGTGGTACAAAAGGGAATGTCTTCACATAAAATCTAGACAGAAGCATTGTCGGAAACTATATTGTGATACCTGCCTTCAACTCTCAGAGTTGAATATTCCTCTTGATGGAGCAGTTTTGAAAAACTCTTTTTGTTGAATCTCCAAGTGGATATTTGGACCTCTTTGTGGCCTTCGTTTGAAACGTGACTTCTTCATACAAAACTAGACAGAAGAATTCCCATAAACTTCTTTGTGATGTGTGCTTTCAACTCGCAGAGTTGAAGCTTCCTTTCGATAGAGCAGTCTTGTAGCTCTCTTTTTGAAGAATATCCAAGTGGATATTTAGCGCCGTTTGAGGCCTATGGTGGAAAAGGCAATATCTTCATAGAAAAACTAGAAAGAATGATTCTCAGAAACTACTCTGTGATGTGTGCCTTCAACTCACAGAGTTTAACCTTCCTTTTGATAGTGCAGTTTTGAAAAACTCTTTTTGTAGAATCTGCAAGTGTATATTGGGAGTTTTCTGAGGCCAACTTTGGAAACGGGATTTCTTCATATAAAACTTGAAAGAAGAATCCTCAGAAAATTATTTGTGATATGTGCATTTAACTCATGGAGCTGAAACTTCCTTTCGATAGAAGAGCTTTGAAATACTCTTTTTGTAGAATTTCCAAGTGGATTTTTACAGCGGTTTGAGGTCTATGGCAGAAAAAGAAATATCTTCACAGAAAAACTAGGCAGAATTCATTCTCCGAGCTGTTTTGTGATGCTTGCATTCAGCTGACAGAGTTTAAACTTCCTTTGATAGAGCAGTTTTGAAACACTCTTTTTGTGGAATTTGCAAGTGTATATTTAGAGCGTTTTGAGGCCTACAGTAGGAAAGGAAATATCTTCACCTAAAAACTAGACAGAAGTATTGTCAGAAACTTATTTGTGATATTTGCATTCAACGCACAGAGTTGAACATTCCTCTTGATGGAGCAGTTTTCAAACCCTCTTTTTGCAGAATCTGCAGGTGGATATTTGGACCTCTTTGTGGCCTTCGTTTGAAACGTGATTTCTTCATTTACAACTAGACAGAAGAATTCTCCGAAACTTCTTTGTGATGTGTACTTTCAACTCACAGAGTTGAAGCTTCCTTTCAATAGAGCACTTTTGAAACTCAGTTTCTGTAGAATTTCCAGGTGGATATTTAGCGCCGTTTGAGGTCTATGGTGGAAAAGGCAATGTCTTCGTAGAAAAACTAGACAGAATGATTCTCAGAAGCTACCTTGTGATGTGTGGATTCAACTCACTGAGTTTAACCTTTCTTTTGATAGACCAGTTATGAAACATTCTTTTTGTGGAATCGGCAAGTAAATATTTGGACTTTTTGGAGGCCTTCATTGGAAACGGGGTTTCTTCATATAAACATTGTCAGAAGAATTCTCAGAAACTTCTCTGTGATGTGTGCGTTTAACTTCAGAGTTCAACCTTCCTTTTGATAGAAGAGTGTTGAAATATTCTTTTTGTAGAATTTCCAAGTGAATATTTAGAGCGGTTTCAGGCCTATGTAGAAGAGAAACTATCTTCACAGAAAAACTAGACATAATTGTTCTCTGAAGCTGCTCTGTGATGTGCGCATTCAGCTGACAGAGTTTAAACTTTCTTTGGATAGAGCGGTTTTAAACACTCTTTTTTTTGGAATTTGCAATTCTATATTTAGAGTGCTTTCAGGCCTGTGGTACAAAAGGGAATGTCTTCACATAAAATCTAGACAGAAGCATTGTCGGGAACTACTTTGTGATACCTGCCTTCAACTCTCAGAGTTGAATATTCCTCTTGAAGGAGCAGTTTTCTAAAACTCTTTTTGTTGAATCTCCAAGTGGATATTTGGACCTCTTCGTGGCCTTCGTTTGAAACGTGACTGCTTCATAGAAAAGTAGACAGAAGAATTCTCATCAACTTCTTCGTGATGTGTGCTTTCAACTCGCAGCGTTGAAGCTTCCTTTCGATAGAGCAGTTCAGTAACTCTCTTTTTGTAGAATTTCCAAGTGGATATTTAGCGCCGTTTGAGGCCAATGGTGGAAAAGGCAATATCTTCATAGAAAAACTAGACAGAATGATTCTCAGAAACAACTTTGTGATGTGTGCCTTCAACTCACAGAGTTTAACCTTTCTTTTGATAGAGCAGTTTTGAAAAACTCTTTTTGTAGAATCTGCAAGTGTATATTGGGACTTTTCTGAGGCCATCTTTGGAAACGGGATTTCTTCATATAAAACTTGAAAGAAGAATCCTCAGAAAATTATTTGTGATATGTGCATTTAACTCATGGAGTTGAAACTTCCTTTCGATAGAAGAGTTTTGAAATACTCTTTTTGTAGAATTTCCAAGTGGATTTTTACAGCGGTTTGAGGTCTATGGCAGCAAAAGAAATATCTTCACAGAAAAACTAGGCAGATTCATTCTCCGAAGCTGTTTTGTGATGCTTGCATTCAGCTGACAGAGTTTAAACTTCCTTTGATAGAGCAGTTTTGAAACACTCTTTTTGTGGAATTTGCAAGTGTCTCTTTAGAGCGTTTTGAGGCCTACAGTAGGAAAGGAAATATCTTCACCTAAAAACTAGACAGAAGTATTGTCAGAAACTTATTTGTGATATTTGCATTCAACGCACGGAGTTGAACATTCCTCTTGATGGAGCCGTTTTGAAGCACTCTTTTTGTGGAATCTGCAAGTGGATATTTGGACCTCTTTGTGGCCTTCGTGGGAAACGTGATTTCTTCATTTACAACTAGACAGAAGAATTCTCAGAAACTTCTTTGTGATGTGTACTTTCAACTCACAGAGTTGAAGCTTCCTTTCAATAGAGCACCTTTGAAACTCAGTTTCTGTAGAATTTCCAGGTGGATATTTAGCGCCGTTTGAGGCCTATGGTGGAAAAGGCAATATCTTCGTAGAAAAACTAGACAGAATGATTCTCAGAAACAACTTTGTGATGTGTGCGTTCAACACTCGGAGTTTAACCTTTCTTTTGATAGACTAGTTATGAAACACTCTTTTTGTAGAATCTGCAAGTAAATATTTGGACTTTTTTGAGGCCTTCATTGGAAACGGGATCTCTTCATATAAACCTTGACAGAAGAATTCCCAGAAAATTCTCTGTGATGTGTGCATTTAACTCTCAGAGTTCAACCTTCCTTTTGATAGAAGAGGGTTGAAATATTCTTTTTGTAGAATTTCCAAGTGAATATTTAGAGCGGTTTCAGGCCTAAGTAGAAGAGAAAATATCTTCACAGAAAAACTAGACATAATTGTTCTCTGAAGCTACTTTGTGATGTGCGCATTCAGCTTACAGAGTTTAAACTTTCTTTGGATCGAGCGGTTTTAAACACTCTTTTTGTGGAATTTGCAATTCTATATTTAGAGTGCTTTCAGGCCTGTGGTACAAAAGGGAATGTCCTCACATAAAATCTAGACAGAAGCATTGTCGGGAACTACTTTGGGATACCTGCCTTCAACTCTCAGAGTTGAATATTCCTCTTGATGGAGCAGTTTTGAAAAACTCCTTTTGTTGAATCTCCAAGTGGATATTTGGACCTCTTTGTGGCCTTCGTTTGAAACGTGACTGCTTCATACAAAAGTAGACAGAAGAATTCTCATAAACTTCTTCGTGATGTGTGCTTTCCACTCGCAGAGTTGAAGCTTCCTTTCGATAGAGCAGTCTTGTAACTCTCTTTTTGTAGAATTTCCAAGTGGATATTTAGCGCCGTTTGAGGCCTATGGTGGAGAAGGCGATATCTTCATCGAAAAACTAGACAGAATGATACTCAGAAACTACTCTGCGATGTGTGCCTTCAACTCACAGAGTTTAACCTTCTTTTTGATAGAGCAGTTTTGAAAAACTCTTTTTGTAGAATCTGCAAGTGTATATTGGGACTTTTCTGAGGCCATCTTTGGAAACGGGATTTCTTCATATAAAACTTGAAAGAAGAATCCTCAGAAAATTATTTGTGATATGTGCATTTAACTCATGGAGTTGAAACTTCCTTTCGATAGAAGAGTTTTGAAATACTCTTTTTGTAGAATTTCCAAGTGGATTTTTACAGCGGTGTGAGGTCTATGGCAGAAAAAGAAATATCTTCACAGAAAAACTAGGCAGATTCATTCTCCGAAGCTGTTTTGTGATGCTTGCATTAAGCTTACAGAGTTTAAAGTTCCTTTGATAGAGCAGTTTTGAAACACTCTTCTTGTGGAATTTGCAAGTGTATATTTAGAGCGTTTTGAGGCCCACAGTAGGAAAGGAAATATCTTCACATAAAAACTAGACAGAAGTATTGTCAGAAACTTATTTGTGATATTTGCATGGAACGCACAGAGTTGAACATTCCTCTTGATGGAGCAGTTTTGAAACACTCTTTTTGTAGAATCTGCAAGTGGATATTTGGACCTCTTTGTGGCCTTCGTTTGAAACGTGATTTCTTCATTTACAACTAGACAGAAGAATTCTCAGAAACTTCTTTGTGATGTGTACCTTCAACTCACAGAGGTGAAGCTTCCTTTCAATAGAGCACTTTTGAAACTCAGTTTAGGTAGAATTTCCAGGTGGATATTTAGCGCCGTTTGAGGCCTATGCTAGAAAAGGCAATATCTTCGTAGGAGAACTAGACAGAATGATTCTCAGAAACAACTTTGTGATGTGTGCGTTCAACCTCACGGAGTTTAACCTTTCTTTTGATAGACCAGTTATGAAACACTCTTTTTGTAGAATCTGCAAGTAAATATTTGGACTTTTCTGAGGCCTTCATTGGAAACGGGATCTCTTCATATAAACCTTGACAGAAGAATTCTCAGAAACTTCTCTGTGATGTGTGCGTTTAACTCTCAGAGTTCAACCTTCCTTTTGATAGAAGAGTGTTGAAATATTCTTTTTGTAGAATTTCCAAGTGAATATTTAGAGCGGTTTCAGGCCTATGTAGAAGAGAAACTATCTTCACAGAAAAACTAGACATATTTGTTCTCTGAAGCTACTTTGTGATTTGTGCATTCAGCTTACAGAGATTAACCTTTCTTTGGATCGAGCGGTTTTAAACACTCTTTTTGTGGAATTTGCAATTCTATATTTAGAGTGCTTTCAGGCCTGTGGTACAAAAGGGAATGTCTTCACATAAAATCTAGACAGAAGCATTGTCGGTAACTACTTTGTGATACATGGCTTCAACTCTCAGAGTTGAATATTCCTCTTGAAGGAGCAGTTTTGAAAAACACTTTTTGTTGAATCTCCAAGTGGATATTTGGTCCTCTTTGTGGCCTTCGTTTGAAACGTGACTGCTTCATACAAAAGTAGACAGAAGAATTCTCATAAACTTCTTGGTGATGTGTGCTTTCAACTCGCAGCGTTGAAGCTTCCTTTCGATAGAGCAGTTTAGTAACTCTCTTTTTGTAGAATTTCCAAGTGGATATTTAGCGCCGTTTGAGGCCTATGGTGGAAAAGGCAATATCTTCATAGAAAAACTAGACAGAATGATTCTCAGAAACTACTTTGTGATGTGTGCCTTCAACTCACAGAGTTTAACCTTCCTCTTGGTAGAGCAGTTTTGAAAAACTCTTTTTGTAGAATCTGCAAGTGTATATTGGGACTTTTCTGAGGCCATCTTTGGAAACGGGATTTCTTCATATAAAACTTGAAAGAAGAATCCTCAGAAAATTATTTGTGATATGTGCATTTAGCTCATGGGGCTGAAACTTCCTTTCGATAGAAGAGCTTTGAAATACTCTTTTTGTAGAATTTCCAAGTGGATTTTTACAGCGGTTTGAGGTCTATGGCAGAAAAAGAAATATCTTCACAGAAAAACTAGGCAGATTCATTCTCCGAAGCTGTTTGGTGATGTTTGCATTAAGCTGACAGAGTTTAAACTTCCTTTGATAGAGCAGTTTGGAAACACTCTTTTTGTGGAATTTGCAAGTGTATATTTAGAGCGTTTTGAGGCCTACAGTAGGAAAGGAAATATCTTCACATAAAAACTAGACAGAAGTATTGTCAGAAACTTATTTGTGATATTTGCATTCAACGCACAGAGTTGAACCTTCCTCTTGATAGAGCAGTTTTGAAACCCTCTTTTTGCAGAATCTGCAGGTGGATATTTGGACCTCTTTGTGGCCTTCGTTTGAAACGTGATTTCTGCATTTACAACTAGACAGAAGAATTCTCAGAAACGTCTTTGTGATGTGTACTTTCAACTCACAGAGTTGAAGCTTCCTTTCAATAGAGCACTTTTGAAACTCAGTTTCTGTAGAATTTCCAGGTGGATATTTAGCGCCGTTTGAGGCCTATGGTGGAAAAGGCAATATCTTCGTAGAAAAACTAGACAGAATGATTCTCAGAAACAACTTTGTGATGTGTGCGTTCAACTCACGGAGTTTAACCTTTCTTTTGATAGACCAGTTATGAAACACTCTTTTTGTAGAATCTGCAAGTAAATATTTGGACTTTTTTGAGGCCTTCATTGGAAACGGGATCTCTTCATATAAACCTTGACAGAAGAATTCTCAGAAACTTCACTGTGATGTGTGCCTTTAACTCTCAGAGTTCAACCTTCTTTTTGATAGAAGAGTGTTGAAATATTCCTTTTGTAAAATTTCCAAGTGAATATCTAGAGCGGTTTTAAGCCTATGTAGAAGAGAAACTATCTTCACAGAAAAACTAGACATAATTGTTCTCTGAAGCTACTCTGTGATGTGCGCATTCAGCTGACAGAGTTTAACCTTTCGTTGGATAGAGCGGTTTTAAACCCTCTTTTTGTGGAATTTGCTATTCTATCTTTAGAGTGCTTTCAGGCCTCTGGTACAAAAGGGAATGTCTTCACATAAAATCTAGACAGAAGCATTGTCGGAAACTACTTTGTGATACCTGCCTTCAACTCTCAGAGTTGAATATTCCTCTTGATGGAGCAGTTTTGAAAAACTCTTTTTGTTGAATCTCCAAGTGGATATTTGGACCTCTTTGTGGCCTTCGTTTGAAATGTGACTGCTTCATACAAAAGTAGACAGAAGAATTCTCATAAACTTCTTCGTGATGTGTGCTTTCAACTCGCAGAGTTGAAGCTTCCTTTCGATAGAGCAGTTTTGTAACCCTCTTTTTGTAGAATTTCCAAGTGGATATTTAGCGCCGTTTGAGGCCTATGGTGGAAAAGGCAATATCTTCATAGAGAAACTAGACAGAATGATTCTCAGAAACTACTTTGTGATGTGTGCCTTCAACTCACAGAGTTTAACCTTTCTTTTGATAGAGCAGTTTTGAAAAACTCTTTTTGTAGAATCTGCAAGTGTATATTGGGACTTTTCTGAGGCCATCTTTGGAAACGGGATTTCTTCATATTAAACTTGAAAGAAGAATCCTCAGAAAATTATTTGTGATATGTGCATTTAACTCATGGAGTTGAAACTTCCTTTCGATAGAAGAGTTTTGAAATACTCTTTTTGTAGAATTTCCAAGTGGATTTTTACAGCGGTGTGAGGTCTATGGCAGCAAAAGAAATATCTTCACAGAAAAACTGGGCAGATTCATTCTCCGAAGCTGTTTTGTGATGCTTGCATTCAGCTGACAGAGTTTAAACTTCCTTTGAAAGAGCAGTTTTGAAACACTCTTTTTGTGGAATTTGCAAGTGTATATTTAGAGCGTTTTGAGGCCTACATTGGGAAAGGAAATATCTTCACCTAAAAACTAGACAGAAGTATTGTCAGAAACTTATTTGTGATATTTGCATTCAACGCACAGAGTTGAACATTCCTCTTGATGGAGCAGTTTTCAAACCCTCTTTTTGCAGAATCTGCAGGTGGATATTTGGACCTCTTTGTGGCCTTCGTTTGAAACGTGATTTCTACATTTACAACTAGACAGAAGAATTCTCAGAAACTTCTTTGTGATGTGTACCTTCAACTCACAGTGGTGAAGCTTCCTTTCAATGGAGCACTTTTGAAACTCAGTTTTGGTAGAATTTCCAGGTGGATATTTTGCGCCGTTTGAGGCCTATGGTAGAAAAGGCAATATCTTCGTAGGAGAACTAGACAGAATGATTCTCAGAAGCTACTTTGTGATGTGTGGGTTCAACTCACTGAGTTTAACCTTTCTTTTGATAGACCAGTTATTAAACACTCTTTCTGTGGAATCGGCAACTAAATATTTGGACTTTTTTGAGGCCTTCATTGGAAACGGGGTTTCTTCATATAAACCTTGACAGAAGAATTCCCAGAAACTTCTCTGTGATGTGTGCATTTAACTCTCAGAGTTCAACCTTCCTTTTGATAGAAGAGGGTTGAAATATTCTTTTTGTAGAATTTCCAAGTGAATATTTAGAGCGGTTTCAGGCCTAAGTAGAAGAGAAAATATCTTCACAGAAAAACTAGACATAATTGTTCTCTGAAGTTATTTTGTGATGTCCGCCTTCAGCTGACAGAGTTGAACCTTTCTTTGGATAGAGCGGTTTTAAACACTCTTTTTGTGGAATTTGCAATTCTATACTTAGAGTGCTTTCAGGCCTGTGGTACAAAAGGGAATGTCTTCACATAAAATCTAGACAGAAGCATTGTCGGAAACTACTTTGTGATACCTGCCTTCAACTCTCCGAGTTGAATATTCCTCGTGATGGAGCAGTTTTGAAAATCTCTTTTTGTTGAATCTCCAAGTGGATATTTGGGCCTCTTTGTGGTCTTCGTTTGAAAAGTGACTTCTTCATACAAAACTAGACAGAAGAATTCTCATCAACTGCTTCGTGATGTGTGCTTTCAACTCGCAGCGTTGAAGCTTCCTTTCGATAGAGCAGTTCTGTAACTCTCTTTTTGTAGAATTTCCAAGTGGATATTTAGCGCCGTTTGAGGCCAATGGTGGAAAAGGCAATATCTTCATAGAAAAACTAGACAGAATGATTCTCAGAAACTACTTTGTGATGTGTGCCTTCAACTCACAGAGTTTAACCTTTCTTTTGATAGAGCAGTTTTGAAAAGCTCTTTTTGTAGAATCTGGAAGTGTATATTGGGACTTTTCTGAGGCCATCTTTGGAAACGGGATTTCTTCATATAAAACTTGAAAGAAGAATCCTCAGCAAAATTATTTGTGATATGTGCATTTAACTCATGGAGTTGAAACTTCCTTTCGATAGAAGAGTTTTGAAATACTCTTTTTGTAGAATTCCCAAGTGGATTTTTACAGCGGTTTGAGGTCTATGGCAGCAAAAGAAATATCTTCACAGAAAAACTAGGCAGATTCATTCTCCGAAGCTGTTTTGTGATGCTTGCATTAAGCGGACACAGTTTAAACTTCCTTTGATAGAGCAGTTTGGAAACACTCTTTTTGTGGAATTTGCAAGTGTATATTTAGAGCGTTTTGAGGCCTACAGTAGGAAAGGAAATATCTTCACATAAAAACTACACAGAAGTATTGTCAGAAACTTATTTGTGATATTTGCATTCAACGCACAGAGTTGAACATTCCTCTTGATGGAGCAGTTTTGAAACCCTCTTTTTGCAGAATCTGCAGGTGGATATTTGGACCTCTTTGTGGCCTTCGTTTGAAACGTGATTTCTTCATTTACAACTAGACAGAAGAATTCTCAGAAACTTCTTTGTGATGTGTACTTTCAACTCACAGAGTTGAAGCTTCCTTTCAATAGAGCACCTTTGAAACTCAGTTTCTGTAGAATTTCCAGGTGGATATTTAGCGCCGTTTGAGGCCTATGGTGGAAAAGGCAATATCTTCGTAGAAAAACTAGACAGAATGATTCTCAGAAGCTACTTTGTGATGTGTGGGTTCAACTCACTGAGTTTAACCTTTCTTTTGATAGACCAGTTATGAAACACTCTTTTTGTGGAATCTGCAAGTAAATTTTTGGACTTTTTTGAGGCCTTCATTGGAAACGGGGTTTCTTCATATAAACCTTGACGGAAGAATTCTCAGAAACTTCTCTGTGATGTGTGCGTTTAACTCTCAGAGTTCAACCTTCCTTTTGATAGAAGAGTGTTGAAATATTCTTTTTGTAGAATTTCCAAGTGAATATTTAGAGCGGTTTCAGGCCTATGTAGAAGAGAAACTATCTTCACAGAAAAACTAGACACAATTGTTCTCTGAAGCTACTCTGTGATGTGCGCATTCAGCTTACAGAGTTTAACCTTTCTTTGGATCGAGCGGTTTTAAACACTCTTTTTGTGGAATTTGCAATTCTATGGTTAGAGTGCTTTCAGGCCTTTGGTACAAAAGGGAATGTCTTCACATAAAATCTAGACAGAAGCATTGTCGGAAACTACTTTGTGATACCTGCCTTCAACTCTCAGGAGTTGAATATTCCTCTTGATGGAGCAGTTTTGAAAGACTCTTTTTGTTGAATCTCCAAGTGGATATTTGGACCTCTTTGTGGCCTTCGTTTGAGACGTGACTGCTTCATACAAAAGTAGACAGAAGAATTCTCATCAACTTCTTCGTGATGTGTGCTTTCAACTCGCAGCGTTGAAGCTTCCTTTCGATAGAGCAGTTCTGTAACTCTCTTTTTGTAGAATTTCCAATTGGATATTTAGCGCCGTTTGAGGCCAATGGTGGAAAAGGCAATATCTTCATAGAAAAACTAGACAGAATGATTCTCAGAAACTACTCTGTGATGTGTGCCTTCAACTCACAGAGTTTAACCTTCCTTTTGATAGAGCAGTTTTGAAAAACTCTTTTTGTAGAATCTGCAAGTGTATATTAGGACTATTCTGAGGCCAAATTTGGGAACGGGATTTCTTCATATAAAACTTGAAAGAAGAATCCTCAGAAAATTATTTGTGATATGTGCATTTAACTCATGGAGCTGAAACTTCCTTTCGATAGAAGAGCTTTGAAATACTCTTTTTGTAGAATTTCCAAGTGGATTTTTACAGCGGTTTGAGGTCTATGGCAGAAAAAGAAATATCTTCACAGAAAAACTAGGCAGATTCATTCTCCGAAGCTGTTTTGTGATGCTTGCATTAAGCTTACAGAGTTTAAACTTCCTTTGATAGAGCAGTTTTGAAACACTCTTTTTGTGGAATTTGCAAGTGTATATTTAGAGCGTTTTGAGGCCTACAGTAGGAAAGGAAATATCTTCACATAAAAACTAGACAGAAGTATTGTCAGAAACTTATTTGTGATATTTGCATGGAATGCACAGAGTTGAACATTCCTCTTGATGGAGCAGTTTTGAAACACTCTTTTTGTAGAATCTGCAAGTGGATATTTGGACCTCTTTGTGGCCTTCGTTTGAAACGTGATTTCTTCATTTACAACTAGACAGAAGAATTCTCAGAAACTTCTTTGTGATGTGTACCTTCAACTCACAGAGTTGAAGCTTCCTTTCAATAGAGCACCTTAGAAACTCAGTTTTTGTAGAATTTCCAGGTGGATATTTAGCGCCGTTTGAGGCCTATGGTAGAAAAGGCAATATCTTCATAGGAGGACTAGACAGAATGATTCTCAGAAGCTACTTTGTGATGTGTGGGTTCAACTCACTGAGTTTAACCTTTCTTTTGATAGACCAGTTATGAAACACTCTTTCTGTGGAATCTGCAAGTAAATTTTTGGACTTTTTTGAGGCCTTCATTGGAAACGGGGTTTCTTCATATAAACCTTGACAGAAGAATTCTCAGAAACTTCTCTGTGATGTGTGCATTTACCTCTCAGAGTTCAACCTTCCTTTTGATAGAAGAGTGTTGAAATATTCTTTTTGCAGAATTTCCAAGTGAATATTTAGAGCGGTCTCAGGCCTATGTGGAAGAGAAACTATCTTCACGGAAAAACTAGACATAATTGTTCTCTGAAGCTACTCTGTGATGTGCGCATTCAGCTGACAGAGTTTAACCTTTCTTTGGATAGAGTGGTTTTAAACCCTCTTTTTGTGGAATTTGCAATTCTGTATTTAGAGTGCTTTCAGGCCTGTGGTACAAAAGGGAATGTCTTCACATAAAATCTAGACAGAAGCATTGTCGGAAACTATATTGTGATACCTGCCTTCAACTCTCAGAGTTGAATATTCCTCTTGATGGAGCAGTTTTGAAAAACTCTTTTTGTTGAATCTCCAAGTGGATATTTGGACCTCTTTGTGGCCTTCGTTTGAAACGTGACTTCTTCATAGAAAACTAGACAGAAGAATTCTCATCAACTTCTTCGTGATGTGTGCTTTCAACTCGCAGCGTTGAAGCTTCCTTTCGATAGAGCAGTTCGGTAACTCTCTTTTTGTAGAATTTCCAAGTGGATATTTAGCGCCGTTTGAGGCCAATGGTGGAAAAGGCAATATCTTCATAGAAAAACTAGACAGAATGATTCTCAGAAACTACTCTGTGATGTGTGCCTTCAACTCACAGAGTTTAACCTTCCTTTTGATAGAGCAGTTTTGAAAAACTCTTTTTGTAGAATCTGCAAGTGTATATTGGGACTTTTCTGAGGCCAACTTTGGAAACGGGATTTCTTCATATAAAACTTGAAAGAAGAATCCTGGGAAAATTATTTGTGATATGTGCATTTAACTCATGGAGTTGAAACTTCCTTTCGATAGAAGAGTTTTGACATCCTCTTTTTGTAGAATTTCCAAGTGGATATTTACAGCGGTTTGAGGTCTATGGCCGAAAAAGAAATATCTTCACAGAAAAACTAGGCAGATTCATTCTCCGAAGCTGTTTTGTGATGCTTGCATTCAGCTGACAGAGTTTAAACTTCCTTTGATAGAGCAGTTTGGAAACACTCTTTTTGTGGAATTTGCAAGTGTATATTTAGAGCGTTTTGAGGCCTACAGTAGGAAAGGAAATATCTTCACCTAAAAACTAGACAGAAGTATTGTCAGAAACTTCTTTGTGATATTTGCATTCAACGCACAGAGTTGAACATTCCTCTTGATGGAGCAGTTTTGAAACCCTCTTTTTGCAGAATCTGCAGGTGGATATTTGGACCTCTTTGTGGCCTTCGTTTGAAGCGTGATTTCTTCATTTACAACTAGACAGAAGAATTCTCAGAAACTTCTTTGTGATGTGTACCTTCAACTCACTGAGGTGAAGCTTCCTTTCACTAGAGCACTTTTGAAACTCAGTTTTGGTAGAATTTCCAGGTGGATATTTTGCGCCATTTGAGGCCTATGGTAGAAAAGGCAATATCTTCGCAGGAGAACTAGACAGAATGATTCTCAGAAGCTAATTTGTGATGTGTGGGTTCAACTCACTGAGTTTAACCTTTCTTTTGATAGACCAGTTATGAAACACTCTTTCTGTGGAATCGGCAAGTAAATATTTGGACTTTTTTGAGGCCTTCATTGGAAACGGGGTTTCTTCATATAAACCTTGACAGAAGAATTCTCAGAAACTTCTCTGTGGTGTGTGCGTTTAACTCTCAGAGTTCAACCTTCCTTTTGATAGAAGAGTGTTGAAATATTCTTTTTGTAGAATTTCCAAGTGAATATTTAGAGCGGTTTCAGGCCTATGTAGAAGAGAAACTATCTTCACAGAAAAACTAGACATAATTGTTCTCTGAAGCTGCTCTGTGATGTGCGCATTCAGCTGACAGAGTTTAACCTTTCTTTGGATAGAGCGGTTTTCAACACTCTTTTTGTGGAATTTGCAATTCTATATTTAGAGTGCTTTCAGGCCTGTGGTACAAAAGGGAATGTCTTCGCATAAAATCTAGACAGAAGCATTGTCGGGAACTACTTTGGGATACCTGCCTTCAACTCTCAGAGTTGAATATTCCTCTTGATGGAGCAGTTTTGAGAAACTCTTTTTGTTGAATCTCCAAGTGGATATTTGGACCTCTTTGTGGCCTTCGTTTGAAACGTGACTGCTTCATACAAAAGTAGACAGAAGAATTCTCATAAACTTCTTCGTGATGTGTGCTTTCAACTCGCAGCGTTGAAGCTTCCTTTCGATAGAGCAGTTTAGTAACTCTCTTTTTGTAGAATTTCCAAGTGGATATTTAGCGCGGTTTGAGGCCTATGGTGGAAAAGGCAATATCTTCATAGAAAAACTAGACAGAATGATTCTCAGAAACTACTCTGTGATGTGTGCCTTCAACTCACAGAGTTTAATCTTCCTTTTGATAGAGCAGTTTTGAAAAACTCTTTTTGTAGAATCTGCAAGTGTATATTGGGACTTTTCTGAGGCCATCTTTGGAAACGGGATTTCTTCATAGAAAACTTGAAAGAAGAATCCTCAGAAAATTATTTGTGATATGTGCATTTAACTGATGGAGCTGAAACTTCCTTTCGATAGAAGAGCTTTGAAATACTCTTTTTGTAGAATTTCCAAGTGGATTTTTACAGCGGTTTGAGGTCTATGGCAGAAAAAGAAATATCTTCACAGAAAAATTAGGCAGATTCATTCTCCGAAGCTGTTTTGTGATGCTTGCATTAAGCGGACAGAGTTTAAACTTCCTTTGATAGAGCAGTTTGGAAACACTGTTTTTGTGGAATTTGCAAGTGTATATTTAGAGGGTTTTGAGGCCTACAGTAGGAAAGGAAATATCTTCACATAAAAACTACACAGAAATATTGTCGGAAACTTACTTGTGATATTTGCATTCAACGCACAGAGTTGAACATTCCTCTTGATGGAGCAGTTTTGAAACACTCTTTTTGCAGAATCTGCAGGTGGATATTTGGACCTCTTTGTGGCCTTCCTTTGAAACGTGATTTCTTCATTTACAACTAGACAGAAGAATTCTCAGAAACTTCTTTGTGATGTGTACCTTCAACTCACAGAGGTGAAGCTTCCTTTCAATAGAGCACTTTTGAAGCTCAGTTTTGGTAGAATTTCCAGGTGGATATTTAGCGCCGTTTGAGGCCTATGGTAGAAAAGGCAATATCTTCGTAGGAGAACTAGACACAATGATTCTCAGAAGCTACTTTGTGATGTGTGGGTTCAACTCACTGAGTTTAACCTTTCTTTTGATAGACCAGTTATGAAACACTCTTTTTGTGGAATCTGCAAGTAAATTTTTGGACTTTTTTGAGGTCTTCATTGGAAACGGGGTTTCTTCATATAAACCTTGACAGAAGAATTCCCAGAAACTTCTCTGTGATGTGTGCATTTAACTCTCAGAGTTCAACCTTCCTTTTGATAGAAGAGGGTTGAAATTTTCTTTTTGTAGAATTTCCAAGTGAATATTTAGAGCGGTTTCAGGCCTAAGTAGAAGAGAAAATATCTTCACAGAAAAACTAGACATAACTGTTCTCTGAAGCTACTTTGTGATGTGCGCATTCAGCTTACAGAGTTTAACCTTTCTTTGGATCGAGCGGTTTTAAACACTCTTTTTGTGGAATTTGCAATTCTATATTTAGAGTGCTTTCAGGCCTGTGGTACAAAAGGGAATGTCCTCACATAAAATCTAGACAGAAGCGTTGTCGGAAACTAGTTTGTGATACCTGCCCTCAACTCTCAGAGTTGAATATTCCTCTTGACGGAGCAGTTTTGAAAAACTCTTTTTGTGGAATCTCCAAGTGGATATTTGGACCTCTTTGTGGCCTTCGTTTGAGACGTGACTTCTTCATACAAAACTAGACAGAAGAATTCTCATAAACTTCTTCGTGATGTGTGCTTTCAACTCGCAGAGTTGAAGCTTCCTTTCGATAGAGCAGTCTTGTAACTCTCTTTTTGTAGAATTTCCAAGTGGATATTTAGCGCCGCTTGAGGCCTATGGTGGAGAAGGCGATATCTTCATAGAAAAACTAGACGGAATGATTCTCAGAAACTACTTTGTGATGTGTGCCTTCAACTCACAGAGTTTAACCTTTCTTTTGATAGAACAGTTTTGAAAAACTCTTTTTGTAGAATCTGCAAGTGTATATTGGGACTTATCTGAGGCCATCTTTGGAAACGGGATTTCTTCATATAAAACTTCAAAGAAGAATCCTCAGAAAATTATTTGTGATATGTGCATTTAACTCATGGAGCTGAAACTTCCTTTCGATAGAAGAGCTTTGAAATACTGTTTTTGTAGAATTTCCAAGTGGATTTTTACAGTGGTTTGAGGTCTATGGCAGAAAAAGAAATATCTTCACAGAAAAACTAGACAGATTCATTCTCCGAAGCTGTTTTGTGATGCTCGCATTCAGCTGACAGAGTTTAAACTTCCTTTGAGAGAGCAGTTTGGAAACACTCTTTTTGTGGAATTTGCAAGTGTATATTTAGAGCGTTTTGAGGCCTACAGTAGGAAAGGAAATATCTTCACCTAAAAACTAGACAGAAGTATTGTCAGAAACTTATTTGTGATATTTGCATTCAACGCACGGAGTTGAACATTCCTCTTGATGGAGCCGTTTTGAAGCACTCTTTTTGTGGATTCTGCAAGTGGATATTTGGACCTCTTTGTGGCCTTCGTGGGAAACGTGATTTCTTCATTTACAACTAGACAGAAGAATTCTCAGAAACTTCTTTGTGATGTGTACTTTCAACTCACAGAGTTGAAGCTTCCTTTCAATAGAGCACTTTTGAAACTCAGTTTCTGTAGAATTTCCAGGTGGATATTTTGCGCCGTTTGAGGCCTATGGTGGAAAAGGCAATATCTTCGTAGAAAAACTAGACAGAATGATTCTCAGAAACTACTTTGTGATGTGTGGGTTCACCTCACTGAGTTTAACCTTTCTTTTGATAGACCAGTTATGAAACACTCTTTTTGTAGAATCTGCAAGTAAATATTTGGACTTTTTTGAGGCCTTCATTGGAAACGGGATTTCTCCATAGAAACCTTGACAGAAGAATTCCCAGTAAACTTCTCTGTGGTGTGTGCATTTAACTCTCAGAGTTCAACCTTCCTTTTGATAGAAGATTGTTATAGTATTCTTTCTGTAGAATTTCCAAGTGAATATTTAGAGCGGTTTCAGGCCTATGTAGAAGAGAAACTATCTTCACAGAAAAACTAGACATAATTGCTCTCTGAAGCTACTTTGTGATGTGCGCATTCGGCTTACAGAGTTTAACCTTTCTTTGGATGGAGCGGTTTTAAACACTCTTTTTGAGGAATTTGCAATTCTATATTTAGAGTGCTTTCAGGCCTGTGGTACAAAAGGGAATGTCCTCACATAAAATCTAGACAGAAGCATTGTCGGAAACTACTTGGTGATACCTGCCTTCATCTCTCAGAGTTGAATAATCCTCTTGATGGAGCAGTTTTGTAAAACTCTTTTTGTTGAATCTCCAAGTGGATATTTGGACCTCTTTGTGGCCTTCGTTTGAAACGTGACTGCTTCATACAAAAGTAGACAGAAGAATTCTCATAAACTTCTTCGTGATGTGTGCTTTCCACTCGCAGAGTTGAAGCTTCCTTTCGATAGAGCAGTCTTGTAACTCTCTTTTTGTAGAATTTCCAAGTGGATATTTAGCGCCGTTTGAGGCCTATGGTGGAG
Source organism: Homo sapiens (assembly GCF_000001405.40). NCBI lineage: Eukaryota > Metazoa > Chordata > Mammalia > Primates > Hominidae > Homo > Homo sapiens. Next base: position 90,839,881 of record NC_000003.12, read on the forward strand.
AAGGCGATATCTTCATAGAAAAACTAGACAGAATGATTCTCAGAAACTACTCTGTGATGTGTGCCTTAAACTCACAGAGTTTAACCTTCCTTTTGATAGAGCAGTTTTGAAAAACTCTTTTTGTAGAATCTGCAAGTGTATATTGGGACTTTTCTGAGGCCATACTTTGGAAACGGGATTTCTTCATATAAAACTTGAAAGAAGAATCCTCAGAAAATTATTTCTGATATGTGCATTTAACTCATGGAGTTGAAACTTCCTTTCGATAGAAGAGTTTTGAAATACTCTTTTTGTAGAATTTCCAAGTGGATTTTTAACCCGGTTTGAGGTCTATGGCTGAAAAAGAAATATCTTCACAGAAAAACTAGGCAGATTCATTCTCCGAAGCTGTTTTGTGATGCTTGCATTAAGCTGACAGAGTTTAAACTTCCTTTGAGAGAGCAGTTTTGAAACACTCTTTTTGTGGAATTTGCAAGTGTATATTTAGAGCGTTTTGAGGCCTACAGTAGGAAAGGAAATATCTTCACATAAAAACTAGACAGAAGTATTGTCAGAAACTTATTTGTGATATTTGCATTCAACGCACGGAGTTGAACATTCCTCTTGATGGAGCCGTTTTGCAGCACTCTTTTTGTGGAATCTGCAAGTGGATATTTGGACCTCTTTGTGGCCTTCGTGGGAAACGTGATTTCTTCATTTACAACTAGACAGAAGAATTCTCAGAAACTTCTTTGTGATGTGTACTTTCAACTCACAGAGTTGAAGCTTCCTTTCAATAGAACACTTTTGAAACTCAGTTTCTGTAGAATTTCCAGGTGGATATTTAGCGCCGTTTGAGGCCTATGGTGGAAAAGGCAATATCTTCGTAGAAAAACTAGACAGAATGATTCTCAGAAACAACTTTGTGATGTGTGCGTTCAACTCACGGAGTTTAACCTTTCTTTTGATAGACCAGTTATGAAACACTCTTTTTGTAGAATCTGCAAGTAAATATTTGGACTTTTTTGAGGCCTTCATTGGAAACGGGATTTCTTCATATAAACCTTGACAGAAGAATTCCCAGAAACTTCTCTGTGATGTGTGCATTTAACTCTCAGATTTCAACCTTCCTTTTGATAGAAGAGGGTTGAAATATTCTTTTTGTAGAATTTCCAAGTGAATATTTAGAGCGGTTTCAGGCCTATGTAGAAGAGAAAATATCTTCACAGAAAAACTAGACATAATTGTTCTCTGAAGCTACTCTGTGATGTGCGCATTCAGCTGACAGAGTTTAACCTTTCTTTGGATAGAGCGGTTTTAAACACTCTTTTTGTGGAATTTGCAATTCTATAATTAGAGTGCTTGCAGGCCTGTGGTACAAAAGGGAATGTCTTCACATAAAATCTAGATAGAAGCATTGTCGGAAACGACTTGGTGATACCTGCCTTCAACTCTCAGAGTTGAATGTTCCTCTTGATGGAGCAGTTTTGAAAAACTCTTTTTGTTGAATCTCCACGTGGGTATTTGGACCTCTTTGTGGCCTTCGTTTGAAACGTGACTGCTTCATACAAAAGTAGACAGAAGAATTCTCATAAACTTCTTCGTGATGTGTGCTTTCAACTCGCAGAGTTGAAGCTTCCTTTCGATAGAGCAGTTTTGTAACCCTCTTTTTGTAGAATTTCCAAGTGGATATTTAGCGCCGTTTGAGGCCTATGGTGGAAAAGGCAATATCTTCATAGAGAAACTAGACAGAATGATTCTCAGAAACTACTTTGTGATGTGTGCCTTCAACTCACAAAGTTTAAGCTTTCTTTTGATAGAGCAGTTTTGAAAAACTCTTTTTGTAGAATCTGCAAGTGTATATTGGGACTTTTCTGAGGCCATCTTTGGAAACGGGATTTCTTCATATAAAACTTGAAAGAAGAATCCTCAGAAAATTATTTGTGATATGTGCATTTAACTCATGGAGTTGAGACTTCCTTTCGATAGAAGAGTTTTGAAATACTCTTTTTGTAGAATTTCCAAGTGGATTTTTACAGCGGTTTGAGGTCTATGGCAGAAAAAGAAATATCTTCACAGGAAAACTAGGCAGATTCATTCTCTGAAGCTGTTTTGTGATGCTTGCATTAAGCTGACAGAGTTTAAACTTCCTTTGATAGAGCAGTTTGGAAACACTCTTTTTGTGGAATTTGCAAGTGTATATTTAGAGCGTTTTGAGGCCTACAGTAGGAAAGGAAATATCTTCACATAAAAACTACACAGAAGTATTGTCAGAAACTTATTTGTGATATTTGCATTCAACGCACAGAGTTGAACATTCCTCTTGATGGAGCAGTTTTGAAACCCTCTTTTTGCAGAATCTGCAGGTGGATATTTGGACCTCTTTGTGGCCATCGTTTGAAACGTGATTTCTTCATTTACAACTCGACAGAAGAATTCTCAGAAACTTCTTTGTGATGTGTACCTTCAACTCACAGAGGTGAAGCTTCCTTTCAATAGAGCACTTTTGAAGCTCAGCTTTGGTAGAATTTCCAGGTGGATATTTAGCGCCGTTTGAGGCCTAAGGTAGAAAAGGCAATATCTTCGTAGGAGAACTAGACACAATGATTCTCAGAAACAACTTTGTGATGTGTGCGTTCAACTCACGGAGTTTAACCTTTCTTTTGATAGACCAGTTATGAAACACTCTTTTTGTAGAATCTGCAAGTAAATATTTGGACTTTTTTGAGGCCTTCATTGGAAACGGGATCTCTTCATATAAACCTTGACAGAAGAATTCCCAGAAACTTCTCTGTGATGTGTGCATTTAACTCTCAGAGTTCAACCTTCATTTTGATAGAAGAGTGTTGAAGTATTCTTTCTGTAGAATTTCCAAGTGAATATTTAGAGCGGTTTCAGGCCTAAGTAGAAGAGAAAATATCGTCACAGAAAAACTAGACATAATTGTTCTCTGAAGCTACTTTGTGATGTGCGCATTCAGCTTACAGAGTTTAACCTTTCTTTGGATCGAGCGGTTTTAAACACTCTTTTTGTGGAATTTGCAATTCTATATTTAGAGTGCTTTCAGGCCTGTGGTACAAAAGGGAATGTCCTCACTTAAAATCTAGACAGAAGCATTGTCGGGAACTACTTTGTGATACCTGCCTTCAACTCTCAGAGTTGAATGTTCCTCTTGATGGAGCAGTTTTGAAAAACTCTTTTTGTTGAATCTCCAAGTGGATATTTGGACCTCTTTGTGGCCTTCGTTTGAGACGTGACTTCTTCATACAAATTAGACAGAAGAATTCTCATCAACTTCTTCGTGATGTGTGCTTTCAACTCAGCAGTCGTTGAAGCTTCCTTTCGATAGAGCAGTTCTGTAACTCTCTTTTTGTACAATTTCCAAGTGGATATTTAGCGCCGTTTGAGGCCAATGGTGGAAAAGGCAATATCTTCATAGAAAAACTAGACAGAATGATTCTCAGAAACTGCTTTGTCATGTGTGCCTTCAACTCACAGAGCTTAAACTTTCTTTTGGTAGAGCAGTTTTGAAAAGCTCATTTTGTAGAATCTGCAAGTGTATATTGGGACTTATCTGAGGCCATCTTTGGAAACGGGATTTCTTCATATAAAACTTCAAAGAAGAATCCTCAGAAAATTATTTTTGATATGTGCATTTAACTCATGGAGTTGAAACTTCCTTTCAACAGAAGAGTTTTTAAATACTCTTTTTGTAGAATTTCCAAGTGGATTTTCACAGCCGTTTGAGGTCTATGGCAGAAAAAGAAATATCTTCACAGAAAAACTACGCAGATTCATTCTCCGAAGCTGTTTGTGATGCTTGCATTCAGCTTACAGAGTTTAAACTTCCTTTGATAGAGCAGTTTTGAAACCCTCTTTTTGTGGAATTTGCAAGTGTCTCTTTAGAGCGTTTTGAGGCCTACAGTAGGAAAGGAAATATCTTCAAATAAAAACTAGACAGAAGTATTCTCAGAAACTTACTTGTGATATTTGCATTCAACGCACAGAGTTGAACATTGCTCTTGATGGAGCAGTTTTGAAACACTCTTTTTGTAGAATCTGCAGGTGGATATTTGGACCTCTTTGTGGCCTTCTTTTGAAACGTGATTTCTTCATTTACAACTAGACAGAAGAATTCTCAGAAACTCCTTTGTGATGTGTACCTTCAACTCACAGAGGTGAAGCTTCCTTTCAATAGAGCACTTTTGAAACTCAGTTTTGGTAGAATTTCCAGGTGGATATTTTTCGCCGTTTGAGGCCTATGGTAGAAAAGGCAATATCTTCGTAGGAGAACTAGACACAATGATTCTCAGAAGCTACTTTGTGATGTGTGGGTTCAACTCACTGAGATTAACCTTTCTTTTGATAGACCAGTTTATGAAACACTCTTTTTGTAGAATCTGCAAGTAAATCTTTGGACTTTTTTGAGGCCTTCATTGGAAACGGGGTTTCTTCATATAAACCTTGACAGAAGAATTCTCAGAAATTTCTCTGTGATGTGTGCGTTTAACTCTCAGAGTTCAACCTTCCTTTTGATAGAAGAGTGTTGAAATATTCTTTTTGCAGAATTTCCAAGTGAATATTTAGAGCGGTCTCAGGCCTATGTGGAAGAGAAATTATCTTCACGGAAAAACTAGACATAATTGTTCTCTGAAGCTACTCTGTGATGTGCGCATTCAGCTGACAGAGTTTAACCTTTCTTTGGATAGAGCGGTTTTAAACCCTCTTTTTGTGGAATTTGCAATTCTGTATTTAGAGTGCTTTCAGGCCTGTGGTACAAAAGGGAATGTCTTCACATAAAATCTAGACAGAAGCATTGTCGGGAACTACTTTGAGATACTTGCCTTCAACTCTCAGAGTTGAATATTCCTCTTGATGGAGCAGTTTTGAAAAACTCTTTTTGTTGAATCTCCAAGTGGATATTTGGACCTCTTTGTGGCCTTCGTTTGAAACGTGACTGCTTCATACAAAAGTAGACAGAAGAATTCTCATAAACTTCTTCGTGATGCGTGCTTTCAACTCGCAGAGTTGAAGCTTCCTTTCGATAGAGCAGTCTTGTAACTCTCTTTTTGTAGAATTTCCAAGTGGATATTTAGCACCATTTGAGGCCTATGGTGGAAAAGGCGATATCTCCCTAGAAAAACTAGACGGAATGATTCTCAGAAACTACTCTGTGATGTGTGCCTTCAACTCACAGAGTTTAACCTTCCTTTTGATAGAGCAGTTTTGAAAAACTCTTTTTGTAGAATCTGCAAGTGTATATTGGGACTTTTCTGAGGCCAACTTTGGAAACGGGATTTCTTCATATAAAACTTGAAAGAAGAATCCTCAGAAAATTATTTGTGATATGTGCATTTAACTCATGGAGTTGAAACTTCCTTTCGATAGAAGAGTTTTGAAATACTCTTTTTGTAGAATTTCCAAGTGGATTTTTACAACGGTTTGAGGTCTATGGCTGCAAAAGGAATATCTTCACAGAAAAACTAGGCAGATTCATTCTCCGAAGCTGTTTTGTGATGCTTGCATTAAGCTGACAGAGTTTAAACTTCCTTTGAGAGAGCAGTTTGGAAACACTCATTTGTGGAATTTGCAAGTGTATATTTAGAGCGTTTTGAGGCCTACAGTAGGAAAGGAAATATCTTCACAAAATACTAGACAGAAGTATTGTCAGAAACTGATTTGTGATATTTGCATTCAACGCACAGAGTTGAACATTCCTCTTGATGGAGCAGTTTTGAAACCCTCTTTTTGTAGAATCTGCAGGTGGATATTTGGACCTCTTTGTGGCCTTCGTTTGAAACGTGATTTCTTCATTTAGAACTAGACAGAAGAATTCTCAGAAACTTCTTAGTGATGTGTACCTTCAACTCACAGAGGTGAAGCTTCCTTTCAATAGAGCACTTTTGAAACTCAGTTTTGGTAGAATTTCCAGGTGGATGTTTTGCGCCGTTTGAGGCCTATGGTAGAAAAGGCAATATCTTCGTAGGAGAACTAGACAGAATGATTCTCAGAAACTACTTTGTGATGTGTGGGTTCAACTCACTGAGTTTAACCTTTCTTTTGATAGACCAGTTATGAAACACTCTTTTTGTAGAATCTGCAAGTAAATATTTGGACTTTTTTGAGGCCTTCATTGGAAACGGGATTTCTTCATAGAAACCTTGACAGAAGAATCCCCAGAAACTTCTTTGTGATGTGTGCATTTAACTCTCAGAGTTCAACCTTCCTTTTGATAGAAGAGTGTTGAAATATTCTTTTTGTAGAATTTCCAAGTGAATATTTAGAGCGGTTTCAAGCCTATGTAGAAGAGAAAATATCTTCACAGAGAAACTAGACATAATTGTTCTCTGAAGCTACTTTGTGATGGGCGCCTTCAGCTGACAGAGTTTAACCTTTCTTTGGATAGAGCGGTTTTAAACACTCTTTTTGTGGAATTTGCAATTCTATATTTAGAGTGCTTTCAGGCCTGTGGTACAAAAGGGAATGTCTTCACATAAAATCTAGACAGAAGCGTTGTCGGAAACTACTTTGTGATACCTGCCTTCAACTCTCAGAGTTGAATATTCCTCTTGACGGAGCAGTTTTGAAAAACGCTTTTTGTGGAATCTCCAAGTGGATATTTGGACCTCTTTGTGGCCTTCGTTTGAGACGTGACTTCTTCATACAAAACTAGACAGAAGAATTCTCATCAACTTCTTCGCGATGTGTGCTTTCAACTCGCAGAGTTGCAGCTTCCTTTCGATAGAGCAGTTTTGTAACTCTCTTTTTGTAGAATTTCCAAGTGGATATTTAGCGCCGTTTGAGGCCTATGGTGGAAAAGGCAATATCTTCATAGAAAAACTAGACAGAATGATTCTCAGGAACTGCTTTGTCATGTGTGCCTTCAACTCACAGAGTTTAAACTTTCTTTTGGTAGAGCAGTTTTGAAAAGCTCTTTTTGTAGAATCTGCAAGTGTATATTTGGACTTATCTGAGGCCATCTTTGGAAACGGGATTTCTTCATATAAAACTTCAAAGAAGAATCCTCAGAAAATTATTTTTGATATGTGCATTTAACTCATGGAGTTGAAACTTCCTTTCGACACAAGAGTTTTGAAATACTCTTTTTGTAGAATTTCCAAGTGGATTTTCCCAGCGGTTTGAGGTCTATGGCAGAAAAAGAAATATCTTCACAGAAAAACTAGGCAGATTCATTCTCCGAAGCTGTTTCGTGATGCTTGCATTAAGCTGACAGAGTTTAAACTTCCTTTGATAGAGCAGTTTGGAAACACTCTTTTTGTGGAATTTGCAAGTGTATATTTAGAGCGTTTTGAGGCCTACAGTAGGAAAGGAAATAACTTCACATAAAAACTAGACAGAAGTATTGTCAGAAACTTACTTGTGATATTTGCATTCAACGCACAGAGTTGAACATTCCTCTTGATGGAGCAGTTTTCAAACCCTCTTTTTGCAGAATCTGCACGTGGATATTTGGACCTCTTTGTGGCCTTCGTTTGAAACGTGATTTCTTCATTTACAACTAGACAGAAGAATTCTCAGAAACTTCTTTGTGATGTGTACCTTCAACTCACAGAGGTGAAACTTCCTTTCAATAGAGCACTTTTGAAGCTCAGTTTTGGTAGAATTTCCAGGTGGATATTTAGCGCCGTTTGAGGCCTATGGTAGAAAAGGCAATATCTTCGTAGGAGAACTAGACAGAATGATTCCCAGAAGCTACTTTGTGATGTGTGGGTTCAACTCACTGAGTTTAACCTTTCTTTTGATAGACCAGTTATGAAACACACTTTTTGTGGAATCGGCAAGTAAATATTTGGACTTTTTGGAGGCCTTCATTGGAAACGCGGTATCTTCATATAAACCTTGACAGAAGAATTCTCAGAAACTTCTCTGTGATGTGTGCGTTTAACTCTTAGAGTTCAACCTTCCTTTTGATAGAAGAGTGTTGAAATATTCTTTTTGTAGAATTTCCAAGTGAATATTTAGAGCGGTTTCAGGCCTATGTAGAAGAGAAACTATCTTCACAGAAAAACTAGACATAATTGTTCTCTGAAGCTACTTTGTGATGTGCTCATTCAGCTTACAGAGTTTAACCTTTCTTTGGATCGAGCGGTTTTAAACACTCTTTTTGTGGAATTTGCAATTCTATATTTAGAGTGCTTTCAGGCCTGTGGTACAAAAGGGAATGTCCTCACATAAAATCTAGACAGAAGCATTGTCGGGAACTACTTTGTGATACCTGCCTTCAACTCTCAGAGTTGAATATTCCTCTTGATGGAGCAGTTTTGTAAAACTCTTTTTGTTGAATCTCCATGTGGATATTTGGACCTCTTCGTGGCCTTCGTTTGAAACGTGACTGCTTCATACAAAAGTAGACAGAAGAATTCTGATAAACTTCTTCGTGATGTGTGCTTTCAAGTCGCAGCGTTGAAGCTTCCTTTCGATAGAGCAGTTTAGTAACTCTCTTTTTGTAGAATTTCCAAGTGGATATTTAGCGCCGTTTGAGGCCTATGGTGGAAAAGGCAATATCTTCATAGAAAAACTAGTCAGAATGATTCTCAGAAACTACTCTGTGATGTGTGCCTTCAACTCACAGAGTTTAACCTTCCTTTTGATAGAGCAGTTTTGAAAAACTCTTTTTGTAGAATCTGCAAGTGTATATTGGGAGTTTTCTGAGGCCAACTTTGGAAACGGGATTTCTTCATATAAAACTTGAAAGAGAATCCTCAGAAAATTATTTGTGATATGTGCATTTAACTCATGGAGTTGAGACTTCCTTTCGATAGAAGAGTTTTGAAATACTCTTTTTGTAGAATTTCCAAGTGGATTTTTACAGCGGTTTCAGGTCTATGGCAGAAAAAGAAATATCTTCACAGAAAAACTAGGCAGATTCATTCTCCGAAGCTGTTTTGTGATGCTTGCATTCAGCTGACAGAGTTTAAACTTCCTTTGATAGAGCAGTTTGGAAACACTCTTTTTGTGGAATTTGCAAGTGTATATTTAGAGCGTTTTGAGGCCTACAGTAGGAAAGGAAATATCTTCATATATAAACTAGACAGAAGTATTGTCAGAAACTTATTTGTGATATTTGCATTCAACGCACAGAGTTGAACATTCCTCTTGATGGAGCAGATTTGAAACCCTCTTTTTGCAGAATCTGCAGCTGGATATTTGGACCTCTTTGTGGCCTTCGTTTGAAACGTGATTTCTGCATTTACAACTAGACAGAAGAATTCTCAGAAACTTCTTTGTGATGTGTACCTTCAACCCACAGAGGTGAAGCTTCCTTTCAATAGAGCACTTTTGAAACTCAGTTTTGGTAGAATTTCCAGGTGGATATTTAGCGCCGTTTGAGGCCTATGGTAGAAAAGGCAATATCTTCGTAGGAGAACTAGACAGAATGATTCTCAGAAGCTACTTTGTCATGTGTGGGTTCAACTCACTGAGTTTAACCTTTCTTTTGATAGACCAGTTATGAAACACTCTTTCTGTGGAAACTGCAATAAATATTTAGACTTTTTTGAGGCCTTCATTGGAAACGGGGTTTCTTCATATAAACCTTGACAGAAGAATTCTCAGAAACTTCTCTGTGATGTGTGCGTTTAACTCTCAGAGTTCAACCTTCCTTTTGATAGAAGAGTGTTGAAATATTCTTTTTGCAGAATTTCCAAGTGAATATTTAGAGCGGTTTCAGGCCTATGTAGAAGAGAAACTATCTTCACAGAAAAACTAGACATAATTGTTCTCTGAAGCTGCTCTGTGATGTGCGCATTCAGCTGACAGAGTTTAACCTTTCTTTGGATAGAGCGGTTTTAAACACTCTTTTTGTGGAATTTGCAATTCTATATTTAGAGTGCTTTCAGGCCTGTGGTACAAAAGGGAATGTCTTCACATAAAATCTAGACAGAAGCATTGTCGGGAACTACTTTGTGATACCAGCCTTCAACTCTCAGAGTTGAATATTCCTCTTGACGGAGCAGTTTTGAAAAACTCTTTTTGTTGAATCTCCAAGTGGATATTTGGACCTCTTTGTGGCCTTCGTTTGAAACGTGACTGCTTCATACAAAAGTAGACAGAAGAATTCTCATAAACTACTTCGTGATGTGTGCTTTCAACTCGCAGCGTTGAAGCTTCCTTTCGATAGAGCAGTTTAGTAACTCTCTTTTTGTAGAATTTCCAAGTGGATATTTAGCGCCGTTTGAGGCCTATGGTGGAAAAGGCAATATCTTCATAGAAAAACTAGACAGAATGATTCTCAGAAACTACTTTGTGATGTGTGCCTTCAACTCACAGTGTTTAACCTTTCTTTTGATAGAGCAGTTTTGGAAAACTCTTTTTGTAAAATCTGCAAGTGTTTATTGGGACTTTTCTGAGGCCATCTTTGGAAACGGGATTTCTTCATATAAAACTTGAAAGAAGAATCCTCAGAAAATTATTTGTGATATGTGCATTTAACTCATGGAGTTCAGACTTCCTTTCGATAGAAGAGTTTTGAAATACTCTTTTTGTAGAATTTCCAAGTGGATTTTTACAGCGGTTTGAGGTCTATGGCAGAAAATGGAATATCTTCACAGAAAAACCAGGCAGATTCATTCTCCGAAGCTGTTTAGTGATGCTTGCATTAAGCTGACAGAGTTTAAACTTCCTTTGATAGAGCAGTTTGGAAACACTCTTTTTGTGGAATTTGCAATTCTATATTTAGAGTGCTTTCAGGCCTGTGGTACAAAAGGGAATGTCTTCACATAAAATCTAGACAGAAGCATTGTCGGGAACTACTTTGTGATACCTGCCTTCAACTCTCAGATTTGAATATTCGTCTTGATGGAGCAGTTTTGAAAAACTCTTTTTGTTGAATCTCCAAGTGGATATTTGGACCTCTTTGTGGCCTTCGTTTGAAACGTGACTGCTTCATACAAAAGTAGACAGAAGAATTCTCATAAACTTCTTCGTGATGTGTGCTTTCAACTCGCAGCGTTGAAGCTTCCTTTCGATAGAGCAGTTTAGTAACTCTCTTTTTGTAGAATTTCCAAGTGGATATTTAGCGCCGTTTGAGGCCTATGGTGGAAAAGGCAATATCTTCATAGAAAAACTAGACAGAATGATTCTCAGAAACTACTTTGTGATGTGTGCCTTCAACTCACAGAGTTTAACCTTCCTTTTGGTAGAGCAGTTTTGAAAAACTCTTTTTGTAGAATCTGCAAGTGTATATTGGGACTTTTCTGAGGCCATCTTTGGAAACGGGATTTCTTCATATAAAACTTGAAGGAAGAATCCTCAGAAAATTATTTGTGATCTGTGCATTTAACTCATGGAGTTGAAACTTCCTTTCGATAGAAGAGTTTTGAAATACTCTTTTTGTAGAATTTCCAAGTGGATTTTTACAGCGGTTTGAGGTCTATGGCAGCAAAAGAAATATCTTCACAGAAAAACTAGGCAGATTCATTCTCCGAAGCTGTTTTGTGATGCTTGCATTAAGCTGACAGAGTTTAAACTTCCTTTGATAGAGCAGTTTGGAAACACTCTTTTTGTGGAATTTGCAAGTGTATATTTAGAGCGTTTTGAGGCCTACAGTAGGAAAGGAAATATCTTCACTTAAAAACTAGACAGAAGTATTGTCAGAAACTTATTTGTGATATTTGCATTCAACGCACAGAGTTGAACATTCCTCTTGATGGAGCAGTTTTGAAACCCTCTTTTTGCAAGAATCTGCAGGTGGATATTTGGACCTCTTTGTGGCCTTCGTTTGAAACGTGATTTCTTCATTTACAACTAGACAGAAGAATTCTCAGAAACTTCTTTGTGATGTGTACCTTCAACTCACAGAGGTGAAGCTTCCTTTCAATAGAGCACTTTTGAAGCTCAGTTTTGGTAGAATTTCCAGGTGGATATTTAGCGCCGTTTGTGGCCTATGGTAGAAAAGGCAATATCTTCGTAGGAGAACTAGACACAATGATTCTCAGAAGCTACTTTGTGATGTGTGGGTTCAACTCACTGAGTTTCACCTTTCTTTTGATAGACCAGTTATGAAACACTCTTTTTGTGGAATCTGCAAGTAAATATTTGGACTTTTTTAAGGCCTTCATTGGAAACGGGGTTTCCTCATATAAACCTTGACAGAATGATTCTCAGACACTACTTTGTGATGTGTGCATTGACCTCTCAGAGTTCAACCTTCCTTTTGATAGAAGAGTGTTGAAATATTATTTTTCTAGAATTTCCAAGTGAATATTTAGAGCGGTTTCAGGCCTATGTAGAAGAGAAAATTTCTTCACAGAGAAACTAGACATAATTGTTCTCTGAAGCTACTTTGTGATGTGCGCATTCATCTTACAGAGTTTAACCTTTCTTTGGATAGAGCGGTTTTAAACACTCTTTTTGTGGAATTTGCAATTCTATATTTAGAGTGCTTTCAGGCCTGTGGTACAAAAGGGAATGTCCTCACATAAAATCTAGACAGAAGCATTGTCGGAAACTACTTTGTGATAACTGCCTTCAACTCTCAGAGTTGAATATTCCTCTTGATGGAGCAGTTTTGAAAAACTCTTTTTGTTGAATCTCCAAGTGGATATTTGGACGTCTTTGTGACCTTCGTTTGAGACGTGACTTCTTCATACAAAACTAGAGAGAAGAATTCTCATAAACTTCTTCGTGATGTGTGCTTTCAACTCGCAGAGTTGAAGCTTCCTTTCGATAGAGCAGTCTTGTAACTCTCTTTTTGTAGAATTTCCAAGTGGATATTTAGCGCCGCTTGAGGACTATGGTGGAGAAGGCGATATCTTCATAGAAAAACTAGACAGAATGATTCTCAGAAACTACTTTGTGATGTGTGCCTTCAACTCACTGAGTTTAACCTTTCTTTTGATAGAGCAGTTTTGAAAAACTCTTTTTGTAGAATCTGCAAGTGTATATTGGGACTTTTCTGAGGCCATCTTTGGAAACGGGATTTCTTCATATAAAACTTGAAAGAAGAATCCTCAGAAAATTATTTGTGGTATGTGCATTTAACTCATGGAGTTGAAACTTCCTTTCGCTAGAAGAGTTTTGACATACTGTTTTTGTAGGATTTCCAAGTGGATTTTCACAGCGGTTTGAGGTCTATGGCAGAAAAAGAAATATCTTCACAGAAAAACTAGGCAGATTCATTCTCCGAAGCTGTTTTGTGATGCTTGCATTCAGCTTACAGAGTTTAAACTTACTTTGATAGAGCAGTTTTGAAACCCTCTTTTTGTGGAATTTGCAAGTGTCTCTTTAGAGCGTTTTGAGGCCTACAGTAGGAAAGGAAATATCTTCACATAAAAACTAGACGGAAGTATTGTCAGAAACTTATTTGTGATATTTGCATTCAACGCACGGAGTTGAACATTCCTCTTGATGGAGCCGTTTTGAAGCAGTCTTTTTGTGGAATCTGCAAGTGGATATTTGGACCTCTTTGTGGCCTTCATGTGAAACGTGATTTCTTCATTTACAACTAGACAGAAGAATTCTCAGAAACTTCTTTGTGATGTGTACCTACAACTCACAGAGTTGAAGCTTCCTTTCAATAGAGCACTTTTGAAGCTCAGTTTTGGTAGAATTTCCAGGTGGATATTTAGCGCCGTTTGAGGCGTATGGTAGAAAAGGCAATATCTTCGTAGGAGAACTAGACAGAATGATTCTCAGAAGCTACTTTGTGATGTGTGGGTTCAACTCACTGAGTTTAACCTTTCTTTTGATAGACCAGTTATGAAACACTCTTTTTGTGGAATCTGCAAGTAAATATTTGGACTTTTTTGAGGCCTTCATTGGAAACGGGGTTTCTTCATATAAACCTTGACAAAAGAATTCCCAGAAACTTCTCTGTGATGTGTGCATTTAACTCTCAGAGTTCAACCTTCCTTTTGATAGAAGAGGGATGAAATATTCTTTTTGTAGAATTTCCAAGTGAATATTTAGAGCGGTTTCAGGCCTATGTAGAAGAGAAAATATCTTCACAGAAAAACTAGACATAATTGTTCTCTGAAGCTACTTTGTGATGTGTGCATTCAGCTTACAGAGATTAACCTTTCTTTGGATCGAGCGGTTTTAAACACTCTTTTTGTGGAATTTGCAATTCTATATTTAGAGTGCTTTCAGGCCTGTGGTACAAAAGGGAATGTCTTCACATAAAATCTAGACAGAAGCATTGTCGGAAACTACTTTGTGATACCTGCCTTCAACTCTCAGAGTTGAATATTCCTCTTGATGGAGCAGTTTTGAAAGACTCTTTTTGTTGAATCTCCAAGTGGATATTTGGACCTCTTTGTGGCCTTCGTTTGAGACGTGACTGCTTCATACAAAAGTAGACAGAAGAATTCTCATAAACTTCTTCGTGATGTGTGCTTTCAACTCGCAGCGTTGAAGCTTCCTTTCGATAGAGCAGTTTTGTAACTCTCTTTTTGTAGAATTTCCAAGTGGATATTTAGCGCCGTTTGAGGCCTATGATGGAAAAGGCAATATCTTCATAGACAAACTAGACAGAATGATTCTCAGAAACTACTTTGTGATGTGTGCCTTCAACTCACAGAGTTTAACTTTCTTTTGATAGAGCAGTTTTGAAAAACTCTTTTTGTAGAATCTGCAAGTGTATATTGGGACTTTTCTGAGGCCATCTTTGGAAACGGGATTTCTTCATATAAAACTTGAAAGAAGAATCCTCAGAAAATTATTTGTGATATCTGCATTTAACTCATGGAGTTGAGATTTCCTTTCGATAGAAGAGTTTTGAAACACTCTTTTTGTAGAATTTCCAAGTGGATTTTTACAGCGGTTTGAGGTCTATGGCAGAAAAAGGAATATCTTCACAGAAAAACTAGGCAGATTCATTCTCCGAAGCTGTTTTGTGATGCTTGCATTCAGCTGACAGAGTTTAAACTTCCTTTGATAGAGCAGTTTTGAAACCCTCTTTTTGTGGAATTTGCAAGTGTATATTTAGAGCGTTTTGAGGCCTACAGTAGGAAAGGAAACATCTTCACCTAAAAACTAGACAGAAGTATTGTCAGAAACTTATTTGTGATATTTGCATTCAACGCACGGAGTTGAACATTCCTCTTGATGGAGCCGTTTTGAAGCACTCTTTTTGTGGAATCTGCAAGTGGATATTTGGACCTCTTTGTGGCCTTCGTGTGAAACGTGATTTCTTCATTTACAACTAGACAGAGGAATTCTCAGAAACTTCTTTGTGATGTGTGCCTTCAACTCACAGATTTGAAGCTTCCTTTCAATAGAGCACTTTTGAATCTCAGTTTTTGTAGAATTTCCAGGTGGATATTTAGCGCCGCTTGAGGCCTATGGTAGAAAAGGCCATATCTTTGTAGGAAAACTAGACAGAATGATTCTCAGAAACTACTTTGTGATGTGTGGGTTCAACTCACTGAGTTTAACCTTTCTGTTGATAGACCAGTTATAAAACACTCTTTTTGTAGAATCTGCAAGTAAATATTTGGACTTTTTTGAGGCCTTCATTGGAAACGGGATTTCTTCATAGAAACCTTGACAGAAGAATTCTCAGAAACTTCTTTGTGATGTGTGCATTTAACTCTCAGAGTTCAACCTTCCTTTTGATAGAAGAGTGTTGAAATATTCGTTTTGTAGAATTTCCAAGTGAATATTTAGAGCGGTTTCAGGCCTATGTAGAAGAGAAAATATCTTCACAGAAAAACTAGACACAATTGTTCTCTGAAGCTACTTTGTGATGTGCGCATTCAGCTTACAGAGTTTAACCTTTCTTTGGATCGAGCGGTTTTAAACACTCTTTTTGTGGAATTTGCAATTCTATATTTAGAGTGCTTTCAGGCCTGTGGTACAAAAGGGAATGTCTTCACATAAAATCTAGACAGAAGTATTGTCGGAAACTACTGTGTGATACCTGCCTTCAACTCTCAGAGTTGAATATTCCTCTTGATGGAGCAGTTTTGAAAAACTCTTTTTGTTGAATCTCCAAGTGGATATTTGGACCTCTTTGTGGCCTTCGTTTGAAACGTGACTTCTTCATACAAAACTAGACAGAAGAATTCTCATAAACTTCTTTGGGATGTGTGCTTGCAACTCGCAGAGTTGAAGCTTCCTTTCGATAGAGCAGTCTTGTAACTCTCTGTTTGTAGAATTTCCAAGTGGATATTTAGCGCCGTTTGAGGCCTATGGTGGAAAAGGCAATATCTTCATAGAAAAACTAGACAGAATGATTCTCAGAAAGTACTTTGTGATGTGTGCCTTCAACTCACAGAGTTTAACCTTTCTTTTGATAGAGCAGTTTTGAAAAACTCTTTTTGTAGAATCTGCAAGTGTATATTGGGACTTTTCTGAGGCCATCTTTGGAAACGGGATTTCTTCCTATAAAACTTGAAAGAAGAATCCTCAGAAAATTATTTGTGATATGTGCATTTAACTCATGCAGTTGAGACTTCCTTTCGATAGAAGAGTTTTGAAATACTCTTTTCGTAGAATTTCCAAGTGGATTTTTACGGCGGTTTGAGGTCTATGGCAGAAAAAGAAATATCTTCACAGAAAAACTAGGCAGATTCATTCTCCGAAGCTGTTTTGTGATGCTTGCATTAAGCTGACAGAGTTTAAACTTCCTTTGATAGAGCAGTTTGGAAACACTCTCTTTGTGGAATTTGCAAGTGTATATTTAGAGCGTTTTGAGGCCTACAGTAGGAAAGGAAATATCTTCACATAAAAACTAGACAGAAGTATTGTCAGAAACTTATTTGTGATATTTGCATTCAACGCACAAAGTTGAACATTCCTCTTGATGGAGCAGTTTTGAAACCCTCTTTTTGCAGAATCTGCAGGTGGATATTTGGACCTCTTTGTGGCCTTCGTTTGAAACGTGATTTCTTCATTTACAACTAGACAGAAGAATTCTCAGAAACTTCTTTGTGATGTGTACCTTCAACTCACAGAGGTGAAGCTTCCTTTCAATAGAGCACTTTTGAAGCTCAGTTTTGGTAGAATTTCCGGGTGGATATTTAGCGCCGTTTGAGGCCTATGGTAGAAAAGGCAATATCTTCGTAGGAGAACTAGACAGAATGATTCTCAGAAACTACTTTGTGATGTGTGGGTTCAACTCACTGAGTTTAACCTTTGTTTTGATAGACCAGTTATGAAACACTCTTTTTGTAGAATCTGCAAGTAAATATTTGGACTTTTTTGAGGCCTTCATTGGAAACGGGATTTCTTCATAGAAACCTTGACAGAAGAATTCCCAGAAACTTCTTTGTGATGTGTGCATTTAACTCTCAGAGTTCAACCTTCCTTTTGACAGAAGAGTGTTGAAATATTCTTTTTCTAGAGTTTCCAAGTGAATATTTAGAGCGGTTTCAGGCCTATGTAGAAGAGAAAATATCTTCACAGAGAAACTAGACATAATTGTTCTCTGCAGCTACTTTGTGATGTGCGCCTTCAGCGGACAGAGTTTAACCTTTCTTTGGATAGAGCGGTTTTAAGCACTCTTTCTGTGGAATTTGCAATTCTATATTTAGAGTGCTTTCAGGCCTGTGGTACAAAAGGGAATGTCTTCACATAAAATCTAGACAGAAGCATTGTCGGGAACTACTTTGGGATACCTGCCTTCAACTCTCAGAGTTGAATATTCCTCTTGATGGAGCAGTTTTGTAAAACTCTTTTTGTTGAATGTGCAAGTGGATATTTAGACCTCTTTGTGGCCTTCGTTTGAAACGTGACTGCTTCATACAAAAGTAGACAGAAGAATTCTCATAAACTTCTTCGTGATGTGTGCTTTCAACTCGCAGCGTTGAAGCTTCCTTTCGATAGAGCAGTTTAGTAACTCTCTTTTTGTAGAATTTCCAAGTGGATATTTAGCGCCGTTTGAGGCCTATTGTGGAAAAGGCAATATCTTCATAGAAAAACTAGACAGAATGATTCTCAGAAACTACTTTGTGATGTGTGCCTTCAACTCACAGAGTTTAACCTTTCTTTGGATAGAGCAGTTTTGAAAAACTCTTTTTGTAGAATCTGCAAGGGTATATTGGGACTTTTCTGAGGCCATCTTTGGAAACGGGATTTCTTCATATAAAACTTCAAAGAAGAATCCTCAGAAAATTATTTGTGGTATGTGCATTTAACTCATGGAGTTGAAACTTCCTTTCGCTAGAAGAGTTTTGACATACTCTTTTTGTAGGATTTCCAAGTGGATTTTCACAGCGGTTTGAGGTCTATGGCAGAAAAAGAAATATCTTCACAGAAAAACTAGGCAGATTCATTCTCCGAAGCTGTTTTGTGATGCTTGCATTAAGCGGACAGAGTTTAAACCTCCTTTGATAGAGCAGTTTGGAAACACTCTTTTTGTGGAATTTGCAAGTGTATATTTAGAGCGTTTTGAGGCCTACAGTAGGAAAGGAAATATCTTCACATAAAAACTATACAGAAGTATTCTCAGAAACTTACTTGTGATATTTGCATTCAACGAACAGAGTTGAACATTCCTCTTGATGGAGCAGTTTTGAAACACTCTTTTTGTAGAATCTGCAGGTGGATATTTGGACCTCTTTGTGGCCTTCTTTTGAAACGTGATTTCTTCATTTACAACTAGACAGAAGAATTCTCAGAAACTTCTTTGTGATGTGTACCTTCAACTCACAGAGGTGAAGCTTCCTTTCAATAGAGCACTTTTGAAACTCAGTTTTGGTAGAATTTCCAGGTGGATATTTTGCGCCGTTTGAGGCCTATGGTAGAAAAGGCAATATTCTTCGTAGGAGAACTAGACACAATGATTCTCAGAAGCTACTTTGTGATGTGTGGGTTCAACTCACTGAGTTTAACCTTTCTTTTGATAGACCAGTTATGAAACACTCTTTTTGTGGAATCGGCAAGTAAATATTTGGACTTTTTGGAGGCCTTCTTTGGAAACGGGGTTTCTTCATATAAACCTTGACAGAAGAATTCTCAGAAACTTCTCTGTGATGTGTGCGCTTAACTCTCAGAGTTCAACCTTCCTTTTGATAGAAGAGTGTTGAAATATTCTTTTTGTAGAATTTCCAAGTGAATATTTAGAGCGGTTTCAGGCCTATGTAGAAGAGAATCTATCTTCACAGAAAAACTAGACATAATTGTTCTCTGAAGCTACTTTGTGATGTGCGCATTCATCTTACAGAGTTTAACCTTTCTTTGGATCGAGTGGTTTTAAACACTCTTTTTGTGGAATTTGCAATTCTATATTTAGAGTGCTTTCAGGCCTGTGGTACAAAAGGGAATGTCCTCACATAAAATCTAGACAGAAGCATTGTCGGAAACTACTTTGTGATACCTGCCTTCAACTCTCAGAGTTGAATATTCCTCTTGATGGAGCAGTTTTGAAAAACTCTTTTTGTTGAATCTCCAAGTGGATATTTGGACCTCTTTGTGGCCTTCGTTTGAAACGTGATTTCTTCATACAAAACTAGAAAGGAGAATTCTCATAAACTTCTTCGTGATGTGTGCTTTCCACTCGCAGAGTTGAAGCTTCCTTTCGATAGAGCAGTCTTGTAACTCTCTTTTTGTAGAATTTCCAAGTGGATATTTAGCGCCGCTTGAGGACTATGGTGGAGAAGGCGATATCTTCATAGAAAAACTATACAGAATGATTCTCAGAAACTACTTTGTGATGTGTGCCTTCAACTCACAGAGTTTAACCTTTCTTTGGATAGAGCAGTTTTGAAAAACTCTTTTTGTAGAATCTGCAAGGGTATATTGGGACTTTTCTGAGGCCATCTTTGGAAACGGGATTTCTTCATATAAAACTTCAAAGAAGAATCCTCAGAAAATTATTTGTGGTATGTGCATTTAACTCATGGAGTTGAAACTTCCTTTCGCTAGAAGAGTTTTGACATACTCTTTTTGTAGGATTTCCAAGTGGATTTTCACAGCGGTTTGAGGTCTATGGCAGAAAAAGAAATATCTTCACAGAAAAACTAGGCAGATTCATTCTCCGAAGCTGTTTTGTGATGCTTGCATTCAGCTGACAGAGTTTAAACTTCGTTTGATAGAGCAGTTTGGAAACACTCTTTTTGTGGAGTTTGCAAGTGTTTATTTAGAGCGTTTTGAGGCCTACAGTAGGAAAGGAAATATCTTCACATAAAAACTAGACAGAAGTATTGTCAGAAACTTATTTGTGATATTTGCATTCAACGCACAGAGTTGAACATTCCTCTTGATGGAGCAGTTTTGAAACACTCTTTTTGTAGAATCTGCAAGTGGATATTTGGACCTCTTTGTGGCCTTCGTTTGAAACGTGATTTCTTCATTTACAACTAGACAGAAGAATTCTCAGAAACTTCTTTGTGATGTGTACTTTCAACTCACAGAGTTGAAGCTTCCTTTCAATAGAGCACTTTTGAAACTCAGTTTCTGTAGAATTTCCAGGTGGATATTTAGCGCCGTTTGAGGCCTATGGTGGAAAAGGCAATATCTTCGTAGAAAAACAAGACAGAATGATTCTCAGAAGCTACTTTGTGATGTGTGGGTTCAACTCACTGAGTTTCACCTTTCTTTTGATAGACCAGTTATGAAACACTCTTTTTGTGGTATCTGCAAGTAAATATTTGGACTTTTTTGAGGCCTTCATTGGAAACGGGGTTTCCTCATATAAACCTTGACAGAAGAATTCTCAGAAACTTCTCTGTGATGTGTGCGTTTAACTCTCAGAGTTCAACATTCCTTTTGATACAAGAGTGTTGAAATATTCTTTTTGTAGAATTTCCAAGTGAATATTTAGAGCGGTCTCAGGCCTATGTAGAAGAGAAACTATCTTCACAGAAAAACTAGACATAATTGTTCTCTGAAGCTAGTCTGTGATGTGCGCATTCAGCTGACAGAGTTTAACCTTTCTTTGGATAGAGCGGTTTTAAACACTCTTTTTGTGGAATTTGCAATTTTATATTTAGAGTGCTTTCAGGCCTGTGGTACAAAAGGGAATGTCTTCACATAAAATCTAGACAGAAGCATTGTCGGAAACTACTTTGTGATACCTGCCTTCAACTCTCAGAGTTGAATATTCCTCTTGATGGAGCAGTTTTGAAAAACTCTTTTTGTTGAATCTCCAAGTGGATATTTGGACCTCTTTGTGGCCTTCGTTTGAGACGTGACTGCTTCATACAAAACTGGACAGAAGAATTCTCATAAACTTCTTCGTGATGTGTGCTTTCAACTGGCAGCGTTGAAGCTTCCTTTCGATAGAGCAGTTTTGTAACTCTCTTTTTGTAGAATTTCCCGGTGGATATTTAGCGCCTTTTGAGGCCTATGGTGGAAAAGGCAATATCTTCATAGAAAAACTAGACCGAATCATTCTCAGAAACTACTTTGTGATGTGTGCCTTCAACTCACAGAGTTTAACCTTTCTTTTGATAGAGCAGTTTTGAAAAACTCTTTTTGTAGAATCTGCAAGTGTATATTGGGACTTTTCTGAGGCTATCTTTGGAAACGGGATTTCTTCATATAAAACTTGAAAGAAGAATCCTCAGAAAATTATTTGTGATATGTGCATTTAACTCATGGAGTTGAAACTTCCTTTCGATAGAAGAGTTTTGAAATACTCTTTTTGTAGAATTTCCAAGTGGATTTTTACAGCGGTGTGAGGTCTATGGCAGAAAAAGAAATATCTTCACAGAAAAACTAGGCAGATTCATTCTCCGAAGCAGTTTTGTGATGCTTGCATTAAGATTACAGAGTTTAAAATTCCTTTGATAGAGCAGTTTTGAAACACTCTTTTTGTGGATTTTGCAAGTGTATATTTAGAGCGTTTTCAGGCCTACAGTAGGAAAGGAAATATCTTCACATAAAAACTAGACAGAAGTATTGTCAGAAACTTATTTGTGATATTTGCATTCAACGCACACATTTGAACGTTCCTCTTGATGGAGCCGTTTTGAAACACTCTTTTTGTAGAATCTGCAAGTGGATATTTGGACCTCTTTGTGGCCTTCGTGTGAAACGTGACTTCTTCATTTACAACTAGACAGAAGAATTCTCAGAGACTT
Organism: Homo sapiens; assembly: GCF_000001405.40. Taxonomy (NCBI): domain Eukaryota; kingdom Metazoa; phylum Chordata; class Mammalia; order Primates; family Hominidae; genus Homo; species Homo sapiens. Next base: position 90,861,846 of record NC_000003.12, read on the forward strand.
CTTTGTGATGTGTACCTTCAACTCACAGAGTTGAAGCTTCCTTTCAATAGAGCACTTCTGAAACTCAGTTTTTGTAGAATTTCCAGGGGGATATTTAGCGCCGTTTGAGGCCTATGGTAGAAAAGGCAATATCTTCATAGGAAAACTAGACAGAATGATTCTCAGAAACTACTTTGTGATGTGTGGGTTCAACTCACTGAGTTTAACCTTTCTTTTGATAGACCAGTTACAAAACACTCTTTTTGTAGAATCTGCAAGTAAATATTTGGACTTTTTTGAGGCCTTCATTGGAAACGGGATTTCTTCATAGAAACCTTGACAGAAGAATTCTCAGAAACTTCTCTGTGATGTGTGCGTTTAACTCTCAGAGTTCAACCTTCCTTTTGATAGAAGAGTGTTGAAATATTCTTTTTGTAGAATTTCCAAGTGAATATTTAGAGCGGTTTCAGGCCTATGTAGAAGAGAAAATATCTTCACAGAAAAACTTGACACAATTGTTCTCTGAAGCTACTCTGTGATGTGCGCATTCAGCTGACAGAGTTCAACCTTTCTTTGGATAGAGCGGTTTTAAACACTCTTTTTGTGGAATTTGCAATTCTGTATATAGAGTGCTTTCAGGCCTGTGGTACAAAAGGGAATGTCTTCACATAAAATCTAGACAGAAGCATTGTCGGGAACTACTTTGTGATACCTGCCTTCAACTCTCAGAGTTGAATATTCCTCTTGATGGAGCAGTTTTGTAAAACTCTTTTTGTTGAATCTCCAAGTGGATATTTGGTCCTCTTTGTGGCCTTCGTCTGAAACGTGACTGCTTCATACAAAAGTAGACAGAAGAATTCTCATAAACTTCTTCGTGATGTGTGCTTTCAACTCGCAGAGTTGAAGCTTCCTTTCGATAGAGCAGTCTTGTAACTCTCTTTTTGTAGAATTTCCAAGTGGATATTTAGCACCGTTTGAGGCCTATGGTGGAGAAGGCGATATCTTCATAGAAAAACTAGACAGAATGATTCTCAGAAACTACTCTGTGATGTGTGCCTTCAATTCACAGAGTTTAACCTTCCTTTTGATGGAGCAGTTTTGAAAAACTCTTTTTGTAGAATCTGCAAGTGTATATTGGGACTTTTCTGAGGCCATCTTTGGAAACGGGATTTCTTCATATAAAACTTGAAAGAAGAATCCTCAGAAAATTATTTGTGATATGTGCAATTACCTCATGGAGTTGAAACTTCCTTTCGATAGAAGAGTTTTGACATACTCTTTTTGTAGAATTTCCAAGTAGATTTTCACAGCGGTTTGAGGTCTATGACAGAAAAAGAAATATCTTCACAGAAAAACTAGGCAGATTCATTCTCTGAAGCTGTTTTGTGATGCTTGCATTAAGCGGACAGAGTTTAAACTTCCTTTGATAGAGCAGTTTGGAAACACTCTTTTTGTGTAATTTGCAAGTGTATATTTAGAGAGTTTTGAGGCCTACAGTAGGAAAGGAAATATCTTCACATAAAAACTACACAGAAGTATTGTCAGAAACTTATTTGTGATATTTGCATTCAACGCACAGAGTTGAACATTCCTCTTGATGGAGCAGTTTGAAACACTCTTTTTGTAGAATCTGCAAGTGGATATTTGGACCTCTTTGTGGCCTTCGTTTGAAACGTGATTTCTTCATTTACAAGTAGACAGAAGTATTCTCAGAAACTTCTTTGTGATGTGTACCTTCAACTCACAGTGGTGAAGCTTCCTTTCAATAGAGCACTTTTGAAACTCAGTTTTTGTAGAATTTCCAGGTGGATATTTAGCGCCGTTTTAGGCCTATGGTGGAAAAGGCTATATCTTCGTAGGAGAACTAGACAGAATGATTCTCAGAAACTACTTTGTGATGTGTGGGTTCAACTCACTCAGTTTAACCTTTCTTTTACTAGACCAGTTATGAAACACTCTTTTTGTAGAATCTGCAAGTAAATATTTGGACTTTTTTGAGGCCTTCATTGGAAACGGGATTTCTTCATAGAAACCTTGACAGAAGAATTCTCAGAAACTTCTTTGTGATGTGTGCATTTAACTCTCAGAGTTCAACCTTCCTTTTGATAGAAGAGTGTTGAAATATTCTTTTTGTAGAATTTCCAAGTGAATATTTAGAGCGGTTTCAGGCCTATCTAGAAGAGAAAATATCTTCACAGAAAAACTAGACACAATTGTTCTCTGAAGCTTCTTTGTGATGTGCGCATTCAGCTTACAGAGTTTAACCTTTCTTTGGATCGAGCGGTTTTAAACACTCTTTTTGTGGAATTTGCAATTCTATATTTAGAGTGCTTTCAGGCCTGTGGTACAAAAGGGAATGTCCTCACATAAAATCTAGACAGAAGCGTTGTCGGAAACTACTTTGTGATACCTGCCTTCAACTCTCAGAGTTGAACATTCCTCTTGACGGAGCAGTTTTGAAAAACGCTTTTTGTGGAATCTCCAAGTGGATATTTGGACCTCTTTGTGGCCTTCGTTTGAGCCGTGACTTCTTCATACAAAACTAGACAGAAGAATTCTCATAAACTTCTTCGTGATTTGTGCTTTCAACTCGCAGAGTTGAAGCTTCCTTTCGATAGAGCAGTCTTGTAACTCTCTTTTTGTAGAATTTCCAAGTGGATATTTAGCGCCGTTTGAGGCCTATGGTGGAGAAGGCGATATCTTCCTAGAAAAACTGGACAGAATGATTCTCAGAAACTACTGTGTGATGTGTGCCTTCAACTCACAGAGTTTAACCTTTCTTTTGATAGAGCAGTTTTGAAAAACTCTTTTTGTAGAATCTGCAAGTGTATATTGGGACTTTTCTGAGGCCATCTTTGGAAACTGGATTTCTTCATATAAAACTTGAAAGAAGAATCCTCAGAAAATTATTTGTGATATGTGCGTTTAACTCATGGAGTTGAAACTTCCTTTCGATAGAAGAGTTTTGAAATACTCTTTTTGTAGAATTTCCAAGTGGATTTTTAAAGCGGTTTGAGGTCTATGGCAGAAAAAGAAACATCTTCACAGAAAAACTAGGCAGATTCATTCTCCGAAGCTGTTTTGTGATGCTTGCATTAAGCTGACAGAGTTTAAACTTCCTTTGATAGAGCAGTTTGGAAACACTCTTTTTGTGGAATTTGCAAGTGTATATTTAGAGCGTTTTGAGGCCTACAGTAGGAAAGGAAATATCTTCACCTAAAAACTAGACAGAAGTATTGTCAGAAACTTATTTGTGATATTTGCATTCAACGCACAGAGTTGAACATTCCTCTTGATGGAGCAGATTTGAAACCCTCTTTTTGCAGAATCTGCAGGTGGATATTTGGACCTCTTTGTGGCCTTCGTTTGAAGCGTGATTTCTTCATTTACAACTAGACAGAAGAATTCTCAGAAACTTCTTTGTGATGTGTACCTTCAACTCACAGAGTTGAAGCTTCCTTTCAATAGAGCACTTTTGAAACTCAGTTTTTGTAGAATTTCCAGGTGGATATTTAGCGCCGTTTGAGGCCTAAGGTAGAAAAGGCAATATCTTCGTAGGAAAACTAGACAGAATTATTCTCAGAAACTACTTTGTGATGTGTGGGTTCAACTCACTGAGTTTAACCTTTCTTTTGATAGACCAGTTACGAAACACTGTTTTTGTAGAATCTGCAAGTAAATATTTGGACTTTTTTGAGGCCTTCATTGGAAACGGGATTTCTTCATAGAAACCTTGACAGAAGAATTCTCAGAAACTTCTCTGTGATGTGTGCGTTTAACTCTCAGAGTTCAACCTTCCTTTGGATAGAAGAGTGTTGAAATATTCTTTTTGTAGAATTTCCAAGTGAATATTTAGAGCGGTTTCAGGCCTATGTATAAGAGAAACTATCTTCACAGAAAAACTAGACATAATTGTTCTCTGAAGCTACTTTGTGATCTGCGCATTCAGCTTACAGAGTTTAAGCTTTCTTTGGATCGAGCGGTTTTAAACACTCTTTTTGTGGAATTTGCAATTCTATATTTAGAGTGCTTTCAGGCCTGTGGTACAAAAGGGAATGTCCTCACATAAAATCTAGACAGATAAGCATTGTCGGAAACTACTTTGTGATACCTGCCTTCAACTCTCAGAGTTGAATATTCCTCTTGATGGAGCAGTTTTTAAAAACTCTTTTTGTTGAATCTCCAAGTGGATATTTGGACCTCTTTGTGGCCTTCGTTTGAGACGTGACTTCTTCATACAAAACTAGACAGAAGAATTCTCATAAACTTCTTCGTGATGTGTGCTTTCAACTCGCAGAGTTGAAGCTTCCTTTCGATAGAGCAGTCTTGTAACTCTCTTTTTGTAGAATTTCCAAGTGGATATTTAGTGCCGCTTGAGGCCTATGGTGGAGAAGGCGATATCTTCATAGAAAAACTAGACAGAATGATTCTCAGAAACTACTTTGTGATGTGTGCCTTCAACTCACAGTGTTTAACCTTCCTCTTGGTAGAGCAGTTTTGAAAAACTCTTTTTGTAGAATCTGCAAGTGTATATTGGGACTTTTCTGAGGCCATACTTTGGAAACGGGATTTCTTCATATAAAACTTGAAAGAAGAATCCTCAGAAAATTATATGTGATATGTGCATTTAACTCATGGAGTTGAAACTTCCTTTCGATAGAAGAGTTTTGAAATACTCTTTTTGTAGAATTTCCAAGTGGATTTTTACAGCGGTGTGAGGTCTATGGCAGCAAAGGAAATATCTTCACAGAAAAACTAGGCAGATTCATTCTCCGAAGCTGTTTTGTGATGCTTGCATTAGGCTTACAGAGTTTAAAGTTCCTTTGTTAGAGCAGTTTTGAAACACTCTTTTTGTGGAATTTGCAAGTGTATATTTAGAGCGTTTTCAGGCCTACAGTAGGAAAGGAAATATCTTCACATAAAAACTAGACAGAAGTATTGTCAGAAACTTATTTGTGATATTTGCATTCAACGCACGGAGTTGAACATTCCTCTTGATGGAGCCGTTTTGAAGCACTCTTTTTGTGGAATCTGCAATTGGATATTTGGACCTCTTTGTGGCCTTCGTGTGAAACGTGATTTCTTCATTTACAACTAGACAGAAGAATTCTCAGAAACTTCTTTGTGATGTGTACCTTCAACTCACAGAGGTGAAGCTTCCTTTCAATAGAGCACTTTTGAAACTCAGTTTTGGTAGAATTTCCAGGTGGATATTTAGCGCCGTTTGAGGTCTATGGTAGAAAAGGCAATATCTTCGTAGGAGAACTAGACAGAATGATTCTCAGAAGCTACTTTGTGATGTGTGGGTTCACCTCACTGAGTTTAACCTTTCTTTTGATAGACCAGTTATGAAACACTCTTTTTGTGGAATCTGCAAGTAAATATTTGGACTTTTTTGAGGCCTTCATTGGAAACGGGGTTTCTTCACATAAACCTTGACAGAAGAATTCCCAGAAAGTTCTTTGTGATGTGTGCATTGAACTCTCAGAGTTCAACCTTCCTTTTGATAGAAGAGTGTTGAAATATTCTTTTTCTAGAATTTCCAAGTGAATATTTAGAGCGGTTTCAGGCCTATGTAGAAGAGAAAATATATTCACAGAGAAACTAGACATAATTGTTCTCTGAAGCTGCTCTGTGATGTGCGCATTCAGCTGACAGAGTTTAACCTTTCTTTGGATAGAGCGGTTTTAAAAACTCTTTTTTTTGGAGTTGCAATTCTATACTTTGAGTGCTTTCAGGCCTGTGGTACAAAAGGGAATGTCTTCACATAAAATCTAGACAGAAGCATTGTCGGAAACTACTTTGTGATACCTGCCTTCAACTCTCAGAGTTGAATATTCCTCTTGATGGAGCAGTTTTGAAAAACTCTTTTTGTTGAATCTCCAAGTGGATATTTGGACCTCTTTGTGGCCTTCGTTTGAGACGTGACTGCTTCATACAAAAGTAGACAGAAGAATTCTCATAAACTTCTTCGTGATGTGTGCTTTCAACTCGCAGAGTTGAAGCTTCCTTTCGATAGAGCAGTCTTGTAACTCTCTTTTTGTAGAATTTCCAAGTGGATATTTAGCGCCGCTTGAGGCCTATGGTGGAGAAGGCGATATCTTCATAGAAAAACTAGACAGAATGATTCTCAGAAACTACTTTGTGATGTGTGCCTTCAACTCACAGAGTTTAACCTTTCTTTTGATAGAGCAGTTTTGAAAAACTCTTTTTGTAGAATCTGCAAGTGTATATTGGGACTTTTCTGACGCCATCTTTGGAAACGGGATTTCTTCATATAAAACTTGAAAGAAGAATCCTCAAAAAATTATTTGTGATATGTGCATTGAACTCATGGAGTTGAAACTTCCTTTCGATAGAAGAGTTTTGAAATACTCTTTTTGTAGAATTCCCAAGTGGATTTTTACAGCGGTTTGAGGTCTATGGCAGCAAAAGAAATATCTTCACAGAAAAACTAGGCAGATTCATTCTCCGAAGCTGTTTTGTGATGCTTGCATTAAGCGGACAGAGTTTAAACTTCCTTTGATAGAGCAGTTTGGAAACACTCTTTTTGTGGAATTTGCAAGTGTATATTTAGAGCGTTTTGAGGCCTACAGTAGGAAAGGAAATATCTTCACATAAAAACTACACAGAAGTATTGTCGGAAACTTACTTGTGATACTTGCATTCAACGCACAGAGTTGAACATTCCTCTTGATGGAGCAGTTTTGAAACACTCTTTTTGCAGAATCTGCAGGTGGATATTTGGACCTCTTTGTGGCCTTCGTTTGAAACGTGATTTCTTCATTTACAACTAGACAGAAGAATTCTCAGAAACTTCTTTGTGATGTGTACCTTCAACTCACAGAGGTGAAGCTTCCTTTCAATAGAGCACTTTTGAAGCTCAGTTTTGGTAGAATTTCCAGGTGGATATTTAGCGCCGTTTGAGGCCTATGGTAGAAAAGGCAATATCTTCGTAGGAGAACTAGACACAATGATTCTCAGAAGCTACTTTGTGATGTGTGGGTTCAACTCACTGAGTTTAACCTTTCTTTTGATAGACCAGTTATGAAACACTCTTTTTGTGGAATCTGCAAGTAAATTTTTGGACTTTTTTGAGGCCTTCATTGGAAACGGGGTTTCTTCATATAAACCTTGACGGAAGAATTCTCAGAAACTTCTCTGTGATGTGTGCGTTTAACTCTCAGAGTTCAACCTTCCTTTTGATAGAAGAGTGTTGAAATATTCTTTTTGCAGAATTTCCAAGTGAATATTTAGAGCGGTCTCAGGCCTATGTGGAAGAGAAACTATCTTCACGGAAAAACTAGACATAATTGTTCTCTGAAGCTACTCTGTGATGTGCGCATTCAGCTGACAGAGTTTAACCTTTCTTAGGATAGAGCGGTTTTAAACCCTCTTTTTGTGGAATTTGCAATTTTGTATTTAGAGTGCTTTCAGGCCTGTGGTACAAAAGGGAATGTCTTCACATAAAATCTAGACAGAAGCATTGTCGGGAACTACTTTGGGATACCTGCCTTCAACTCTCAGAGTTGAATATTCCTCTTGATGGAGCAGTTTTGAAAAACTCTTTTTGTTGAATCTCCAAGTGGATATTTGGACCTCTTTGTGGCCTTCGTTTGAAACGTGACTGCTTCATACAAAAGTAGACAGAAGAATTCTCATAAACTTCTTCGTGATGTGTGCTTTCAACTCGCAGAGTTGAAGCTTCCTTTCGATAGAGCAGTCTTGTAACTCTCTTTTTGTAGAATTTCCAAGTGGATATTTAGCGCCGCTTGAGGCCTATGGTGGAGAAGGCGATATCTTCATAGAAAAACTAGACAGAATGATTCTCAGAAACTACTCTGTGATGTGTGCCTTCAACTCACAGAGTTTAACCTTCCTTTTGATAGAGCAGTTTTGAAAAACTCTTTTTGTAGAATCTGCAAGTGTATATTGGGACTTTTCTGAGGCCAACTTTGGAAACGGGATTTCTTCATCTAAAACTTGAAAGAAGAATCCTCAGAAAATTATTTGTGATATGTGCATTTAACTTATGGAGTTGAAACTTCCTTTCGATAGAAGAGCTTTGAAATACTCTTTTTGTAGAATTTCCAAGTGGATTTTTACAGCGGTTTGAGGTCTATGGCAGAAAAAGAAATATCTTCACAGAAAAACTAGGCAGATTCATTCTCCGAAGCTGTTTTGTGATGCTTGCATTAAGCGGACAGAGTTTAAACTACCTTTGAGAGAGCAGTTTGGAAACACTCTTTTTGTGGAATTTGCAAGTGTATATTTAGAGCGTTTTGAGGCCTACAGTAGGAAAGGAAATATCTTCACATAAAAACTACACAGAAGTATTGTCAGAAACTTATTTGTGATATTTGCATTCAACGCACAGAGTTGAACATTCCTCTTGATGGAGCAGTTTTCAAACCCTCTTTTTGCAGAGTCTGCAGGTGGATATTTGGACCTCTTTGTGGCCTTCGTTTGAAACGTGATTTCTGCATTTACAACTAGACAGAAGAATTCTCAGAAAATTCTTTGTGATGTGTACCTTCAGCTCACAGAGGTGAAGCTTCCTTTCAATAGAGCACTTTTCCAGCTCAGTTTTGGTAGAATTTCCAGGTGGATATTTAGCGCCGTCTGAGGCATATCGTAGAAAAGGCAATATCTTCGTAGGAGAACTAGACAGAATGATTCTCAGAAACTACTTTGTGATGTGTGGGTTCAACTCACTGAGTTTAACCTTTCTTTTGATAGACCAGTTATGAAACACTCTTTTTGTAGAATCTGCAAGTAAATATTTGGACTTTTTTGAGGCCTTCCATGGAAACGGGATTTCTTCATATAAACCTTGACAGAAGAATTCTCAGAAACTACTCTGTGAAGTGTGCGTTTAACTCTCAGAGTTCAACCTACCTTTTGATAAAAGAGGGTTGAAATATTCCTTTTGTAGAATTTCCAAGTGAATATTTAGAGCGGTTTCAGGCCTATGTAGAAGAGAAAATGTCTTCACAGAAAAACTAGACATAATTGTTCTCTGAAGCCACTCTGTGATGTGCGCATTCAGCTGACAGAGTTTAAGCTTTCTTTGCATAGAGCGGTTTTAAACACTCTTTTTGTGGAATTTGCAATTCTATATTTAGAGTGCTTTCAGGCCTGTGGTACGAAAGGGAATGTCTTCACATAAAATCTAGACAGAAGCATTGTCGGAAACTACTTTGTGATACCTGCCTTCAACTCTCAGAGTTGAATATTCCTCTTGATGGAGCAGTTTTGAAAAACTCTTTTTGTTGAATCTCCAAGTGGACATTTGGACCTCTTTGTGGCCTTCGTTTGAAACGTGACTTCTTCATACAAAACTAGACAGAAGAATTCTCATAAACTTCTTCGTGATGTGTGCTTTCAACTCGCAGCGTTGAAGCTTCCTTTCGATAGAGCAGTTTAGTAACTCTCTTTTTGTAGAATTTCCAAGTGGATATTTAGCGCCGTTTGAGGCCTATGGTGGAAAAGGTAATATCTTCATAGAAAAACTAGACAGAATGATTCTCAGAAACTACTCTGTGATGTGTGCCTTGAACTCACAGAGTTTAACCTTTCTTTTGATAGAGCAGTTTTGAAAAACTCTTTTTGTAGAATCTGCAAGTGTATATTGGGACTTTTCTGAGGCCATCTATGGAAACGGGATTTCTTCATATAAAACTTGAAAGAAGAATCCTCAGAAAATTATTTGTGATATGTGCATTTAACTCATGGTGCTGAAACTTCCTTTCGATAGAAGAGCTTTGAAATACTCTGTTTGTAGAATTTCCAAGTGGATTTTTACAGCGGTTCGGGGTCTATGGCAGAAAAAGAAATATCTTCACAGAAAAACTAGGCAGATTCATTCTCCGAAGCTGTTTTGTGATGCTTGCATTAAGCTGACAGAGTTTAAACTTCCTTTGATAGAGCAGTTTGGAAACACTCTTTTTGTGGAATTTGCAAGTGTATATTTAGAGTGTTTTGAGGCCTACAGTAGGAAAGGAAATATCTTCACATAAAAGCTAGACAGAAGTATTGTCAGAAACTTACTTGTGATATTTGCATTCAACGCACAGAGTTGAACATTCCTCTTGATGGAGCAGTTTTGAAACACTCTTTTTGTAGAATCTGCAGGTGGATATTTGGACCTCTTTTTGGCCTTCGTTTGAAACGTGATTTCTTCATTTACAACTAGACAGAAAAATTCTCAGAAACTTCTTTGTGATGTGTACTTTCAACTTACAGAGTTGAAGCTTCCTTTCAATAGAGCACTTTTGAAACTCAGTTTCTGTAGAATTTCCAGGTGGATATTTAGCGCCGTTTGAGGCCTATGGTGGAAAAGGCAATATCTTCGTAGAAAAACTAGACAGAATGATTCTCAGAAACAACTTTGTGATGTGTGCGTTCAACTCACGGAGTTTAACCTTTCTTTTGATAGACCAGTTATGAAACACTCTTTTTGTAGAATCTGCAAGTAAATATTTGGACTTTTTTGAGGCCTTCATTGGAAACGGGATCTCTTCATATAAACCTTGACAGAAGAATTCTCAGAAACTTCTCTGTGATGTGTGCGTTTACCTCTCAGAGTTCAACCTTCCTTTTGATAGAAGAGTGTTGAAATATTCTTTTTGCAGAATTTCCAAGTGAATATTTAGAGCGGTCTCAGGCCTATGTAGAAGAGAAACTATCTTCACGGAAAAACTAGACATAATTGTTCTCTGAAGCTACTCTGTGATGTGCGCATTCAGCTGACAGAGTTTCACCTTTCTTTGGATAGAGCGGTTTTAAACCCTCTTTTTGTGGAATTTGCAATTCTATATTTAGAGTGCTTTCAGGCCTGTGGTACAAAAGGGAATGTCTTCACATAAAATCTAGACAGAAGCATTGTCGGGAACTACTTTGGTATACCTGCCTTCAACTCTCAGAGTTGAATATTCCTCTTGATGGAGCAGTTTTGAAAAACTCTTTTTGTTGAATCTCCAAGTGGATATTTGGACCTCTTTGTGGCCTTCGTTTGAAACGTGACTGCTTCATACAAAAGTAGACAGAAGAATTCTCATAAACTTCTTCGTGATGTGTGCTTTCCACTCGCAGAGTTGAAGCTTCCTCTCGATAGAGCAGTCTTGTAACTCTCTTTTTGTAGAATTTCCAAGTGGATATTTAGCGCCGTTTGAGGCCTATGGTGGAGAAGGCGATATCTTCATAGAAAAACTAGACAGAATGATTCTCAGAAACTACTTTGTGATGTGTGCCTTCAACTCACAGAGTTTAACCTTTCTTTTGTTAGAGCAGTTTCGAAAAACTCTTTTTGTAGAATCGGCAAGTGTATATTGGGACTTTTCTGAGGCCATCTTTGGAAACGGGATTTCTTCATATAAAACTTGAAAGAAGAATCCTCAGAAAATTATTTGTGATATGTGCATTTAACTCATGGAGTTGAAACTGCCTTTCGATAGAAGAGTTTTGAAATACTCTTTTTGTAGAATTTCCAAGTGGATTTTTACAGCGGTTTGAGGTCTATGGCAGAAAAAGAAATATCTTCACAGAAAAACTAGGCAGATTCATTCTCCGAAGCTGTTTTGTGATGCTTGCATTAGGCTTACAGAGTTTAAACTTCCTTTGATAGAGCAGTTTTGAAACACTCTTTTTGTGGAATTTGCAAGTGTATATTTAGAGCGTTTTGAGGCCTACAGTAGGAAAGGAAATATCTTCACGTAAAAACTAGACAGAAGTATTGTCAGAAACTTATTTGTGATATTTGCATTCAACGCACAGAGTTGAACATTCCTCGTGATGGAGCAGTTTTGAAACACTCTTTTTGTAGAATCTGCAAGTGGATATTTGGACCTCTTTGTGGCCTTCGTTTGAAACGTGATTTCTTCATTTACAACTAGACAGAAGAATTCTCAGAAACTTCTTTGTGATGTGTACCTTCAACTCACAGAGGTGAAGCTTCCTTTCAATAGAGAACTTTTGAAACTCAGTTTTGGTAGAATTTCCAGGTGGATATTTAGCGCCGTTTGAGGCCTATGGTAGAAAAGGCAATATCTTCGTAGGAGAACTAGACAGAATGATTCTCAGAAACTACTTTGTGATGTGTGGGTTCAACTCACTGAGTTTAAGCTTTCTTTTGATAGACCAGTTACGAAACACTGTTTTTGTAGAATCTGCAAGTAAATATTTGGACTTTTTTGAGGCCTTCATTGGAAACGGGATTTCTTCATAGAAACCTTGACAGAAGAATTCCCAGAAACTTCTCTGTGATGTGTGCATTTAACTCTCAGAGTTCAACCTTCCTTTTGATAGAAGAGGGTTGAAATATTCTTTTTGTAGAATTTCCAAGTGAATATTTAGAGCGGTTTCAGGCCTATGTAGAAGAGAAAATATCTTCACAGAAAAACTAGACATAATTGTTCTCTGAAGCTACTTTGTGATGTGCGCATTCAGCTTACAGAGTTTAAGCTTTCTTTGGATAGAGCGGTTTTAAACACTCTTTTTGTGGAATTTGCAATTCTATATTTAGAGTGCTTTCAGGCCTGTGGTACAAAAGGGAATGTCCTCACATAAAATCTAGACAGAAGCATTGTCGGAAACTACATTGTGATACCTGCCTTCAACTCTCAGAGTTGAATATTACTCTTGATGGAGCAGTTTTGAAAAACTCTTTTTGTTGAATCTCCAAGTGGATATTTGGACCTCTTTGTGGCCTTCGTTTGAGACGTGACTTCTTCATACAAAAGTAGACAGAAGAATTCTCATAAACTTCTTCGTGATGTGTGCTTTCAACTCGCAGCGTTGAAGCTTCCTTTCGATAGAGCAGTTTAGTAACTCTCTTTTTGTAGAATTTCCAAGTGGATATTTAGCGCCGTTTGAGGCCTATGGTGGAAAAGGCAATATCTTCATAGAAAAACTAGACAGAATGATTCTCAGAAACTACTTTGTGATGTGTGCCTTCAACTCACAGAGTTTAACCTTCCTTTTGGTAGAGCAGTTTTGAAAAACTCTTTTTGTAGAATCTGCAAGTGTATATTGGGACTTTTCTGAGGCCATCTTTGGAAACGGGATTTCTTCATATAAAACTTGAAAGAAGAATCCTCAGAAAATTATTTGTGATATGTGCATTTAACTCATGGAGTTGAGACTTCCTTTCGATAGAAGAGTTTTGAAATACTCTTTTTGTAGAATTTCCAAGTGGATTTTTACAGCGGTTTGAGGTCTATGGCAGAAAAAGAAATATCTTCACAGAAAAATTAGGCAGATTCATTCTCCGAAGCTGTTTTGTGATGCTTGCATTAAGCGGACAGAGTTTAAACTTCCTTTGATAGAGCAGTTTGGAAACACTCTTTTTGTGGAATTTGCAAGTGTATATTTAGAGCGTTTTGAGGCCTACAGTAGGAAAGGAAATATCTTCACATAAAAACTAGACAGAAGTATTGTCAGAAACTTATTTGTGATATTTGCATTCAACGCACCGAGTTGAACATTCCTCTTGATGGAGCCGTTTTGAAGCACTCTTTTTGTGGAATCTGCAAGTGGATATTTGGACCTCTTTGTGGCCTTCGTGGGAAACGTGATTTCTTCATTTACAACTAGACAGAAGAATTCTCAGAAACTTCTTTGTGATGTGTACTTTCAACTCACAGAGTTGAAGCTTCCTTTCAATAGAGCACTTTTGAAACTCAGTTTCTGTAGAATTTCCAGGTGGATATTTAGCGCCGTTTGAGGCCTATGGTAGAAAAGGCTATATCTTCATAGAAAAACTAGACAGAATGATTCTCAGAAACAACTTTGTGATGTGTGCGTTCAACTCACGGAGTTTAACCTTTCTTTTGATAGACCAGTTATGAAACACTCTTTTTGTAGAATCTGCAAGTAAATATTTGGACTTTTTTGAGGCCTTCATTGGAAACGGGATTTCTTCATATAAACCTTGACAGAAGAATCCCCAGAAACTTCTTTGTGATGTGTGCATTTAACTCTCAGAGTTCAACCTTCCTTTTGATAGAGGAGTGTTGAAATATTCTTTTTGTAGAATTTCCAAGTGAATATTTAGAGCGGTTTCAGGCCTATGTAGAAGAGAAAATATCTTCACAGAAAAACTAGACATAATTGTTCTCTGAAGCTACTTTGTGATGTGCGCATTCAGCTTACAGAGTTTAACCTTTCTTTGGATGGAGCGGTTTTAAACACTCTTTTTGAGGAATTTGCAATTCTATATTTAGAGTGCTTTCAGGCCTGTGGTACAAAAGGGAATGTCCTCACATAAAATCTAGACAGAAGCATTGTCGGAAACTACTTTGTGATACCTGCCTTCAACTCTCAGAGTTGAATGTTCCTCTTGATGGAGCAGTTTTGAAAAACTCTTTTTGTTGAATCTCCAAGTGGATATTTGGACCTCTTTGGGGCCTTCGTTTGAGACGTGACTTCTTCATACAAAAGTAGACAGAAGAATTCTCATAAACTTCTTCGTGATGTGTGCTTTCAACTCGCAGCGTTGAAGCTTCCTTTCGATAGAGCAGTTCTGTAACTCTCTTTTTGTAGGATTTCCAAGTGGATATTTAGCGCCGTTTGAGGCCTATGGTGGAAAAGGCAATATCTTCGTAGAAAAACTAGACAGAATCATTCTCAGAAACTACTTTGTGATGTGTGCCTTCAACTCACAGAGTTTAAACTTTCTTTTGATAGAGCAGTTTTGAAAAACTCTTTTTGTAGAATCTGCAAGTGTATATTGGGACTTTTCTGAGGCTATCTTTGGAAACGGGATTTCTTCACATAAAATTTGAAAGAAGAATCCACAAAAAATTATTAGTGATATGTGCATTTAACTCATGGAGTTCAGACTTCCTTTCGATAGAAGAGTTTTGAAATACTCTTTTTGTAGAATTTCCAAGTGGATTTTTACAGCGGTTTGAGGTCTATGGCAGAAAATGGAATATCTTCACAGAAAAACCAGGCAGATTCATTCTCCAAAGCTGTTTTGTGATGCTTGCATTCAGCTTACAGAGTTTAAACTTCCTTTGATAGAGCAGTTTAGAAACCCTCTTTCTGTGGAATTTGCAAGTGTCTCTTTAGAGCGTTTTGAGGCCTACAGTAGGAAAGGAAATATCTTCACATAAAAACTAGACAGAAGTATTCTCAGAAACTTACTTGTGATATTTGCATTCAACGCACAGAGTTGAACATTCCTCTTGATGGAGCAGTTTTGAAACACTCTTTTTGTAGAATCTGCAGGTGGATATTTGGACCTCTTTGTGGCCTTCTTTTGAAACGTGATTTCTTCATTTACAACTAGACAGAAGAATTCTCAGAAACTTCTTTGTGATGTGTACCTTCAACTCACAGTAGGTGAAGCTTCCTTTCAATAGAGCACTTTTGAAGCTCAGTTTTGGTAGAATTTCCAGGTGGATATTTAGCGCCGTTTGAGGCCTATGGTAGAAAAGGCAATATCTTCGTAGGAGAACTAGACAGAATGATTCTCAGAAGCTACTTTGTGATGTGTGGGTTCAACTCACTGAGTTTAACCTTTCTTTTGATAGACCAGTTATGAAACACTCTTTCTGTGGAATCGGCAAGTAAATATTTGGACTTTTTTGAGGCCTTCATTGGAAACGGGGTTTCTTCATATAAACCTTGACAGAAGAATTCTCAGAAACTTCTCTGTGATGTGTGCGTTTAACTCTCAGAGTTCAACCTTCCTTTTGATAGAAGAGTGTTGAAATATTCTTTTTGTAGAATTTCCAAGTGAATATTTTGAGCGGTTTCAGGCCTATGTAGAAGAGAAAATATCTTCACAGAAAAACTAGACACAATTGTTCTCTGAAGCTGCTCTGTGATGTGCGCATTCAGCTGACAGAGTTTAACCTTTCTTTGGATAGAGCGGTTTTGAACCCTCTTTTTTTGGAATTTGCAATTCTATATTTAGAGTGCTTTCAGGCCTGTGGTACAAAAGGGAATGTCTTCACATAAAATCTAGACAGAAGCATTGTCGGGAACTACTTTGTGATACCTGCCTTCAACTCTCAGAGTTGAATATTCCTCTTGATGGAGCAGTTTTGAAAAACTCCTTTTGTTGAATCTCCAAGTGGATATTTGGACCTCTTTGTGGCCTTCGTTTGAAACGTTACTGTTTCATACAAAAGTAGACAGAAGAATTCTCATAAACTTCTTCGTGATGTGTGCTTTCAACTCGCAGAGTTGAAGCTTCCTTTCGATAGAGCAGTCTTGTAACTCTCTTTTTGTAGAATTTCCAAGTGGATATTTAGCGCCGTTTGAGGCCTATGGTGGAGAAGGCGATATCTTCATAGAAAAACTAGACAGAATGATTCTCAGAAACTACTCTGTGATGTGTGCCTTGAACTCACAGAGTTTAACCTTTCTTTTGATAGAGCAGTTTTGAAAAACTCTTTTTGTAGAATCTGCAAGTGTATATTGGGACTTTTCTGAGGCCATCTATGGAAACGGGATTTCTTCATATAAAACTTGAAAGAAGAATCCTCAGAAAATTATTTGTGATATGTGCGTTTAACTCATGGAGTTGCAACTTCCTTTCGATAGAAGAGTTTTGAAATACTCTTTTTGTAGAATTTCCAGTGGATTTTTACAGCGGTTTGAGGTCTATGGCAGAAAAAGGAATATCTTCACAGAAAAACTAGGCAGATTCATTCTCCGAAGCTGTTTTGTGATGCTTGCATTAAGCGGACAGAGTTTAAACTTCCTTTGATAGAGCAGTTTGGAAACACTCTTTTTGTGGAATTTGCAAGTGTATATTTAGAGCGTTTTGAGGCCTACAGTAGGAAAGGAAATATCTTCACATATAAACTAGACAGAAGTATTGTCAGAAACTTATTTGTGATATTGGCATTCAATGCACAGAGTTGAACATTCCTCTTGATGGAGCAGTTTTGAAACACTCTTTTTGTAGAATCTGCATGTGGATATTTGGACCTCTTTGTGGCCTTCGTTTGAAACGTGATTTCTGCATTTACAACTAGTCAGAAGAATTCTCAGAAACTCCTTTGTGATGTGTACCTTCAACTCACAGAGGTGAAGCTTCCTTTCAATAGAGCACTTTTGAAGCTCAGTTTTGGTAGAATTTCCGGGTGGATATTTAGCGCCGTTTGAGGCCTATGGTAGAAAAGGCAATATCTTCGTAGGAGAACTAGACACAATGATTCTCAGAAGCTACTTTGTGATGTGTGGGTTCACCTCACTGAGTTTAACCTTTCTTTTGATAGACCAGTTATGAAACACTCTTTTTGTGGAATCTGCAAGTAAATATTTGGACTTTTTTGAGGCCTTCATTGGAAACGGGGTTTCTTCACATAAACCTTGACAGAAGAATTCTCAGAAACTTCTCTGTGATGTGTGCGTTTAACTCTCAGAGTTCAACATTCCTTTTGATAGAAGAGTGTTGAAATATTCTTTTTGCAGAATTTCCACGTGAATATTTAGAGCGGTCTCAGGCCTATGTAGAAGAGAAACTATCTTCACGGAAAAACTAGACATAATTGTTCTCTGAAGCTACTCTGTGATGTGCGCATTCAGCTGACAGAGTTTAACCTTTCTTAGGATAGAGCGGTTTTAAACCCTTTTTTTGTGGAATTTGCAATTCTGTATTTAGAGTGCTTTCAGGCCTGTGGTACAAAAGGGAATGTCTTCACATAAAATCTAGACAGAAGCGTTGTCGGAAACTACTTTGTGATACCTGCCCTCAACTCTCAGAGTTGAATATTCCTCCTGACGGAGCAGTTTTGAAAAACTCTTTTTGTTGAATCTCCAAGTGGATATTTGGACCTCTTTGTGGCCTTCGTTTGAGACGTGACTTCTTCATACAAAACTAGACAGAAGAATTCTCATAAACTTCTTCATGATGTGTGCTTTCAATTCGCAGCGTTGAAGCTTCCTTTCGATAGAGCAGTTTAGTAACTCTCTTTTTGTAGAATTTCCAAATGGATATTTAGCGCCGTTTGAGGCCTATGGTGGAAAAGGCAATATCTTCATAGAAAAACTAGTCAGAATGATTCTCAGAAACTACTTTGTGATGTGTGCCTTCAACTCACAGAGTTTAACCTTTCTTTTGATAGAGCAGTTTTGAAAAACTCTTTTTGTAGAATCTGCAAGTGTATATTGGGACTTTTCTGAGGCCATCTTTGGAAACGGGATTTCTTCATATAAAATTTGAAAGAAGAATCCTCAGAAAATTATTTGTGATATGTGCATTTAACTCATGGAGTTGAAACTTCCTTTCGATAGAAGAGTTTTGAAATACTCTTTTTGTAGAATTTCCAAGTGGATTTTCACAGCGGTTTGAGGTCTATGGCAGAAAAAGAAATATCTTCACAGAAAAACTAGGCAGATTCATTCTCCGAAGCTGTTTTGTGATGCTCGCATTCAGCTGACAGAGTTTAAACTTCCTTTGAGAGAGCAGTTTGGAAACACTCTTTTTGTGGAATTTGCAAGTGTATATTTAGAGCGTTTTGAGGCCTACAGTAGGAAAGGAAATATCTTCACCTAAAAACTAGACAGAAGTATTGTCAGAAACTTATTTGTGATATTTGCATTCAACGCACGGAGTTGAACATTCCTCTTGATGGAGCCGTTTTGAAGCACTCTTTTTGTGGAATCTGCAAGTGGATATTTGGACCTCTTTGTGGCCTTCGTGGGAAACGTGATTTCTTCATTTACAACTAGACAGAAGAATTCTCAGAAACTTCTTTGTGATGTGTACTTTCAACTCACAGAGTTGAAGCTTCCTTTCAATAGAGCACTTTTGAAACTCAGTTTCTGTAGAATTTCCAGGTGGATATTTAGCGCCGTTTGAGGCCTATGGTGGAAAAGGCAATATCTTCATAGAAAAACTAGACAGAATGATTCTCAGAAACAACTTTGTGATGTGTGCGTTCAACTCACGGAGTTTAACCTTTCTTTTGATAGACCAGTTATGAAACACTCTTTTTGTAGAATCTGCAAGTAAATATTTGGACTTTTTTGAGGCCTTCATTGGAAACGGGATTTCTTCATATAAACCTTGACAGAAGAATTCCCAGAAACTTCTTTGTGATGTGTGCATTTAACTCTCAGAGTTCAACCTTCCTTTTGACAGAAGAGTGTTGAAATATTCTTTTTCTAGAGTTTCCAAGTGAATATTTAGAGCGGTTTCAGGCCTATGTAGAAGAGAAAATATCTTCACAGAGAAACTAGACATAATTGTTCTCTGAAGCTACTTTGTGATGTGCGCATTCAGCTTACACAGTTTAACCTTTCTTTGGATTGAGGGGTTTTATACACTCTTTTTGTGGAATTTGCAATTCTATATTTAGAGTGCTTTCAGGCCTGTGGTACAAAAGGGAATGTCTTCACATAAAATCTATACAGAAGCATTGTCGGAAACTACTTTGTGATACCTGCCTTCAACTCTCAGAGTTGAATGTTCCTCTTGATGGAGCAGTTTTGAAAAACTCTTTTTGTTGAATCTCCAAGTGGATATTTGGACCTCTTTGTGGCCTTCATTTGAGACGTGACTTCTTCATACAAAAGTAGACAGAAGAATTCTCATCACCTTCCTCGCGATGTGTGCTTTCAACTCGCGGAGCTGAAGCTTCCTTTCGATAGAGCAGTTTTGTAACTCTCTTTTTGTAGAATTTCCAAGTGGATATTTAGCGCCGTTTGAGGCCTATGGTGGAAAAGGCAATATCTTCATAGAAAAACTAGACAGAATGATTCTCAGAAACTACTTTGTGATGTGTGCCTTCAACTCACAGAGTTTAACCTTTCTTTTGATAGAGCAGTTTTGAAAAACTCTTTTTGTAGAATCTGCAAGTGTATATTGGGACTTTTCTGAGGCCATCTTTGGAAACGGGATTTCTTCAGATAAAACTTGAAAGAAGAATCCTCAGAAAATTATTTGTGATATGTGCATTTAACTCATGGAGTTGAAACTTCCTTTCGATAGAAGAGTTTTGAAATACTCTTTTTGTAGAATTCCAAAGTGGATTTTTACAGCGGTTTGAGGTCTATGGCAGCAAAAGAAATATCTTCACAGAAAAACTAGGCAGATTCATTCTCCGAAGCTGTTTTGTGATGCTTGCATTCAGCTGACAGAGTTTAAACTTCCTTTGATAGAGCAGTTTGGAAACACTCTTTTTGTGGAATTTGCAAGTGTATATTTAGAGCGCTTTGAGGCCTACAGTAGGAAAGGAAATATCTTCACCTAAAAACTAGACAGAAGTATTGTCAGAAACTTATTTGTGATATTTGCATTCAACGCACGGAGTTGAACATTCCTCTTGATGGAGCCGTTTTGAAGCACTCTTTTTGTGGAATCTGCAAGTGGATATTTGGACCTCTTTAGTGGCCTTCGTGTGAAACGTGATTTCTTCATTTACATCTAGACAGAAGAATTCTCAGAAACTTCTTTGTGATGTGTACTTTCAACTCACAGAGTTGAAGCTTCCTTTCAATAGAGCACTTTTGAAACTCAGTTTCTGTAGAATTTCCAGGTGGATATTTAGCGCCGTTTGAGGCCTATGGTGGAGAAGGCAATATCTTCGTAGAAAAACTAGACAGAATGATTCTCAGAAACAACTTTGTGATGTGTGCGTTCAACTCACGGAGTTTAACCTTTCTTTTGATAGACCAGTTATGAAACACTCTTTTTGTAGAATCTGCAAGTAAATATTTGGACTTTTTTGAGGCCTTCATTGGAAACGGGATCTCTTCATATAAACCTTGACAGAAGAATTCCCAGAAACTTCTCTGTGATGTGTGCATTTAACTCTCAGTGTTCAACCTTCCTTTTGATAGAAGTGGGTTGAAATTTTCATTTGTAGAATTTCCAAGTGAATATTGAGAGCGGTTTCAGGCCTAAGTAGAAGAGAAAATATCTTCACAGAAAAACTAGACATAATTGTTCTCTGAATCTACTTTGTGATGTGCGCATTCAGCTTACAGAGTTTAACCTTTCTTTGGATCGAGCGGTTTTAAACACTCTTTTTGTGGAATTTGCAATTCTATATTTAGAGTGCTTTCAGGCCTGTGGTACAAAAGGGAATGTCCTCACATAAAATCTAGACAGAAGCGTTGTCGGAAAGTTGTTTGTGATACCTGCCCTCAACTCTCAGAGTTGAATATTAATCTTGACGGAGCAGTTTTGAAAAACTCTTTTTGTTGAATCTCCAAGTGGATATTTGGACCTCTTTGTGGCCTTCGTTTGAGACGTGACTTCTTCATACAAAACTAGACAGAAGAATTCTCATCAACTTCTTCGCGATGTGTGCTTTCAACTCGCAGAGTTGCAGCTTCCTTTCGATAGAGCAGTTTTGTAACTCTCTTTTTGTAGAATTTCCAAGTGGATATTTAGCGCCGTTTGAGGCCTGTGGTGGAAAAGGCAATATCTTCATAGAAAAACTAGACAGAATGATTCTCAGAAACTACTTTGTGATGTGTGCCTTCAACTCACAGTGTTTAACCTTTCTTTTGATAGAGCAGTTTTGAAAAACTCTTTTTGTAGAATCTGCAAGTGTATATTGGGACTTTTCTGAGGCCATCTTTGGAAACGGGATTTCTTCATATAAAACTTGAAAGAAGAATCCTCAGAAAATTATTTGTGATATGTGCATTTAACTCATGGAGTTGAAAATTCCTTTCGATAGAAGAGTTTTGAAATACTCTTTTTGTAGAATTTCCAAGTGGATTTTTACAGCGGTGTGAGGTCTATGGCAGAAAAAGAAATATCTTCACAGAAAAACTAGGCAGATTCATTCTCCGAAGCTCTTTTGTGATGCTTGCATTAAGCTTACAGAGTTTAAAGTTCCTTTGATAGAGCAGTTTTGAAACACTCTTTTTGTGGAATTTGCAAGTGTATATTTAGAGCGTTTTGAGGCCTACAGTAGGAAAGGAAATATCTTCACATAAAAACTAGACAGAAGTATTGTCAGAAACTTATTTGTGATATTTGCATTCAACGCACAGAGTTGAACATTCCTCTTGATGGAGCAGTTTTGAAACCCTCTTTTTGCAGAATCTGCAGGTGGATATTTGGACCTCTTTGTGGCCTTCGTTTGAAACGTGATTTCTTCATTTACAACTAGACAGAAGAATTCTCAGAAACTTCTTTGTGATGAGTACCTTCAACTCACAGAGGTGAAGCTTCCTTTCAATAGAGCACTTTTGAAGCTCAGTTTTGGTAGAATTTCCAGGTGGATATTTAGCGCCGTTTGAGGCCTATGGTAGAAAAGGCAATATCTTCGTAGGAGAACTAGACACAATGATTCTCAGAAGCTAATTTGTGATGTGTGGGTTCAACTCACTGAGTTTCACCTTTCTTTTGATAGACCAGTTATGAAACACTCTTTTTGTGGAATCTGCAAGTAAATATTTGGACTGTTTTGAGGCCTTCATTGGAAATGGGGTTTCTTCATATAAACCTTGACAGAAGAATTCTCAGAAACTTCTCTGTGATGTGTGCGTTTACCTCTCAGAGTTCAACCTTCCTTTTGATAGAAGAGTGTTGAAATATTCTTTTTGCAGAATTTCCAAGTGAATATTTAGAGCGGTCTCAGGCCTATGTAGAAGAGAAACTATCTTCACGGAAAAACTAGACATAATTGTTCTCTGAAGCTTCTTTGTGATGTGCGCATTCAGCTTACAGAGTTTAACCTTTCTTTGGATAGAGCGGTTTTAAACACTCTTTTTGTGGAATTTGCAGTTCTATATTTAGAGTGCTTTCAGGCCTGTGGTACAAAAGGGAATGTCCTCACATAAAATCTAGACAGAAGCGTTGTCGGAAACTACTTTGTGATACCTGCCCTCAACTCTCAGAGTTGAATATTCCTCTTGACGGAGCAGTTTTGAAAAACTCTTTTTGTTGAATCTCCAAGTGGATATTTGGACCTCTTTGTGGCCTTCGTTTGAGACGTGACTTCTTCATACAAAACTAGACAGAAGAATTCTCATCAACTTCTTCGTGATGTGTGCTTTCAACTCGCAGCGTTGAAGCTTCCTTTCAATAGAGCAGTTCTGTAACTCTGTTTTTGTAGAATTTCCAAGTGGATATTTAGCGCCGTTTGAGGCCAATGGTGGAAAAGGCAATATCTTCATAGAAAAACTAGACAGAATGATTCTCAGAAACTACTTTGTGATATGTGCCTTCAACTCACAGAGTTTAACCTTCCTTTTGGTAGAGCAGTTTTGAAAAACGCTTTTTGTAGAATCTGCAAGTGTATATTGGGACTTTTCTGAGGCCATCTTTGGAAACGGGATTTCTTCATATAAAACTTGAAAGAAGAATCCTCAGAAAATTATTTGTGATATGTGCATTTAACTCATGGAGTTGAAACTTCCTTTCGATAGAAGAGTTTTGAAATACTCTTTTTGTAGAATTCCCAAGTGGATTTTTACAGCGGTTTGAGGTCTATGGCAACAAAAGAAATATCTTCACAGAAAAACTAGGCAGATTCATTCTCCGAAGCTGGTTTGTGATGCTTGCATTAACCTGACAGAGTTTAAACTTCCTTTGATAGAGCAGTTTGGAAACACTTTTTTTGTGGAATTTGCAAGTGTATATTTAGAGCGTTTTGAGGTCTACACTAGGAAAGGAAATATCTTCACATAAAAGCTAGACAGAAGTATTGTCAGAAACTTATTTGTGATATTTGCATTCAACGCACAGAGTTGAACATTCCTCTTGATGGAGCAGTTTTGAAACCCTCTTTTTGCAGAATCTGCAGGTGGATATTTGGACCTCTTTGTGGCCTTCGTTTGAAACGCGATTTCTTCATTTACAACTAGACAGAAGAATTCTCAGAAACTTCTTTGTGATGTGTACCTTCAACTCAGAGAGTTGAAGCTTCCTTTCAATAGAGCACCTTAGAAACTCAGTTTTTGTAGAATTTCCAGGTGGATATTTAGCGCCGTTTGAGGCCTATGGTAGAAAAGGAAATATCTTCGTAGGAGGACTAGACAGAATGATTCTCAGAAGCTACTTTGTGATGTGTGGGTTCAACTCACTGAGTTTAACCTTTCTTTTGATAGACCAGTTTATGAAACACTCTTTTTGTAGAATCTGCAAGTAAATATTTGGACTTTTTTGAGGCCTTCATTGGAAACGTTGTTTCTTCATATAAACCTTGACAGAAGAATTCTCAGAAACTTCACTGTGATGTGTGCCTTTAACTCTCAGAGTTCAACCTTCTTTTTGATAGAAGAGTGTTGAAATATTCCTTTTGTAAAATTTCCAAGTGAATATCTAGAGCGGTTTTAAGCCTATGTAGAAGAGAAACTATCTTCACAGAAAAACTAGACATAATTGTTCTCTGAAGCTACTTTGTGATGTGCGCATTCAGCTTACACAGTTTAACCTTTCTTTGGATTGAGGGGTTTTATACACTCTTTTTGTGGAAATTGCAATTCTATATTTAGAGTGCTTTCAGGCCTGTGGTACAAAAGGGAATGTCTTCACATAAAATCTATACAGAAGCATTGTCGGGAACTACTTTGTGATACCTGCCTTCAACTCTCAGAGTTGAATATTCCTCTTGATGGAGCAGTTTTGAAAAACTCTTTTTGTTGAATCTCCAAGTGGATATTTGGACCTCTTTGTGGCCTTCGTTTGAAACGTGACTTCTTCATAGAAAACTAGACAGAAGAATTCTCATAAACTTCTTCGTGATGTGTGCTTGCAACTCACAGAGTTGAAGCTTCCTTTCGATAGAGCAGTCTTGTAACTCTCTTTTTGTAGAATTTCCAAGTGGATATTTAGCGCCGTTTGAGGCCTATTGTGGAAAAGGCAATATCTTCATAGAAAAACTAGACAGAATGATTCTCAGAAACTACATTGTGATGTGTGCCTTCAACTCACAGAGTTTCACCTTTCTTTTGATAGAGCACTTTTGAAAAACTCTTTTTGTTGAATCTGCAAGTGTATATTGGGAATTTTCTGAGGCCATCTTTGGAAACGGGATTTCTTCGTATAAAACTTGAAGGAAGAATCCTCAGAAAATTATTTGAGATATGTGCATTTAACTCATGGAGTTGAAACTTCCTTTCGATAGAAGCGTTTTGAAATACTCTTTTTGTAGAATTTCCAAGTGGATTTTTACAGCGGTTTGAGGTCTATGGCGGAAAAAGAAATATCTTCACAGAAAAACTAGGCAGATTCATTCTCCGAAGCTGTTTTGTGATGCTTGCATTAAGCTGACAGAGTTTAAACTTCCTTTGCTAGAGCAGTTTGGAAACACTCTTTATGTGGAATTTGCAAGTGTATATTTAGAGCGTTTTGAGGCCTACAGTAGGAAAGGAAATATCTTCACATAAAAACTAGACAGAAGTATTGTCAGAAACTTATTTGTGATATTTGCATTCAACGCACAGAGTTGAACATTCCTCTTGATGGAGCAGTTTTCAAACCCTAATTTGCAGAATCTGCAGCTGGATATTTGGACCTCTTTGTGGCCTTCGTTTGAAACGAGATTTCTGCATTTACAACTAGACAGAAGAATTCTCAGAAACTTCTTTGTGATGTGTACCTTCAACTCACAGAGGTGAAGCTTCCCTTCAATAGAGCACTTTTGAAACTCAGTTTTGGTAGAATTTCCAGGTGGATATTTATCGCCGTTTGAGGCCTATGGTAGAAAAGGCAATATCTTCGTAGGAAAACTAAACAGAATGATTCTCAGAAGCTACTTTGTGATGTGTGGGTTCAACTCACTGAGTTTAACCTTTCTTTTGATAGACCAGTTATGAAACACTCTTTCTGTGGAATCTGCAAGTAAATATTTGGACTTTTTTGAGGCCTTCATTGGAAACGGGGTTTCTTCATATAAACCCTGACAGAAGAATTCTCAGAAACTTCACTGTGATGTGTGCCTTTAACTCTCAGAGTTCAACCTTCTTTTTGATAGAAGAGTGTTGAAATATTCCTTTTGTAAAATTTCCAAGTGAATATCTAGAGCGGTTTTAAGCCTATGTAGAAGAGAAACTATCTTCACAGAAAAACTAGACATAATTGTTCTCTGAAGCTACTTTGTGATGGGCGCCTTCAGCTGACAGAGTTTAACCTTTCTTTGGATAGAGCGGTTTTAAACTCTCTTTTTGTGGAATTTGCAATTCTATATTTAGAGTGCTTTCAGGCCTGTGATACAAAAGGGAATGTCTTCACATAAAATCTAGACAGAAGCGTTGTCGGAAACTACTTTGTGATACCTGCCTTCAACTTTCAGAGTTGAATATTCCTCTTGACGGAGCAGTTTTGAAAAACGCTTTTTGTGGAATCTCCAAGTGGATATTTGGACCTCTTTGTGGCCTTCGTTTGAGACGTGACTTCTTCCTACAAAACTAGACAGAAGAATTCACATCAACTTCTTCGCGATGTGTGCTTTCAACTCGCAGAGTTGCAGCTTCCTTTCGATAGAGCAGTTTTGTAACTCTCTTTTTGTAGAATTTCCAAGAGGATATTTAGCGCCGTTTGAGGTCTATCGTGGAAAAGGCAATATCTTCATAGAAAAACTAGACAGAATGATTCTCAGAAACTGCTTTGTCATGTGTGCCTTCAACTCACAGAGTTTAACCTTTCTTTTGGTAGAGCAGTTTTGAAAAGCTCTTTTTGTAGAATCTGCAAGTGTATATTGGGGCTTATCTGAGGCCATCTTTGGAAACGGGATTTCTTCATATAAAACTTCAAAGAAGAATCCTCAGAAAATTATTTGTGATATGTGCATTTAACTCATTTAGTTGAAACTTCCTTTCGACACAAGAGTTTTGAAATACTCTTTTTGTAGAATTTCCAAGTGGATTTTCACAGCGGTTTGAGGTCTATGGCAGAAAAAGAAATATCTTCACAGAAAAACTAGGCAGATTCATTCTCCGAAGCTGTTTTGTGATGCTTGCATTCAGCTTACAGAGTTTAAACTTCCTTTGATAGAGCAGTTTTGAAACCCTCTTTTTGTGGAATTTGCAAGTGTCTCTTTAGAGCGTTTTGAGGCCTACAGTAGGAAAGGAAATATCTTCACATAAAAACTAGACAGAAGTATTGTCAGAAACTTATTTGTGATATTTGCATTCAACGCACAGAGTTGAACATTCCTCTTGATGGAGCCGTTTTGAAACACTCTTTTTGTAGAATCTGCAAGTGGATATTTGGACCTCTTTGTGGCCTTCGTGTGAAACGTGATTTCTTCATTTACAACTAGACAGAAGAATTCTCAGAAACTGCTTTGTGATGTGTACCTTCAACTCACAGAGGTGAAGCTTCCTTTGACTAGAGCACTTTTGAAACTCAGTTTTGGTAGAATTTCCAGGTGGATATTTAGCGCCGTTTGAGGCCTATGGTAGAAAAGGCAATATCTTCGTAGGAGAACTAGACAGAATGATTCTCAGAAGCTACTTTGTGATGTGTGGGTTCACCTCACTGAGTTTAACCTTTCTTTTGATAGACCAGTTATGAAACACTCTTTTTGTGGAATCTGCAAGTAAATTTTTGGACTTTTTTGAGGCCTTCATTGGAAACGGGGTTTCTTCATATAAACCTTGACAGAAGAATTCTCAGAAACTTCTCTGTGATGTGTGCGTTTAACTCTCAGAGTTCAACCTTCCTTTTGATAGAAGAGTGTTGAAATATTCTTTTTGCAGAATTTCCAAGTGAATATTTAGAGCGGTCTCAGGCCTATGTAGAAGAGAAACTATCTTCACGGAAAAACTAGACATAATTGTTCTCTGAAGCTACTCTGTGATGTGCGCATTCAGCTGACAGAGTTTAACCTTTCTTTGGATAGAGCGGTTTTAAACCCTCTTTTTGTGGAATTTGCAATTCTATATTTAGAGTGCTTTCAGGCCTCTGGTACAAAAGGGAATGTCTTCACATAAAATCTAGACAGAAGCATTGTCGGGAACTACTTTGTGATACCTGCCTTCAACTCTCAGAGTTGAATATTCCTCTTGATGGAGCAGTTTTGAAAAACTCTTTTTGTTGAATCTCCAAGTGGATATTTGGACCTCTTTGTGGCCTTCGTTTGAAACGTGACTGCTTCATACAAAAGTAGACAGAAGTATTCTCATCACCTTCTTCGCGATGTGTGCTTTCAACTCGCAGAGTTGCAGCTTCCTTTCGATAGAGCAGTTTTGTAACTCTCTTTTTGTAGAATTTCCAAGTGGATATTTAGCGCCGTTTGAGGCCTATGGTGGAAAAGGCAATATCTTCATAGAAAAACTAGACAGAATGATTCTCAGAAACTACTTTGTGATGTGTGCCTTCAACTCACAGAGTTTAACCTTTCTTTTGATTGAGCAGTTTTGAAAAACTCTTTCTGTAGAATCTGCAAGTGTATATTGGGACTTATCTGAGGCCATCTTTGGAAACGGGATTTCTTCATATAAAACTTCAAAGAAGAATCCTCAGAAAATTATTTGTGATATGTGCATTTAACTCATGGAGTTGAAACTTCCTTTCGATAGAAGAGTTTTGAAATACTCTTTTTGTAGAATTTCCAAGTGGATTTTTACAGCGGTGTGAGGTCTATGGCAGAAAAAGAAATATCTTCACAGAAAAACTAGGCAGATTCATTCTCCGAAGCTGTTTTGTGATGCTTGCATTCAGCTGACAGAGTTTAAACTTCCTTTGATAGAGCAGTTTGGAAACACTCTTTTTGTGGAGTTTGCAAGTGTTTATTTAGAGCGTTTTGAGGCCTACAGTAGGAAAGGAAATATCTTCACATAAAAACTAGACAGAAGTATTGTCAGAAACTTATTTGTGATATTTGCATTCAACGCACCGAGTTGAACAATCCTCTTGATGGAGCAGTTTGGAAACACTCTTTTTGTAGAATCTGCAGGTGGATATTTGGACCTCTTTGTGGCCTTCGTTTGAAACGTGATTTCTTCATTTACAACTAGACAGAAGAATTCTCAGAAACTTCTTTGTGATGTGTACTTTCAACTCACAGAGTTGAAGCTTCCTTTCAATAGAGCACTTTTGAAACTCAGTTTCTGTAGAATTTCCAGGTGGATATTTAGCGCCGTTTGAGGCCTATGGTGGAAAAGGCAATATCTTCGTAGAAAAACTAGACAGAATGATTCTCAGAAGCTACTTTGTGATGTGTGGGTTCAAGTCACTGAGTTTAACCTTTCTTTTGATAGACCAGTTATGAAACACTCTTTCTGTGGAATCGGCAAGTAAATATTTGGACTTTTTTGAGGCCTTCATTGGAAACGGGGTTTCTTCATATAAACCTTGACAGAAGAATTCTCAGAAACTTCTCTGTGATGTGTGCGTTTAACTCTCAGAGTTCAACCTTCCTTTTGATAGAAGAGTGTTGAAATATTCTTTTTGTAGAATTTCCAAGTGAATATTTAGAGCGGTTTCAGGCCTATGTAGAAGAGAAACTATCTTCACAGAAAAACTAGACATAACTGTTCTCTGAAGCTGCTCTGTGATGTGCGCATTCAGCTGACAGAGTTTAACCTTTCTTTGGATAGAGCGGTTTTCAACACTCTTTTTGTGGAATTTGCAATTCTATATTTAGAGTGCTTTCAGGCCTCTGGTACAAAAGGGAATGTCTTCACATAAAATCTAGACAGAAGCATTGTCGGGAACTACTTTGGGATACCTGCCTTCAACTCTCAGAGTTGAATATTCCTCTTGACGGAGCAGTTTTGAAAAACTCTTTTTGTTGAATCTCCAAGTGGATATTTGGACCTCTTTGTGGCCTTCGTTTGAAACGGTGACTGCTTCATACAAAAGTAGACAGAAGAATTCTCATAAACTTCTTCGTGATGTGTGCTTTCAACTCGCAGCGTTGAAGCTTCCTTTCGATAGAGCAGTTTAGTAACTCTCTTTTTGTAGAATTTCCAAGTGGATATTTAGCGCCGTTTGAGGCCTACGGTGGAAAAGGCAATATCTTCATAGAAAAATTAGACAGAATGATTCTCAGAAACTACTCTGTGATGTGTGCCTTCAACTCACAGAGTTTAACCTTCCTTTTGGTAGAGCAGTTTTGAAAAACTCTTTTTGTAGAATCTGCAAGTGTATATTGGGACTTTTCTGAGGCCATCTTTGGAAACGGGATTTCTTCATATAAAACTTGAAAGAAGAATCCTCAGAAAATTATTTGTGATATGTGCATTTAACTCATGGAGTTGAGACTTCCTTTCGATAGAATAGTTTCGAAATACTCTTTTTGTAGAATTTCCAAGTGGATTTTTACAGCGCTTTGAGGTCTATGGCAGAAAAAGAAATATCTTCACAGAAAAAATAGGCAGATTCATTCTCCGAAGCTGTTTTGTGATGCTTGCATTCAGCTTACAGAGTTTAAACTTCCTTTGATAGAGCAGTTTTGAAACCCTCTTTTTGTGGAATTTGCAAGTGTATATTTAGAGCGTTTTGAGGCCGACAGTAGGAAAGGAAATATCTTCACATAAAAACTAGACGGAAGTATTGTCAGAAACTTATTTGTGATATTTGCATTCAACGCACAGAGTTGAACATTCCTCTTGATGGAGCCGTTTTGAAACACTCTTTTTGTAGAATCTTCAAGTGGATATTTGGACCTCTTTGTGGCCTTCGTGTGAAACGTGATTTGTTCATTTACAACTAGACAGAAGAATTCTCAGAAACTTCTTTGTGATGTGTACCTTCAACCCACAGAGGTGAAGCTTCCTTTCAATAGAGCACTTTTGAAACTCAGTTTTGGTAGAATTTCCAGGTGGATATTTAGCGCCGTTTGAGGCCTATGGTAGAAAAGGCAATATCTTCGTAGGAGAACTAGACAGAATGATTCTCAGAAGCTACTTTGTGATGAGTGGGTTCAACTCACTGAGTTTAACCTTTCTTTTGATAGACCAGTTATGAAACACTCTTTCTGTGGAATCGGCAAGTAAATATTTGGATTTTTTTGAGGTCTTCATTGGAAACGGGGTTTCTTCATATAAACCTTGACAGAAGAATTCCCAGAAACTTCTCTGTGATGTGTGCATTTAACTCTCAGAGTTCAACCTTCCTTTTGATAGAAGAGGGTTGAAATTTTCTTTTTGTAGAATTTCCAAGTGAATATTTAGAGCGGTTTCAGGCCTAAGTAGAAGAGAAAATATCGTCACAGAAAAACTAGACATAATTGTTCTCTGAAGCTACTTTGTGATGTGCGCATTCAGCTTACAGAGTTTAACCTTTCTTTGGATCGAGCGGTTTTAAACACTCTTTTTGTGGAATTTGCAATTCTATATTTAGAGTGCTTTCAGGCCTGTGGTACAAAAGGGAATGTCCTCACTTAAAATCAAGACAGAAGCATTGTCGGAAACTACTTTGTGATACCTGCCTTCAACTCTCAGAGTTGAATGTTCCTCTTGATGGAGCAGTTTTGAAAAACTCTTTTTGTTGAATCTCCAAGTGGATATTTGGACCTCTTTGTGGCCTTCGTTTGAGACATGACTTCTTCATACAAAAGTAGACAGAAGAATTCACATCAACTTCTTCGTGATGTGTGCTTTCAACTCGCAGCGTTGAAGCTTCCTTTCGATAGAGCAGTTCTGTAACTCTCTTTTTGTAGAATTTCCAAGTGGATATTTAGCGCCGTTTGAGGCCAATGGTGGAAAAGGCAATATCTTCATAGAAAAACTAGACAGAATGATTCTCAGAAACTACTTTGTGATGTGTGCCTTCACCTCACAGAGTTTAAACTTTCTTTTGATAGAGCAGTTTTGAAAAACTCTTTTTGTAGAATCTGCAAGTGTATATTGGGACTTTTCTGAGGCCATCTTTGGAAACGGGATTGCTTCATATAAAACTTGAAAGAAGAATCCTCAGAAAATTATTTGTGATATGTGCATTTAACTCATGGAGCTGAAACTTCCTTTCGATAGAAGAGCTTTGAAATACCCTTTTTGTAGAATTTCCAAGTGGATTTTTACAGCGGTTTGAGGTCTATGGCAGAAAAAGAAATATCTTCACAGAAAAACTAGGCAGATTCATTCTCCGAAGCTGTTTTGTGATGCTTGCATTAGGCGGACAGAGTTTAAACTTCCTTTGAGAGAGCAGTTTGGAAACACTCTTTTTGTGGAATTTGCAAGTGTATATTTAGAGCGTTTTGAGGCCTACAGTAGGAAAGGAAATATCTTCACATAAAAACTACACAGAAGTATTGTCAGAAATTACTTGTGATATTTGCATTCAACGCACAGAGTTGAACATTCCTCTTGATGGAGCAGTTTTGAAACACTCTTTTTGCAGAATCTGCAGGTGGATATTTGGACCTCTTTGTGGCCTTCGTTTGAAACGTGATTGCTTCATTTACAACTAGACAGAAGAATTCTCAGAAACTTCTTTGTGATGTGTACCTTCAACTCACAGAGGTGAAGCTTCCTTTCAATAGAGCACTTTTGAAGCTCAGTTTTGGTAGAATTTCCAGGTGGATATTTAGCGCCGTTTGAGGCCTATGATAGAAAAGGCAATATCTTCGTAGGAGAACTAGACACAATGATTCTCAGAAGCTACTTTGTGATGTGTGGGTTTAAATCACTGAGTTTAACCTTTCTTTTGATAGACCAGTTATGAAACACTCTTTTTGTGGAATCTGCAAGTAAATTTTTGGACTTTTTTGAGGCCTTCATTGGAAACGGGGTTTCTTCATATAAACCTTGACAGAAGAATTCTCAGAAACTTCTCTGTGATGTGTGCGTTTAACTCTCAGAGTTCAACCTTCCTTTTCATAGAAGAGTGTTGAAATATTCTTTTTGCAGAATTTCCAAGTGAATATTTAGAGCGGTCTCAGGCCTATGTGGAAGAGAAACTATCTTCACGGAAAAACTAGACATAACTGTTCTCTGAAGCTGCTCTGTGATGTGCGCATTCAGCTGACAGAGTTTAACCTTTCTTTGGATAGAGCGGTTTTCAACACTCTTTTTGTGGAATTTGCAATTCTATATTTAGAGTGCTTTCAGGCCTGTGGTACAAAAGGGAATGTCTTCACATAAAATCTAGACAGAAGCATTGTCGGTAACTACTTTGTGATACATGGCTTCAACTCTCAGAGTTGAATATTCCTCTTGAAGGAGCAGTTTTGAAAAACACTTTTTGTTGAATCTCCAAGTGGATATTTGGTCCTCTTTGTGGCCTTCGTTTGAAACGTGACTGCTTCATACAAAAGTAGACAGAAGAATTCTCATAAACTTCTTGGTGATGTGTGCTTTCAACTCGCAGCGTTGAAGCTTCCTTTCGATAGAGCAGTTTAGTAACTCTCTTTTTGTAGAATTTCCAAGTGGATATTTAGCGCCGTTTGAGGCCTATGGTGGAAAAGGCAATATCTTCATAGAAAAACTAGACAGAATGATTCTCAGAAACTACTTTGTGATGTGTGCCTTCAACTCACAGAGTTTAACCTTCCTCTTGGTAGAGCAGTTTTGAAAAACTCTTTTTGTAGAATCTGCAAGTGTATATTGGGACTTTTCTGAGGCCATCTTTGGAAACGGGATTTCTTCATATAAAACTTGAAAGAAGAATCCTCAGAAAATTATTTGTGATATGTGCATTTAACTCATGGAGTTGAGACTTCCTTTCGATAGAAGAGTTTTGAAATACTCTTTTTGTAGAATTTCCAAGTGGATTTTTACAGCGGTTTGAGGTCTATGGCAGAAAAAGAAATATCTTCACAGAAAAACTAGGCAGATTCATTCTCCGAAGCTGTTTTGTGATGCTTGCATTAAGCTGACAGAGTTTAAACTTCCTTTGATAGAGCAGTTTGGAAACACTCTTTTTGTGGAATTTGCAAGTGTATATTTAGAGCGTTTTGAGGCCTACATTAGGAAAGGAAATATCTTCACATAAAAACTAGACAGAAGTATTGTCAGAAACTTATTTGTGATATTTGCATTCAACGCACAGAGTTGAACATTCCTCTTGATGGAGCAGATTTGAAACCCTCTTTTTGCAGAATCTGCAGCTGGATATTTGGACCTCTTTGTGGCCTTCGTTTGAAACGTGATTTCTGCATTTACAACTAGACAGAAGAATTCACAGAAACTTCTTTGTGATGTGTACCTTCAACTCACAGAGTTGAAGCTTCCTTTCAATAGAGCACTTTTGAAACTCAGTTTTTGTAGAATTTCCAGGTGGATATTTAGCGCCGTTTGAGGCCTATGGTAGAAAAGGCAATATCTTCGTAGGAAAACTAGACAGAAGGATTCTCAGAAGCTACTTTGTGATGTGTGGGTTGAACTCACTGAGTTTAACCTTTCTTTTGATAGACCAGTTATGAAACACTCTTTCTGTGGAATCTGCAAGTAAATATTTGGACTTTTTTGAGGCCTTCATTGGAAACGGGGTTTCTTCATATAAACCTTGACAGAAGAATTCTCAGACACTTCTCTGTGATGTGTGCGTTTAACTCTCAGAGTTCAACCTTCCTTTTGATAGAAGAGTGTTGAAATATTCTTTTTGTAGAATTTCCAAGTGAATATTAAGAGCTGTCTCAGGCCTATGTAGAAGAGAAACTATCTTCACGGAAAAACTAGACATAATTGTTCTCTGAAGCTACTCTGTGATGTGCGCATTCAGCTGACAGAGTTTAACCTTTCTTTGGATAGAGCGGTTTTAAACACTCCTTTTGTGGAATTTGCAGTTCTATATTTAGAGTGCTTTCAGGCCTGTGGTACAAAAGGGAATGTCTTCACAAAAAATCAAAACAGAAGCATTGTCGGAAACTATTTTGTGATACCTGCCTTCAACTCTCAGAGTTGAATATTCCTCTTGATGGAGCAGTTTTGAAAAACTCTTTTTGTTGAATCTCCAAGTGGATATTTGGACCTCTTTGTGGCCTTCGTTTGAAACGTGACTGCTTCATACAAAACTGGACAGAAGAATTCTCATAAACTTCTTCGTGATGTGTGCTTTCAACTGGCAGCGTTGAAGCTTCCTTTCGATAGAGCAGTTTTCTAACTCTCTTTTTGTAGAATTTTCCGGTGGATATTTAGCGCCTTTTGAGGCCCATGGTGGAAAAGGCAATATCTTCATAGAAAAACTAGACCGAATCATTCTCAGAAACTACTTTGTGATGTGTGCCTTCAACTCACAGAGTTTAACCTTTCTTTTGATAGAGCAGTTTTGAAAAACTCTTTTTGTAGAATCTGCAAGTGTATATTGGGACTTTTCTGAGGCTATCTTTGGAAACGGGATTTCTTCATATAAAACTTGAAAGAAGAATCCTCAGAGAATTATTTGTGATATGTGCATTTAACTCATGGAATTGAAACTTCCTTTCGATAGAAGAGTTTTGACATCCTCTTTTTGTAGAATTTCCAAGTGGATTTTTACAGCGGTTTGAGGTCTATGGCAGAAAAAGAAATATCTTCACAGAAAAACAAGGCAGATTCATTCTCCGAAGCTGTTTTGTGATGCTTGCATTAAGCGGACAGAGTTTAAACTTCCTTTGATAGAGCAGTTTGGAAACACTCTTTTTGTGGAATTTGCAAGTGTATATTTAGAGCGTTTTGAGGCCTACAGTAGGAAAGGAAATATCTTCACATAAAAACTACACAGAAGTATTCTCGGAAACTTACTTGTGATATTTGCATTCAACGCACAGAGTTGAACATTCCTCTTGATGGAGCAGTTTTGAAACACTCTTTTTGTAGAATCTGCAGGTGGATATTTGGACCTCTTTGTGGCCTTCTTTTGAAACGTGATTTCTTCATTTACAACTAGACAGAAGAATTCTCAGAAACTTCTTTGTGAT
This sequence comes from Homo sapiens, assembly GCF_000001405.40. Taxonomy (NCBI): domain Eukaryota; kingdom Metazoa; phylum Chordata; class Mammalia; order Primates; family Hominidae; genus Homo; species Homo sapiens. The sequence continues at coordinate 90,897,536 of NC_000003.12, forward strand.
GTGTACCTTCAACTCACAGAGTTGAAGCTTCCTTTCAATAGAGCACTTTTGAAGCTCAGTTTTGGTAGAATTTCCAGGTGGATATTTAGCGCCGTTTGAGGCCTATGGTAGAAAAGGCAATATCTTCGTAGGAGAACTAGACAGAATGATTCTCAGAAGCTACCTTGTGATTTGTGGGTTCAACTCACTGAGTTTAAACTTTCTTTTGATAGACCAGTTATGAAACACTCTTTTTCTGGAATCTGCAAGTAAATATTTGGACTTTTTTGAGGCCTTCATTGGAAACGGGGTTTCCTCATATAAACCTTGACAGAAGAATTCTCAGAAACTTCTCTGTGATGTGTGCGTTTAACTCTCAGAGTTCAACCTTCCTTTTGATAGAAGAGTGTTGAAATATTCTTTTTGTAGAATTTCCAAGTGAATATTTAGAGCAGTTTCAGGCCTATGTATAAGAGAAACTATCTTCACAGAAAAACTAGACATAATTGTTCTCTGAAGCTGCTCTGTGATGTGCGCATTCAGCTGACAGAGTTTAACCTTTCTTTGGATACAGCGGTTTTAAACAGTCTTTTTTTTGGAATTTGCAATTCTATACTTAGAGTGCTTTCAGGCCTGTGGTACAAAAGGGAATGTCTTCACATAAAATCTAGACAGAAGCATTACCGGGAACTACTTTGTGATACCTGCCTTCAACTCTCAGAGTTGAATATTCCTCTTGACGGAGCAGTTTTGAAAAACTCTTTTTGTTGAATCTCCAAGTGGATATTTGGACCTCTTTGTGGCCTTCGTTTGAAACGTGACTGCTTCATACAAAAGTAGACAGAAGAATTCTCATAAACTTCTTCGTGATGTGTGCTTTCAACTCGCAGAGTTGAAGCTTCCTTTCGATAGAGCAGTCTTGTAACTCTCTTTTTGTAGAATTTCCAAGTGGATATTTAGCGCCGTTTGAGGCCTATCGTGGAAAAGGCAATATCTTCATAGAAAAACTAGACAGAATGATTCTCAGAAACTACTTTGTGATGTGTGCCTTCAACTCACAGAGTTTAACCTTTCTTTTGATAGAGCAGTTTTGGAAAACTCTTTTTGTAGAATCTGCAAGTGTTTATTGGGACTTTTCTGAGGCCATCTTTGGAAACGGGATTTCTTCATATAAAACTTGAAAGAAGAATCCTCAGAAAATTATTTGTGATATGTGCATTTAACTCATGGAGTTGAAACTTCCTTTCGATAGAAGAGTTTTGACATCCTCTTTTTGTAGAATTTCCAAGTGGATTTTTACAGCGGTTTGAGGTCTATGGCAGAAAAAGAAATATCTTCACAGAAAAACTAGGCAGATTCATTCTCCGAAGCTGTTTTGTGATGCTTGCATTAAGCTGACAGAGTTTAAACTTTTTTTGATAGAGCAGTTTGGAAACACTCTTTTTGTGGAATTTGCAAGTGTATATTTAGAGCGTTTTGAGGCCTACAGTAGGAAAGGAAATATCTTCACATAAAAGCTAGACAGAAGTATTGTCAGAAAATTATTTGTGATATTTGCATTCAACGCACAGAGTTGAACATTCCTCTTGATGGAGCAGATTTGAAACCCTCTTTTTGCAGAATCTGCAGCTGGATATTTGGACCTCTTTGTGGCCTTCGTTTGAAACGTGATTTCTGCATTTACAACTAGACAGAAGAATTCTCAGAAACTTCTTTGTGATGTGTACCTTCAACTCACAGAGTTGAAGCTTCCTTTCAACAGAGCACTTTTTAAACTCAGTTTTTGAAGAATTTCCAGGTGGATATTTAGCGCCGTTTGAGGCCTATGGTAGAAAAGGCAATATCTTCGTAGGAGGACTAGACAGAAAGATTCTCAGAAGCTACTTTGTGATGTGTGGGTTCAACTCACTGAGTTTAACCTTTCTTTTGATAGACCAGTTATGAAACACTCTTTTTGTGGAATCTGCAAGTAAATATATGGACTTTTTTGAGGCCTTCATTGGAAACGGGGTTTCTTCATATAAACCTTGACAGAAGAATTCCCAGAAACTTCTTTGTGATGTGAGCATTTAACTCTCAGAGTTCAACCTTCCTTTTGACAGAAGAGTGTTGAAATATTCTTTTTCTAGAGTTTCCAAGTGAATATTTAGAGCGGTTTCAGGCCTATGTAGAAGAGAAAATATCTTCACAGAGAAAGTAGACATAATTGTTCTCTGAAGCTACTTTGTGATGTGTGCATTCAGCTTAAAGAGATTAACCTTTCTTTGGATCGAGCGGTTTTAAACACTCTTTTTGTGGAATTTGCAATTCTATATTTAGATTGCTTTCAGGCCTGTGATACAAAAGGGAATGTCTTCACATAAAATCTAGACAGAAGCATTGTCGGGAACTACTTTGTGATACCTGCCTTCAACTCTCAGAGTTGAATATTCCTCTTGATGGAGAAGTTTTGTAAAACTCTTTTGTTGAATCTCCAAGTGGATATTTGGACCTCTTTGTGGCCTTCGTTTGAAACGTGACTGCTTCATACAAAAGTAGACAGAAGAATTCTCATAAACTTCTTCGTGATGTGTGCTTTCAACTCGCAGAGTTGAAGCTTCCTTTCGATAGAGCAGTCTTGTAACTCTCTTTTTGTAGAATTTCCAAGTGGATATTTAGCGCCGCTTGAGGCCTATGGTGGAGAAGGCGATATCTACATAGAAAAACTAGACAGAATGATTCTCAGAAATTACTCTGTGATGTGTGCCTTCAACTCACAGAGTTTAATCTTCCTTTTGATAGAGCAGTTTTGAAAAACTCTTTTTGTAGAATCTGCAAGTGTATATTGGGACTTTTCTGAGGCCATCTTTGGAAACGGGATTTCTTCATATAAAACTTGAAAGAAGAATCCTCAGAAAATTATTTGTGATATGTGCATTTAGCTCATGGAGCTGAAACTTCCTTTCGATAGAAGAGCTTTGAAATACTCTTTTTGTAGAATTTCCAAGTGGATTTTTACAGCGGTTTGAGGTCTATGGCAGAAAAAGAAATATCTTCACAGAAAAACTAGGCAGATTCATTCTCCGAAGCTGTTTTCTGATGCTTGCATTCAGCTGACAGAGTTTAAACTTCCTTTGATACAGCAGTTTGGAAACACTCTTTTTGTGGAATTTGCAAGTGTATATTTAGAGCGTTTTGAGGCCTACAGTAGGAAAGGAAATATCTTCACCTAAAAACTAGACAGAAATATTGTCAGAAACTTACATGTGATATTTGCATTCAAAACACAGAGTTGAACATTCCTCTTGATGGAGCAGTTTTGATACCCTCTTTTTGCAGAATCTGCAGGTGGATATTTGGACCTCTTTGTGGCCATCGTTTGAAACGTGATTTCTTCATTTACAACTAGACAGAAGAATTCTCAGAAACTTCTTTGTGATGTGTACCTTCAACTCACAGAGGTGAAGCTTCCTTTCAATAGAGCACTTTTGAAGCTCAGTTTTGGTAGAATTTCCAGGTGGATATTTAGCGCCGTTTGAGGCCTATGGTAGAAAAGGCAATATCTTCGTAGGAGAACTAGACACAATGTTTCTCAGAAGCTACTTTGTGATGTGTGGGTTCAACTCACTGAGTTTAACCTTTCTTTTGATAGACCAGTTATGAAACACTCTTTTTGTAGGATCTGCAAGTAAATATTTTGACTTTTTTGAGGCCTTCATTGGAAACGGGGTTTCTTCATATAAACCTTGACAGAAGAATTCTCAGAAACTTCTCTGTGATGTGTGCGTTTAACTCTCAGAGTTCAACCTTCCTTTTGATAGAAGAGTGTTGAAATATTCTTTTTGCAGAATTTCCAAGTGAATATTTAGAGCGGTCTCAGGCCTATGTGGAAGAGAAACTATCTTCACGGAAAAACTAGACATAATTGTTCTCTGAAGCTACTCTGTGAGGTGCGCATTCAGCTGACAGAGTTTAACCTTTCTTAGGATAGAGCGGTTTTAAACCCTCTTTTTGTGGAATTTGCAATTCTGTATTTAGAGTGCTTTCAGGCCTGTGGTACAAAAGGGAATGTCTTCACATAAAATCTAGACAGAAGCATTGTCGGGAACTACTTTGGGATACCTGCCTTCAACTCTCAGAGTTGAATATTCCTCTTGATGGAGCAGTTTTGAGAAACTCTTTTTGTTGAATCTCCAAGTGGATATTTGGACCTCTTTGTGGCCTTCGTTTGAAACGTGACTGCTTCATACAAAAGTAGACAGAAGAATTCTCATAAACTTCTTCGTGATGTGTGCTTTCAACTCGCAGCGTTGAAGCTTCCTTTCGATAGAGCAGTTTAGTAACTCTCTTTTTGCAGAATTTCCAAGTGGATACTTAGCGCCGTTTGAGGCCTATGGTGGAAAAGGCAATATCTTCATAGAAAAACTAGACAGAATGATTCTCAGAAACTACTTTGTGATGTGTGCCTTCAACTCACAGAGTTTAACCTTCCTTTTGGTAGAGCAGTTTTGAAAAACTCTTTTTGTAGGATCTGCAAGTGTATATTGGGACTTTTCTGAGGCCATCTTTGGAAACGGGATTTCTTCATATAAAACTTGAAAGAAGAATCCTCAGAAAATTATTTGTGGTATGTGCATTTAACTCATGGAGTTGAAACTTCCTTTCGCTAGAAGAGTTTTGACATACTCTTTTTGTAGGATTTCCAAGTGGATTTTCACAGCGGTTTGAGGTCTATGGCAGAAAAAGAAATATCTTCACAGAAAAACTAGGCAGATTCATTCTCCGAAGCTGTTTTGTGATGCTTGCATTCAGCTGACAGAGTTTAAACTTCCTTTGATAGAGCAGTTTTGAAACCCTCTTTTTGTGGAATTTGCAAGTGTCTCTTTAGAGCGTTTTGAGGCCTACAGTAGGAAAGGAAATATCCTCACATAAAAACTAGACAGAAGTATTGTCTGAAACTTATTTGTGATATTTGCATTCAACGCACAGAGTTGAACATTCCTCTTGATGGAGCCGTTTTGAAACACTCTTTTTGTAGAATCTGCAAGTGGATATTTGGACCTCTTTTTGGCCTTCGTGTGAAACGTGATTTCTTCATTGACAACTAGACAGAAGAATTCTCAGAAACTTCTTTGTGATGTGTACCTTCAACTCACAGAGTTGAAGCTTCCTTTCAATAGAGCACTTTTGAAACTCAGTTTTTGTAGAATTTCCAGGTGGATATTTAGCGCCGTTTGAGGCCTAAGGTAGAAAAGGCAATATCTTCGTAGGAAAACTAGACAGAATGATTCTCAGAAACAACTTTGTGATGTGTGCGTTCAACTCACGGAGTTTAACCTTTCTTTTGATAGACCAGTTATGAAACACTCTTTTTGTAGAATCTGCAAGTAAACATTTGGACTTTTTTGAGGCCTTCATTGGAAACGGGATCTCCCCATATAAACCTTGACAGAAGAATTCCCAGAAACTTCTCTGTGATGTGTGCATTTAACTCTCAGAGTTCAACCTTCCTTTTGATAGAAGAGGGTTGAAATATTCTTTTTATAGAATTTCCAAGTGAATATTTAGAGCGGTTTCAGGCCTAAGTAGAAGAGAAAATATCTTCACAGAAAAACTAGACATAATTGTTCTCTGAAGCTACTTTGTGATGTCCGCATTCAGCTTACAGAGTTTAACCTTTCTTTGGATCGAGCGGTTTTAAACACTCTTTTTGTGGAATTTGCAATTCTATATTTAGAGTGCTTTCAGGCCTGTGGTACAAAAGGGAATGTCCTCACATAAAATCTAGACAGAAGCATTGTCGGAAACTACTTTGTGATACCTGCCTTCAACTCTCAGAGTTGAATATTCCTCTTGATGGAGCAGTTTTGAAAAACTCTTTTTGTTGAATCTCCAAGTGTATATTTGGACCTCTTTGTGGCCTTCGTTTGAAACGTGACTTCTTCATAGAAAACTAGACAGAAGAATTCTCATAAACTTCTTCGTGATGTGTGCTTTCAACTCGCAGCGTTGAAGCTTCCTTTCGATAGAGCAGTTTTGTAACTCTCTTTTTGTAGAATTTCCAAGTAGATATTTAGCGCCGTTTGAGGCCTATGGTGGAAAAGGCAATCTCCTCATAGAAAAACTAGACAGAATGATTCTCAGAAACTACTTTGTAATGTGTGCCTTCAACTCACAGAGTTTAACCTTTCTTTTGATAGAGCAGTTTTGAAAAACTCTTTTTGTAGAATCTGCAAGTGTATATTGGGACTTTTCTGAGGCCATCTTTGGAAACGGGATTTCTTCATATAAAACTTGAAAGAAGAATCCTCAGAAAATTATTTGTGATATGTGCATTTAACTCATGGATTTGAAACTTCTTTTCGATAGAAAGGATTTGAAATACTCTTTTTGTAGAATTTCCAAGTGGATTTTTACAGCGGTGTGAGGTCTATGGCAGCAAAAGAAATATCTTCACAGAAAAACTGGGCAGATTCATTCTCCGAAGCTGTTTTGTGATGCTTGCATTCAGCTGACAGAGTTTAAACTTCCTTTGATAGAGCAGTTTTGAAACACTCTTTTTGCGGAATTTGCAAGTGTATATTTAGAGCGTTTTGAGGCCTACAGTACGAAAGGAAATATCTTCACCTAAAAACTAGACAGAAGTATTGTCAGGAACTTATTTGTGATATTTGCATTCAACGCACGGAGTTGAACATTCCTCTTGATGGAGCCGTTTTGAAGCACTCTTTTTGTGGAATCTGCAAGTGGATATTTGGACCTCTTTGTGGCCTTCGTGGGAAACGTGATTTCTTCATTTACAACTAGACAGAAGAATTCTCAGAAACTTCTTTGTGATGTGTACCTTCAACTCACAGAGTTGAAGCTTCCTTTCAATAGAGCACCTTAGAAACTCAGTTTTTGTAGAATTTCCAGGTGGATATTTAGCGCCGTTTGAGGCCTACGGTAGAAAAGGCAATATCTTCGTAGGAGGACTAGACAGAATGATTCTCAGAAGCTACTTTGTGATGTGTGGGTTCAACTCAATGAGTTTAACCTTTCTTTTGATAGACCAGTTATGAAACACTCTTTCTGTGGAATCTGCAAGTAAATTTTTGGACTTTTTTGAGGCCTTCATTGGAAACGGGGTTTCTTCATATAAACCTTGACAGAAGAATTCTCAGAAACTTCTCTGTGATGTGTGCGTTTAACTCTCAGAGTTCAACCTTCCTTTTGATAGAAGAGTGTTGAAATATTCTTTTTGCAGAATTTCCAAGTGAATATTTAGAGCGGTCTCAGGCCTATGTAGAAGAGAAACTATCTTCACGGAAAAACTAGACATAATTGTTCTCTGAAGCTGCTCTGTGATGTGCGCATTCAGCTGACAGAGTTTAACCTTTCTTTGGATAGAGCGGTTTTGAACCCTCTTTTTGTGGAATTTGCAATTCTATATTTAGAGTGCTTTCAGGCCTGTGGTACAAAAGGGAATGTCTTCACATAAAATCTAGACAGAAGCATTGTCGGAAACTACTTTGTGATACCTGCCTTCAACTCTCAGAGTTGAATGTTCCTCTTGATGGAGCAGTTTTGAAAAACTCTTTTTGTTGAATCTCCAAGTGGATATTTGGACCTCTTTGTGGCCTTCGTTTGAGACGTGACTGCTTCATACAAAAGTAGACAGAAGAATTCTCATAAACTTCTTCGTGATGTGTGCTTTCAACTCGCAGAGTTGAAGCTTCCTTTCGATAGAGCAGTCTTGTAACTCTCTTTTTGTAGAATTTCCAAGTGGATATTTAGCGCCGTTTGAGGCCTATGGTGGAGAAGGCGATATCTTCATAGAAAAACTAGACAGAATGATTCTCAGAAACTACTTTGTGATGTGTGCCTTCAACTCACAGAGTTTAACCTTTCTTTTGATAGAGCAGTTTTGAAAAACTCTTTTTGTAGAATCTGTAAGTGTATATTGGGACTTTTCTGAGGCCATCTTTGGAAACGGGATTTCTTCAGATAAAACTTGAAAGAAGAATCCTCAGAAAATTATTTGTGATATGTGCATTTAACTCATGGAGTTGAAACTTCCTTTCGATAGAAGAGTTTTGAAATACTCTTTTTGTAGAATTCCCAAGTGGATTTTTACAGCGGTTTGAGGTCTATGGCAGCAAAAGAAATATCTTCACAGAAAAACTAGGCAGATTCATTCTCCGAAGCTGTTTTGTGATGCTTGCATTAAGCTGACAGAGTTTAAACTTCCTTTGATAGAGCAGTTTGGAAACACTCTTTTTGTGGAATTTGCAAGTGTATATTTAGAGCGTTTTGAGGCCTACAGTAGGAAAGGAAATAACTTCACATAAAAACTAGACAGAAGTATTGTCAGAAACTTATTTGTGATATTTGCATTCAAAGCACAGAGTTGAACATTCCTCTTGATGGAGCCGTTTTGAAACACTCTTTTTGTAGAATCTGCAAGTGGATATTTGGACCTCTTTGTGGCCTTCGTTTGAAACGTGATTTCTTCATTTACAACTAGACAGAAGAATTCTCAGAAACTTCTTTGTGATGTGTACCTTCAACTCACAGAGGTGAAGCTTCCTTTCAATAGAGCACTTTTGAAGCTCAGTTTTGGTAGAATTTCCAGGTGGATATTTAGCGCCGTTTGAGGCCTATGGTAGAAAAGGCAATATCTTCGTAGGAGAACTAGACACAATGATTCTCAGAAGCTACTTTGTGATGTGTGGGTTCAACTCACTGAGTTTAACCTTTCTTTTGATAGACCAGTTATGAAACACTCTTTTTGTGGAATCTGCAAGCAAATTTTTGGACTTTTTTGAGGCCTTCATTGGAAACTGGGTTTCTTCATATAAACCTTGACAGAAGAATTCTCAGAAACTTCTCTGTGATGTGTGCGTTTAACTCTCAGAGTTCAACCTTCCTTTTGATAGAAGAGTGTTGAAATATTCTTTTTGCAGAATTTCCAAGTGAATATTTAGAGCGGTCTCAGGCCTATGTGGAAGAGAAACTATCTTCACGGAAAAACTAGACATAATTGTTCTCTGAAGCTGCTCTGTGATGTGCGCATTCAGCTGACAGAGTTTAACCTTTCTTTGGATAGAGCGGTTTTAAACACTCTTTTTTTTGGAATTTGCAATTCTATACTTAGAGTGCTTTCAGGCCTGTGGTACAAAAGGGAATGTCTTCACATAAAATCTAGACAGAAGCATGTCGGGAACTACTTTGGGATACCTGCCTTCAACTCTCAGAGTTGAATATTCCTCTTGATGGAGCAGTTTTGAAAAACTCTTTTTGTTGAATCTCCAAGTGGATATTTGGACCTCTTTGTGGCCTTCGTTTGAAACGTGACTGCTTCATACAAAAGTAGACAGAAGAATTCTCATCAACTTCTTCGCGATGTGTGCTTTCAACTCGCAGAGTTGCAGCTTCCTTTCGATAGAGCAGTTTTGTAACTCTCTTTTTGTAGAATTTCCAAGTGGATATTTAGCGCCGTTTGAGGCCTATGGTGGAAAAGGCAATATCTTCATAGAAAAACTAGACAGAATGATTCTCAGAAACTACTGTGTGATGTGTGCCTTCAACTCACAGAGTTTAACCTTTCTTTTGATAGAGCAGTTTTGAAAAACTCTTTTTGTAGAATCTGCAAGTGTATATTGGGACTTTTCTGAGGCCATCTTTGGAAACGGGATTTCTTCATATAAAATTTGAAAGAAGAATCCTCAGAAAATTATTTGTGATATGTGCATTTATCTCATGGAGTTGAGACTTCCTTTCGATAGAAGAGTTTTGAAATACTCTTTTTGTAGAATTTCCAAGTGGATTTTTACAGCGGTTTGAGGTCTATGGCGGAAAAAGAAATATCTTCACAGAAAAAGTAGGCAGATTCATTCTCCGAAGCTGCTTTGTGATGCTTGCATTCAGCTGACAGAGTTTAAACTTTCCTTTGATAGAGCAGTTTTGAAACACTCTTTTTGTGGAATTTGCAAGTGTATATTTAGAGCGTTTTGAGGCCTACAGTAGGAAAGGAAATACCTTCACCTAAAAACTAGACAGAAGTATTGTCAGAAAGTTATTTGTGATATTTGCATTCAACGCACAGAGTTGAACATTCCTCTTGATGGAGCAGTTTTCAAACCCTCTTTTTGCAGAATCTGCAGCTGGATATTTGGACCTCTTTGTGGCCTTCGTTTGAAACGTGATTTCTGCATTTACAACTAGACAGAAGAATTCTCAGAAACTTCTTTGTGATGTGTACTTTCAACTCACAGAGTTGAAGCTTCCTTTCAATAGAGCACTTTTGAAACTCAGTTTTTGTAGAATTTCCAGGTGGATATTTAGCACCGTTTGAGGCCTATGGTAGAAAAGGCAATATCTTCGTAGGAAAACTAGACAGAATGATTCTCAGAAACTACTTTGTGATGTGTGGGTTCAACTCACTGAGTTTAACCTTTCTTTTGATAGACCAGTTATGAAACACTCTTTTTGTAGAATCTGCAAGTAAATATTTGGACTTTTTTGAGGCCTTCATTGGAAACGGGATTTCTTCATAGAAACCTTGACAGAAGAATCCCCAGAAACTTCTTTGTGATGTGTGCATTGAACTCTCAGAGTTCAACCTTCCTTTTGATAGAAGAGTGTTGAAATAGTCTTTTTGTAGAATTTCCAAGTGAATATTTAGAGCGGTTTCAGGCCTATGTAGAAGAGAAAATATCTTCACAGAGAAACTAGACATAATTGTTCTCTGAAGCTACTCTGTGATGTGCGCATTCAGCTTACAGAGTTTCACCTTTCTTTGGATAGAGCCGTTTTAAACACTCTTTTTGTGGAATTTGCAATTCTATATTTAGAGTGCTTTCAGGCCTGTGGTACAAAAGGGAATGTCTTCACATAAAATCTGGACAGAAGCATTGTCGGTAACTACTTTGTGATACATGGCTTCAACTCTCAGAGTTGAATATTCCTCTTGAAGGAGCAGTTTTGAAAAACACTTTTTGTTGAATCTCCAAGTGGATATTTGGTCCTCTTTGTGGCCTTCGTTTGAAACGTGACTGCTTCATACAAAAGTAGACAGAAGAATTCTCATAAACTTCTTGGTGATGTGTGCTTTCAACTCGCAGCGTTGAAGCTTCCTTTCGATAGAGCAGTTTAGTAACTCTCTTTTTGTAGAATTTCCAAGTGGATATTTAGCGCCGTTTGAGGCCTATGGTGGAAAAGGCAATATCTTCATAGAAAAACTAGACAGAATGATTCTCAGAAACTACTTTGTGATGTGTGCCTTCAACTCACAGAGTTTAACCTTCCTCTTGGTAGAGCAGTTTTGAAAAACTCTTTTTGTAGAATCTGCAAGTGTATATTGGGACTTTTCTGAGGCCATCTTTGGAAACGGGATTTCTTCATATAAAACTTGAAAGAAGAATCCTCAGAAAATTATTTGTGATATGTGCATTTAACTCATGGAGTTGAGACTTCCTTTCGATAGAAGAGTTTTGAAATACTCTTTTTGTAGAATTTCCAAGTGGATTTTTACAGCGGTTTGATTTCTATGGCAGAAAAAGAAATATCTTCACAGAAAAACTAGGCAGATTCATTCTCCGAAGCTGTTTTGTGATGCTTGCATTAAGCGGACAGGGTTTAAACTTCCTTTGATAGAGCAGTTTGGAAACACTCTTTTTGTGGAATTTGCAAGTGTATATTTAGAGCGTTTTGAGGCCTACAGTAGGAAAGGAAAAATCTTCACATAAAAACTACACAGAAGTATTGTCAGAAACTTATTTGTGATATTTGCATTCAACGCACGGAGTTGAACATTCCTCTTGATGGAGCCGTTTTGAAGCACTCTTTTTGTGGAATCTGCAAGTGGATATTTGGACCTCTTTGTTGCCTTCGTGTGAAACGTGATTTCTTCATTTACAACTAGACAGAAGACTTCTCAGAAACTTCTTTGTGATGTGTACCTTCAACTCACAGAGGTGAAGCTTCCTTTCAATAGAGCACTTTTGAAGCTCAGTTTTGGTAGAATTTCCAGGTGGATATTTAGCGCCGTTTGAGGCCTATGGTAGAAAAGGCAATATCTTCGTAGGAGAACTAGACAGAATGATTCTCAGAAGCTACTTTGTGATGTGTGGGTTCAACTCACTGAGTTTAACCTTTCTTTTGATAGACCAGTTATGAAACACTCTTTCTGTGGAATCTGCAAGTAAATTTTTGGACTTTTTTGAGGCCTTCATTGGAAACGGGGTTTCTTCATATAAACCTTGACAGAAGAATTCTCAGAAACTTCTCTGTGATGTGTGCGTTTAACTCTCAGAGTTCAACCTTCCTTTTGATAGAAGAGTGTTGAAATATTCTTTTTGCAGAATTTCCAAGTGAATATTTAGAGCGGTCTCAGGCCTATGTGGAAGAGAAACTATCTTCACGGAAAAACTAGACATAATTGTTCTCTGAAGCTACTTTGTGATGTGCGCATTCATCTTACAGAGTTTAACCTTTCTTTGGATCGAGCGGTTTTAAACACTCTTTTTGTGGAATTTGCAATTCTATATTTAGAGTGCTTTCAGGCCTGTGGTACAAAAGGGAATGTCCTCACATAAAATCTAGACAGAAGCATTGTCGGGAACTACTTTGTGATACCTGCCTTCAACTCTCAGAGTTGAATATTCCTCTTGATGGAGCAGTTTTGTAAAACTCTTTTTGATGAATCTCCAAGTGGATATTTGGACCTCTTCGTGGCCTTCGTTTGAAACGTGACTGCTTCATACAAAAGTAGACAGAAGAATTCTCATAAAGTTCTTCGTGATGTGTGCTTTCAACTCGCAGAGTTGAAGCTTCCTTTCGATAGAGCAGTCTTGTAACTCTCTTTTTGTAGAATTTCCAAGTGGATATTTAGCGCCGCTTGAGGCCTATGGTGGAGAAGGCGATATCTTCATAGAAAAACTAGACAGAATGATTCTCAGAAACTACTCAGTGATGTGTGCCTTCAACTCACAGAGTTTAACCTTCCTTTTGATAGAGCAGTTTTAAAAAACTCTTTTTGTAGAATCTGCAAGTGTATATTGGGACTTTTCTGAGGCCAACTTTGGAAACGGGATTTCTTCATATAAAACTTGAAAGAAGAATCCTCAGAAAATTATTTGTGATATGTGCATTTAACTCATGGAGTTGAAACTTCCTTTCGATAGAAGAGTTTTGAAATACTCTTTTTGTAGAATTCCCAAGTGGATTTTTACAGCGGTTTGAGGTCTATGGCAGCAAAAGAAATATCTTCACAGAAAAACTAGGCAGATTCATTCTCCGAAGCTGTTTTGTGATGCTTGCATTCAGCTGACAGAGTTTAAACTTCCTTTGATAGAGCAGTTTTGAAACACTCTTTTTGCGGTATTTGCAAGTGTATATTTAGAGCGTTTTGAGGCCTACAGTAGGAAAGGAAATATCTTCACCTAAAAACTAGACAGAAGTATTGTCAGAAACTTATTTGTGATATTTGCATTCACCGCACAGAGTTGAACATTCCTCTTGATGGAGCCGTTTTGAGACACTCTTTTTGTAGAATCTGCAAGTGGATATTTGGACCTCTTTGTGGCCTTCGTGTGAAACGTGATTTCTTCATTGACAACTAGACAGAAGAATTCTCAGAAACTTCTTTGTGATGTGTACCTTCAACTCACAGAGTTGAAGCTTCCTTTCAAAAGAGCACTTTTGAAACTCAGTTTTTGTAGAATTTCCAGGTGGATATTTAGCGCCGTTTGAGGCCTATGGTAGAAAAGGCAATATCTTCGTAGGAAAACTAGACAGAATGATTCTCAGAAACTACTTTGTGATGTGTGGGTTCAACTCACTGAGTTTAACCTTTCTTTTGATAGACCAGTTATGAAACACTCTTTTTGTACAATCTGCATGTAAATATTTGGACTTTTTTGAGGCCTTCATTGGAAACGGGATTTCTTCATATAAACCTGGACAGAAGAATTCTCAGAAACTTCTCTGTGATGTGTGCGCTTAACTCTCAGAGTTCAACCTTCCTTTTGATAGAAGAGTGTTGAAATATTCTTTTTGTAGAATTTCCAAGTGAATATTTAGAGCGGTTTCAGGCCTATGTAGAAGAGAATCTATCTTCACAGAAAAACTAGACATAATTTTTCTCTGAAGCTACTTTGTGATGTGCGCCTTCAGCTGACAGAGTTGAACCTTTCTTTGGATAGAGCGGTTTTAAACACTCTTTTTGTGGAATTTGCAATTCTATATTTAGAGTGCTTTCAGGCCTGTGGTACAAAAGGGAATGTCTTCACATAAAATCTAGTCAGAAGCGTTGTCGGAAACTACTTTGTGATACCTGCCTTCAACTCTCAGAGTTGAATATTCCTCTTGACGGAGCAGTTTTGAAAAACGCTTTTTGTGGAATCTCCAAGTGGATATTTGGACCTCTTTGTTGCCTTCGTTTGAGACGTGACTTCTTCCTACAAAACTAGACAGAAGAATTCTCATAAACTTCTTCGTGATGTGTGCTTTCAACTCGCAGAGTTGAAGCTTCCTTTCGATAGAGCAGTCTTGTAACTCTCTTTTTGTAGAATTTCCAAGTGGATATTTAGTGCCGCTTGAGGCCTATGGTGGAGAAGGCGATATCTTCATAGAAAAACTAGACAGAATGATTCTCAGAAACTACTTTGTGATGTGTGCCTTCAACTCACAGAGTTTAACCTTTCTTTTGATAGAGCAGTTTTGAAAAACTCTTTTTGTAGAATCTGCAAGTGTATATTGGGACTTTTCTGAGGCCATCTTTGGAAACGGGATTTCTTCAGATAAAACTTGAAAGAAGAATCCTCAGAAAATAATTTGTGATATGTGCATTTAACTCATGGAGTTGAAACTTCCTTTCGATAGAAGAGTTTTGAAATACTCTTTTTGTAGAATTCCCAAGTAGATTTTTACAGCGGTTTGAGGTCTATGGCAGCAAAAGAAATATCTTCACAGAAAAACTAGGCAGATTCATTCTCTGAAGCTGTTTTGTGATGCTTGCATTAACCTGACAGAGTTTAAACTTCCTTTGATAGAGCAGTTTGGAAACACTCTTTTTGTGGAATTTGCAAGTGTATATTTAGAGCCTTTTGAGGCCTACAGTAGGAAAGTAAATATCTTCACATAAAAACTAGACAGAAGTATTGTCAGAAACTTATTTGTGATATTTGCCTTCAACGCACAGAGTTGAACATTCCTCTTGATGGAGCAGTTTTGAAACCCTCTTTTTGCAGAATCTGCAGGTGGATATTTGGACCTCTTTGTGGCCTTCGTTTGAAACGTGATTTCTTCATTTACAACTTGACAGAAGAATTCTCAGAAACTTCTTTGTGATGTGTACCTTCAACTCACAGAGGTGAAGCTTCCTTTCAATAGAGCACTTTTGAAACTCAGTTTTGGTAGAATTTCCAGGTGGATATTTTGCGCCGTTTGAGGCCTATGGTAGAAAAGGCAATATCTTCGTAGGAGAACTAAACAGAATGATTCTCAGAAGCTACTTTGTGATGTGTGGGTTCAACTCACTGAGTTTCACCTTTCTTTTGATAGACCAGTTATGAAACACTCTTTTTGTGGAATCTGCAAGTAAATATTTGGACTGTTTTCAGGCCTTCATTGGAAACGGGGTTTCTTCATATAAACCTTGACAGAAGAATTCTCAGAAACTTCTCTGTGATGTGTGCGTTTAACTCTCAGAGTTCAACCTTCCTTTTGATGGAAGAGTGTTGAGGTATTCTTTTTGTAGAATTTCCAAGTGAATATTTAGAGCAGTTTCAGGCCTATGTAGAAGAGAAAATATCTTCCCAGAAAGACTAGACATAATTGTACTCTGAAGCTACTTTGTGATGTGCGCATTCAGCTTAGAGAGTTTAACCTTTCTTTGGATAGAGCGGTTTTAAACACTCTTTTTGTGGAATTTGCAGTTCTATATTTAGAGTGCTTTCAGGCCTGTGGTACAAAAGGGAATGTCCTCACATAAAATCTAGACAGAAGCATTGTCGGAAACTACTTTGTGATACCTGCCTTCAACTCTCAGAGTTGAATATTCCTCTTGATGGAGCAGTTTTGAAAAACTCTTTTTGTTGAATCTCCAAGTGGATATTTGGACCTCTTTGTGGCCTTCGTTTGAGACGTGACTGCTTCATACAAAAGTAGACAGAAGAATTCTCATCACCTTCTTCGCGATGTGTGCTTTCAACTCGCGGAGCTGAAGCTTCCTTTCGATAGAGCAGTTTTGTAACTCTCTTTTTGTAGAATTTCCAAGTGGATATTTAGCGCCGTTTGAGGCCTATGGTGGAAAAGGCAATATCTTCATAGAAAAACTAGACAGAATGATTCTCAGAAACTACTTTGTGATGTGTGCCTTCAACTCACAGAGTTTAACCTTTCTTTTGATAGAGCAGTTTTGAAAAACTCTTTTTGTAGAATCTGCAAGTGTATCTTGGGACTTTTCTGAGGCCATCTTTGGAAACGGGATTTCTTCATATAAAATTCGAAAGAAGAATCCTCAGAAAATTATTTGTGATATGTGCATTTAACTCATGGAGTTGAAACTTCCTTTCGATAGAAGAGTTTTGAAATACTCTTTTTGTAGAATTTCCAAGTGGATTTTTACAGCGGTTTGAGGTCTATGGCAGCAAAAGAAATATCTTCACAGAAAAACTAGGCAGATTCATTCTCCGAAGCTGTTTTGTGATGCTTGCATTCAGCTGACAGAGTTTAAACTTCCTTTGATAGAGCAGTTTTGAAACCCTCTTTTTGTGGAATTTGCAAGTGTCTCTTTAGAGCGTTTTGAGGCCTACAGTAGGAAAGGAAATATCTTCACATAAAAACTAGACAGAAGTATTGTCAGAAACTTATTTGTGATATTTGCATTCAACGCACAGAGTTGAACATTCCTCTTGATGGAGCCGTTTTGAAACACTCTTTTTGTAGAATCTGCAAGTGGATATTTGGACCTCTTTGTGGCCTTCGTGTGAAACGTGATTTCTTCATTTACAACTAGACAGAAGAATTCTCAGAAACTTCTTTGTGATGTGTACCTTCAACTCACAGAGTTGAAGCTTCCTTTCCATAGAGCACTTTTGAAACTCAGTTTTTGTAGAATTTCCTGGTGGATATTTAGCGCCGTTTGAGGCCTATGGTAGAAAAGGCAATATCTTCGTAGGAGAGCTAGACAGAATGATTCTCAGAAACTACTTTGTGATGTGTGGGTTCAACTCACTGAGTTTAACCTTTCTTTTGATAGACCAGTTATGAAACACCCTTTTGGTAGAACATGCAAGTAAATATTTGGACTTTTTTGAGGCCTTCATTGGAAACGGGATTTCTTCATAGAAACCTTGACAGAAGAATTCTCAGAAACTTCTCTGTGATGTGTGCGTTTAACTCTCAGAGTTCAACCTTCCTTTTGATAGAAGAGTGTTGAAATATTCTTTTTGCAGAATTTCCAAGTGAATATTTAGAGCCGTCTCAGGCCTATGTGGAAGAGAAACTATCTTCACGGAAAAACTAGACATAATTGTTCTCTGAAGCTACTCTGTGATGTGCGCATTCAGCTGACAGAGTTTAACCTTTCTTTGCATAGAGCGGTTTTAAACCCTCTTTTTGTGGAATTTGCAATTCTGTATTTAGAGTGCTTTCAGGCCTGTGGTACAAAAGGGAATGTCTTCACCTAAAATCTAGACAGAAGCATTGCCGGGAACTACTTTGTGATACCTGCCTTCAACTCTCAGAGTTGAATATTCCTCTTGATGGAGCAGTTTTGAAAAACTCTTTTTGTTCAATCTCCAAGTGGATATTTGGACCTCGTTGTGGCCTTCGTTTGAAACGTGACTGCTTCATACAAAAGTAGACAGAAGAATTCTCATAAACTTCTTCGTGATGTGTGCTTTCAACTCGCAGCCTTGAAGCTTCCTTTCGATAGAGCAGTTTAGTAACTCTCTTTTTGTAGAATTTCCAAGTGGATATTTAGCGCCGTTTGAGGCCTATGGTGGAAAAGGCAATATCTTCATAGAAAAACTAGACAGAATGATTCTCAGAAACTACTTTGTGATGTGTGCCTTCAACTCACAGAGTTTAACCTTCCTTTTGGTAGAGCAGTTTTGAAAAACTCTTTTTGTAGAATCTGCAAGTGTATAATGGGACTTTTCTGAGGCCATCTTTGGAAACGGGATTTCTTCATATAAAACTTGAAAGAAGAATCCTCAGAAAATTATTTGTGATATGTGCATTTAACACATGGAGTTGAGACTTCCTTTCGATAGAAGAGTTTTGAAATACTCTTTTTGTAGAATTTCCAAGTGGATTTTTACAGCGGTTTGAGGTCTATGGCAGAAAAAGAAATATCTTCACAGAAAAACTAGGCAGATTCATTCTCCGAAGCTGTTTTGTGATGCTTGCATTAAGCGGACAGAGTTTAAACTTCCTTTGATAGAGCAGTTCGGAAACACTCTTTTTGTGGAATTTGCAAGTGTATATTTAGAGCGTTTTGAGGCCTACAGTAGGAAAGGAAATATCTTCACATAAAAACTACACAGAAGTATTGTCAGAAAGTTATTTGTGATATTTGCATTCAACGCACAGCAGTTGAACATTCCTCTTGATGGAGCAGTTTTCAAACCCTCTTTTTGCAGAGTCTGCAGGTGGATATTTGGACCTCTTTGTGGCCTTCGTTTGAAACGTGATTTCTGCATTTACAACTAGACAGAAGAATTCTCAGAAACTTCTTTGTGATGTGTACCTTCAACTCACAGAGTTGAAGCTTCCTTTCAATAGAGCACTTTTGAAACTCAGTTTTTGTAGAATTTCCAGGTGGATATTTAGCGCCGTTTGAGGCCTATGGTAGAAAAGGCAATATCTTCGTAGGAAAACTAGACAGAATGATTCTCAGAAACTACTTTGTGATGTGTGGGTTCAACTCACTGAGTTTAACCTTTCTTTTGATAGACCAGTTATGAAACACTCTTTTTGTAGAATCTGCAAGTAAATATTTGGACTTTTTTGAGGCCTTCATTGGAAACGGGATTTCTTCATAGAAACCTTGACAGAAGAATTCCCAGAAACTTCTTTGTGATGTGTGCATTTAACTCTCAGAGTTCAACCTTCCTTTTGATAGAAGAGTGTTGAAATATTCTTTTTGTAGAATTTCCAAGTGAATATTTAGAGCGGTTTCAGGCCTATGTAGAAGAGAAAATATCTTCACAGAGAAACTAGACATAATTGTTCTCTGAAGCTACTTTGTGATGTGCGCATTCAGCTTACAGAGTTTAACCTTTCTTTGGATCGAGCGGTTTTAAACACTCTTTTTGTGGAATTTGCAATTCTATATTTAGAGTGCTTTCAGGCCTGTGGTACTAAAGGGAATGTCTTCACATAAAATCTACACAGAAGCATTGTCGGGAACTATTTTGTGATACCTGCCTTCAACTCTCAGAGTTGAATATTCCTCTTGATGGAGCAGTTTTGTAAAACTCTTTTTGTTGAATCTCCAAGTGGATATTTGGACCTCTTCGTGGCCTTCGTTTGAAACGTGACTGCTTCATACAAAAGTAGACAGAAGAATTCTCATAAACTACTTCGTGATGTGTGCTTTCAACTCGCAGCGTTGAAGCTTCCTTTCGATAGAGCAGTTTAGTAACTCTCTTTTTGTAGAATTTCCAAGTGGATATTCAGCGCCGTTTGAGGCCTATGGTGGAAAAGGCAATATCTTCATAGAAAAACTAGACAGAATGATTCTCAGAAACTTCTTTGTGATGTGTGCCTTCAACTCACAGAGTTTAACCTTTGTTTTGATAGAGCAGTTTTGAAAAACTCTTTTTGTAGAATCTGCAAGTGTATATTGGGACTTTTCTGAGGCCATCTTTGGAAACGGGATTTCTTCCTATAAAACTTGAAGGAAGAATCCTCAGAAAATTATTTGTGATATGTGCATTTAACTCATGGATTTGAAACTTCTTTTCGATAGAAAGGATTTGAAATACTCTTTTTGTAGAATTTCCAAGTGGATTTTTACAGCGGTGTGAGGTCTATGGCAGCAAAAGAAATATCTTCACAGAAAAACTGGGCAGATTCATTCTCTGAAGCTGTTTTGTGATGCTTGCATTAAGCTGACAGAGTTTAAACTTCCTTTGATAGAGCAGTTTGGAAACACTCTTTTTGTGGAATTTGCAAGTGTATATTTAGAGCCTTTTGAGGCCTACAGTAGGAAAGTAAATATCTTCACATAAAAACTAGACAGAAGTATTGTCAGAAACTTATTTGTGATATTTGCATTCAACGCACAGAGTTGAACATTCCTCTTGATGGAGCAGATTTCAAACCCTCTTTTTGCAGAATCTGCAGCTGGATATTTGGACCTCTTTGTGGCCTTCGTTTGAAACGTGATTTCTGCATTTACAAATAGACAGAAGAATTCTCAGAAACTTCTTTGTGATGTGTACCTTCAACTCACAGAGTTGAAGCTTCCTTTCAAAAGAGCACTTTTGAAACTCAGTTTTTGTAGAATTTCCAGGTGGATATTTAGCGCCGTTTGAGGCCTATGGTAGAAAAGGCAATATCTTCATAGGAAAACTAGACAGAATGATTCTCAGAAGCTACTTTGTGATGTGTGGGTTCAACTCACTGAGTTTAACCTTTCTTTTGATAGACCAGTTATGAAACACTCTTTTTGTGGAATCTGCAAGTAAATATTTGGACTTTTTTGAGGCCTTCATTGGAAACGGGGTTTCTTCATATAAACCTTGACAGAAGAATTCCCAGAAACTTCTCTGTGGTGTGTGCATTTAACTCTCAGAGTTCAACCTTCCTTTTGATAGAAGAGTGTTGAAGTATTCTTTCTGTAGAATTTCCAAGTGAATATTTAGAGCGGTTTCAGACCTATGTAGAAGAGAAACTATCTTCACAGAAAAACTAGACATAATTGTTCTCTGCAGCTACTTTGTGATGTGCGCATTCAGCTTACAGAGTTTAACCTTTCTTTGGATAGAGCGGTTTTAAACACTCTTTTTGTGGAATTTGCAGTTCTATATTTAGAGTGCTTTCAGGCCTGTGGTACAAAAGGGAATGTCCTCACATAAAATCTAGACAGAAGCATTGTCGGAAACTACTTTGTGATACCTGCCCTCAACTCTCAGAGTTGAATATTCCTCTTGATGGAGCAGTTTTGAAAAACTCTTTTTGTTGAATCTCCAAGTGGATATTTGGACCTCTTTGTGGCCTTCGTTTGAGACGTGACTGCTTTATACAAAAGTAGACAGAAGAATTCTCATAAACTTCTTCGTGATGTGTGCTTTCAACTCGCGGAGCTGAAGCTTCCTTTCGATAGAGCAGTTTTGTAACTCTCTTTTTGTAGAATTTCCAAGTGGATATTTAGCGCCGTTTGAGGCCTATGGTGGAAAAGGCAATATCTTCATAGAAAAAATAGACAGAATGATTCTCAGAAACTACTCTGTGATGTGTGCCTTCAACTCACAGAGTTTAACCTTCCTTTTGATAGAGCAGTTTTGAAAAACTCTTTTTGTAGAATCTGCAAGTGTATATTGGGACTTTTCTGAGGCCATCTTTGGAAACGGGATTTCTTCATATAAAACTTGAAAGAAGAATCCTCAGAAAATTATTTGTGATATGTGCATTTAACTCATGGAGTTGAAACTTCCTTTCGATAGAAGAGTTTTGACATCCTCTTTTTGTAGAATTTCCAAGTGGATTTTTACAGCGGTTTGAGGTCTATGGCAGAAAAAGAAATATCTTCACAGAAAAACTAGGCAGATTCATTCTCCGAAGCTGTTTTGTGATGCTTGCATTAAGCTGACAGAGTTTAAACTTCCTTTGATAGAGCAGTTTGGAAACACTCTTTTTGTGGAATTTGCAAGTGTATATTTAGAGCATTTTGAGGCCTACAGTAGGAAAGGAAATAACTTCACATAAAAACTAGACAGAAGTATTTTCAGAAACTTATTTGTGATATTTGCATTCAACGCACAGAGTTGAACATTCCTCTTGATGGAGCTGTTTTGAAACACTCTTTTTGTAGAATCTGCAAGTGGATATTTGGACCTCTTTGTGGCCGTCGTGTGAAACGTGATTTCTTCATTTACAACTAGACAGAAGAATTCTCAGAAACTTCTTTGTGATGTGTACCTTCAACTCACAGAGGTGAAGCTTCCTTTCAATAGAGCACTTTTGAAGCTCAGTTTTGGTAGAATTTCCAGGTGGATATTTAGCGCCGTTTGAGGCCTATGGTAGAAAAGGCAATATCTTCGTAGGAGAACTAGACAGAATTGTTCTCAGAAGCTACTTTGTGATGTGTGGGTTCAACACACTGAGTTTAACCTTTCTTTTGATAGACCAGTTATGAAACACTCTTTTTGTGGAATCTGCAAGTAAATATTTGGACTTTTTTGAGGCCTTCATTGGAAACGGGGTTTCTTCATATAAACCTTGACAGAAAAATTCCCAGAAACTTCTCTGTGATGTGTGCATTTAACTCTCAGAGTTCAACCTTCCTTTTGATAGAAGAGGGTTGAAATATTCTTTTTGTAGAATTTCCAAGTGAATATTTAGAGCGGTTTCAGGCCTATGTAGAAGAGAAAATATCTTCACAGAAAAACTAGACATAATTTTTCTCTGAAGCTACTTTGTCATGTGCGCATTCAGCTTACAGAGTTTAACCTTTCTTTGGATAGAGCGGTTTTATACACTCTTTTTGTGGAATTTGCAATTCTATATTTAGAGTGCTTTCAGGCCTGTGGTACAAAAGGTAATGTCCTCACATAAAATCTAGACAGAAGCATTGTCGGAAACTACTTTGTGATACCTGCCTTCAACTCTCAGAGTTGAATGTTCCTCTTGATGGAGCAGTTTTGAAAAACTCTTTTTGTTGAATCTCCAAGTAGATATTTGGACCTCTTTGTGGCCTTCGTTTGAGACGTGACTTCTTCATACAAAAGTAGACAGAAGAATTCTCATAAACTTCTTCGTGATGTGTGCTTTCAACTCGCAGAGTTGAAGCTTCCTTTCGATAGAGCAGTTTAGTAACTCTCTTTTTGTAGAATTTCCAAGTGGATATTTAGCGCCATTTGAGGCCTATGGTGGAAAAGGCAATATCTTCATAGAAAAACTAGTCAGAATGATTCTCAGAAACTACTTTGTGATGTGTGCCTTCAACTCACAGAGTTTAACCTTCCTTTTGGTAGAGCAGTTTTGAAAAACTCTTTTTGTAGAATCTGCAAGTGTATATTGGGACTCTTCTGAGGCCATCTTTGGAAACGGGATTTCTTCATATAAAACTTGAAAGAAGAATCCTCAGAAAATTATTTGTGATATGTGCATTTAGCTCATGGAGCTGAAACTTCCTTTCGATAGAAGAGCTTTGAAATACTCTTTTTGTAGAATTTCCAAGTGGATTTTTACAGCGGTTTGAGGTCTATGGCAGAAAAAGAAATATCTTCACAGAAAAACTAGGCAGATTCATTCTCCGAAGCTGTTTTGTGATGCTTGCATTCAGCTTAAAGAGTTTAAACTTCCTTTGATAGAGCAGTTTTGAAACCCTCTTTTTGTGGAATTTGCAAGTGTCTCTTTAGAGCGTTTTGAGGCCTACAGTAGGAAAGGAAATATCTTCACATAAAAACTAGACGGAAGTATTGTCAGAAACTTATTTGTGATATTTGCATTCAACGCACAGAGTTGAACATTCCTCTTGATGGAGCCGTTTTGAAACACTCTTTTTGCAGAATCTGCAGGTGGATATTTGGACCTCTTTGTGGCCTTCGTTTGAAACGTGATTTCTTCATTTACAACTAGACAGAAGAATTCTCAGAAACTTCTTTGTGATGTGTACCTTCAACTCACAGAGGTGAAGCTTCCTTTCAATAGAGCACTTTTGAAACTCAGTTTCGGTAGAATTTCCAGGTGGATATTTAGCGCCGTTTGAGGCCTATGCTAGAAAAGGCAATATCTTCGTAGGAGAACTAGACAGAATGATTCTCAGAAGCTACCTTGTGATGTGTGGGTTCAACTCACTGAGTTTAACCTTTCTTTTGATAGACCCGTTATGAAACACTGTTTTTGTAGAATCTGCAAGTAAATATTTGGACTTTATTGGAGGCCTTCATTGGAAACGGGGTTTCTTCATATAAACCTTGACAGAAGAATTCTCAGAAACTTCTCTGTGATGTGTGCGTTTAACTCTCAGAGTTCAACCTTCCTTTTGATAGAAGAGTGTTGAAATATTCTTTTTGTAGAATTTCCAAGTGAATATTTTGAGCGGTTTCAGGCCTATGTAGAAGAGAAAATATCTTCACAGAAAAACTAGACACAATTGTTCTCTGAAGCTACTTTGTGATGTGCGCATTCAGCTTACAGAGTTTAACCTTTCTTTGGATAGAGCGGTTTTAAACACTCTTTTTGTGGAATTTGCAATTCTATATTTAGAGTGCTTTCAGGCCTGTGGTACAAAAGGGAATGTCCTCACATAAAATCTAGACAGAAGCATTGTCGGAAACTACTTTGTGATACCTGCCTTCAACTCTCAGAGTTGAATATTCCTCTTGATGGAGCAGTTTTTAAAAACTCTTTTTGTTGAATCTCCAAGTGGATATTTGGACCTCTTTGTGGCCTTCGTTTGAGACGTGACTTCTTCATACAAAACTAGACAGAAGAATTCTCATAAACTTCTTTGGGATGTGTGCCTGCAACTCGCAGAGTTGAAGATTCCTTTCGATAGAGCAGTCTTGTAACTCTCTTTTTGTAGAATTTCCAAGTGGATATTTAGCGCCGTTTGAGGCCTATGGTGGAAAAGGCAATATCTTCATAGAAAAACTAGACAGAATGATTCTCAGAAACTACTTTGTGATGTGTGCCTTCAACTCACAGAGTTTAAACTTTCTTTTGATAGAGCAGTTTTGAAAAACTCTTTTTGTAGAATCTGCAAGTGTATATTGGGACTTTTCTGAGGCCATCTTTGGAAACGGGATTTCTTCATATAAAACTTGAAGGAAGAATCCTCAGCAAAATTATTTGTGATATGTGCATTTAACTCATGGAGCTGAAACTTCCTTTCGATAGAAGAGCTTTGAAATACCCTTTTTGTAGAATTTCCAAGTGGATTTTTACAGCGGTTTGAGGTCTATGGCAGAAAAAGAAATATCTTCACAGAAAAACTAGGCAGATTCATTCTCCGAAGCTGTTTTGTGATGCTTGCATTAAGCGGACAGAGTTTAAACTTCCTTTGAGAGAGCAGTTTGGAAACACTCTTTTTGTGGAATTTGCAAGTGTATATTTAGAGCGTTTTGAGGCCTACAGTAGGAAAGGAAATATCTTCACATAAAAACTAGACAGAAGTATTGTCAGAAACTTATTTGTGATATTTGCATTCAACGCACGGAGTTGAACATTCCTCTTGATGGAGCCGTTTTGAAGCACTCTTTTTGTGGAATCTGCAAGTGGATATTTGGACCTTTTTGTGTCCTTCGTGGGAAACGTGATTTCTTCATTTACAACTAGACAGAAGAATTCTCAGAAACTTCTTTGTGATGTGTACCTTCAACTCACAGAGGTGAAGCTTCCTTTCAATAGAGCACTTTTGAAGCTCAGTTTTGGTAGAATTTCCAGGTGGATATTTAGCGCCGTTTGAGGCCTATGGTAGAAAAGGCAATATCTTCGTAGGAGAACTAGACACAATGATTCTCAGAAACAACTTTGTGATATGTGCGTTCAACTCACGGAGTTTAACCTTTCTTTTGATAGACCAGTTATGAAACACTCTTTTTGTAGAATCTGCAAGTAAATATTTGGACTTTTTTGAGGCCTTCATTGGAAACGGGATCTCTTCATGTAAACCTTGACAGAAGAATTCCCAGAAACTTCTCTGTGATGTGTGCATTTAACTCTCAGAGTTCAACCTTCCTTTTGATAGAAGAGGGTTGAAATATTCTTTTTGTAGAATTTCCAAGTGAATATTTAGAGCGGTTTCAGGCCTAAGTAGAAGAGAAAATATCTTCACAGAAAAACTAGACATAATTGTTCTCTGAAGCTACTCTGTGATGTGCGCATTCAGCTGACAGAGTTTCACCTTTCTTTGGATAGAGCGGTTTTCAACACTCTTTTTGTGGAATTTGCAATTCTATATTTAGAGTGCTTTCAGGCCTGTGGTACAAAAGGGAATGTCTTCACATAAAATCTAGACAGAAGCATTGTCGGGAACTACTTTGGGATACCTGCCTTCAACTCTCAGAGTTGAATATTCCTCTTGATGGAGCAGTTTTGAAAAACTCTTTTTGTTGAATCTCCAAGTGGATATTTGGACCTCTTTGTGGCCTTCGTTTGAAACGTGACTGCTTCATACAAAAGTAGACAGAAGAATTCTCATAAACTTCTTCGTGATGTGTGCTTTCAACTCGCAGCGTTGAAGCTGCCTTTCGATAGAGCAGTTTAGTAACTCTCTTTTTGTAGAATTTCCAAGTGGATATTTAGCGCCGTTTGAGGCCTATGGTGGAAAAGGCAATATCTTCATAGAAAAACTAGACAGAATGATTCTCAGAAACTACTTTGTGATGTGTGCCTTCAACTCACAGAGTTTAACTTTCTTTTGATAGAGCAGTTTTGAAAAACTCTTTTTGTAGAATCTGCAAGTGTATATTGGGACTTTTCTGAGGCCATTTTTGGAAACGGGATTTCTTCATATAAAACTTGAAAGAAGAATCCTCAGAAAATTATTTGTGATATGTGCATTTAACTCATGGAGTTGAAACTTCCTTTCGATAGAAGAGTTTTGAAATACTCTTTTTGTAGAATTCCCAAGTGGATTTTTACAGCGTTTTGAGGTCTATGGCAGCAAAAGAAATATCTTCACAGAAAAACTAGGCAGATTCATTCTCCGAAGCTCTTTTGTGATGCTTGCATTAAGCGGACAGAGTTTAAACTTCCTTTGAGAGAGCAGTTTGGAAACACTCTTTATGTGGAATTTGCAAGTGTATATTTAGAGCGTTTTGAGGCCTACAGTAGGAAAGGAAATATCTTCACATAAAAACTACACAGAAGTATTCTCAGAAACTTACTTGTGATATTTGCATTCAACGCACAGAGTTGAACATTCCTCTTGATGGAGCAGTTATGAAACACTCTTTTTGTAGAATCTGCAGGTGGATATTTGGACCTCTTTGTGGCCTTCTTTTGAAACGTGATTTCTTCATTTACAACTAGACAGAAGACTTCTCAGAAACTTCTTTGTGATGTGTACCTTCAACTCACAGAGGTGAAGCTTCCTTTCAATAGAGCACTTTTGAAGCTCAGTTTTGGTAGAATTTCCAGGTGGATATTTAGCGCCGTTTGAGGCCTATGGTAGAAAAGGCAATATCTTCGTAGGAGAACTAGACAGAATGATTCTCAGACACTACTTTGTGATGTGTGGGTTCAACTCACTGAGTTTAACCTTTCTTTTGATAGACCAGTTATGAAACACTCTTTTTGTAGGATCTGCAAGTAAATATTTGGACTTTCTTGAGGTCTTCATTGGAAACGGGATTTCTTCATATAAACCTTGGCAGAAGAATTCTCAGAAACTTCTCTGTGATGTGTGCGTTTAACTCTCAGAGTTCAACCTTCCTTTTGATAGAAGAGTGTTGAAATATTCTTTTTGCAGAATTTCCAAGTGAATATTTAGAGCGGTCTCAGGCCTATGTGGAAGAGAAACTATCTTCACGGAAAAACTAGACATAATTGTTCTCTGAAGCTACTCTGAGATGTGCGCATTCAGCTGACAGAGTTTAACCTTTCGTTGGATAGAGCGGTTTTAAACCCTCTTTTTGTGGAATTTGCTATTCTATCTTTAGAGTGCTTTCAGGCCTGTGGTACAAAAGGGAATGTCTTCACATAAAATCTTGATAGAAGCATTGTCGGAAACTGCTTTGTGATACCTACCTTCAACTCTCAGAGTTGAATATTCCTCTTGATGGAGCAGTTTTGAAAAACTCTTTTTGTTGAATCTCCAAGTGGATATTTGGGCCTCTTTGTGGCCTTCGTTTGAGACGTGACTGCTTCATACAAATGTAGACAGAAGAATTCTCATAAACTTCTTCGGGATGTGTGCTTTCAACTTGCAGCGTTGAAGCTTCCTTTCGATAGAGCAGTTCTGTAACTCTCTTTTTGTAGAATTTCCAAGTGGATATTTAGCGCCGTTTGAGGCCTATGGTGGAAAAGGCAATATCTTCATAGAAAAACTAGACAGAATGATTCTCAGAAACTAATTTGTGATGTGTGCCTTCAACTCACAGAGTTTAACCTTCCTTTTGATAGAGCAGTTTTGAAAAACTCTTTCTGTAGAATCTGCAAGTGTATAGTGGGGCTTTTCTGAGGCCATGTTTGGAAACGGGATTTCTTCATATAAAACTTGAAAGAAGAATCCTCAGAAAATTATTTGTGATATGTGCATTTAACTCATGGAGTTGAAACTTCCTTTCGATAGAAGAGTTTTGAAATACTCTTTTTGTAGAATTCCCAAGTGGATTTTTACAGCGGTTGGAGGTCTATGGCAGCAAAAGAAATATCTTCACAGAAAAACTAGGCAGATTCATTCTCCGAAGCTGTTTTGTGATGCTTGCATTAAGCTGACAGAGTTTAAACTTCCTTTGATAGAGCAGTTTGGAAACACTCTTTTTGTGGAATTTTCCAGTGTATATTTAGAGCGTTTTGAGGCCTACAGTAGGAAAGGAAATATCTTCACATAAAAACTAGACAGAAATATTGTCAGAAACTTATTTGAGATATTTGCATTCAACGCACAGTGTTGAACATTCCTCTTGATGGAGCAGTTTTGAAACACTCTTTTTGTAGAATCTGCAGGTGGATATATGGACCTCTTTGTGGCCTTCGTTTGAAACG
The DNA here is from genome assembly GCF_000001405.40 of Homo sapiens. Taxonomy (NCBI): domain Eukaryota; kingdom Metazoa; phylum Chordata; class Mammalia; order Primates; family Hominidae; genus Homo; species Homo sapiens. The sequence goes on from NC_000003.12 coordinate 90,926,369, forward strand.
TGATTTCTTCATTTACAACTAGACAGAAGAATTCTCAGAAACTTCTTTGTGATGTGTACTTTCAACTCACAGATTTGAAGCTTCCTTTCAATAGAGCACTTTTGAAACTCAGTTTCTGTAGAATTTCCAGGTGGATATTTAGCGCCGTTTGAGGCCTATGGTGGAAAAGGCAATATCTTCGTAGAAAAACTAGACAGAATGATTCTCAGAAACAACTTTGTGATGTGTGCGTTCAACTCACGGAGTTTAACCTTTCTTTTGATAGACCAGTTATGAAACACTCTTCTTGTAGAATCTGCAAGTAAATATTTGGACTTTTTTGAGGCCTTCATTGGAAACGGGATCTCTTCATATAAACCTTGACAGAAGAATTCTCAGAAACTTCTCTGTGATGTGTGCGTTGAACTCTCAGAGTTCAACCTTCCTTTTGATAGAAGAGTGTTGAAATATTCTTTTTGCAGAATTTCCAAGTGAATATTTAGAGCGGTCTCAGGCCTATTTAGAAGAGAGACTATCCTCACGGAAAAACTAGACATAATTGTTCTCTGAAGCTACTCTGTGATGTGCGCATTCAGCTGACAGAGTTTAACCTTTCTTTGGATAGAGCGGTTTTAAACCCTCTTTTTGTGGAATTTGCAATTCTATATTTAGAGTGCTTTCAGGCCTGTGGTATAAAAGGGAATGTCTTCACATAAAATCTAGACAGAAGCATTGTCGGGAACTATTTTGGCATACCTGCCTTCAACTCTCAGAGTTGAATATTCCTCTTGATGGAGCAGTTTTGAAAAACTCTTTTTGTTGAATCTCCAAGTGGATATTTGGACCTCTTTGTGGCCTTCGTTTGAAACGTGAGTGCTTCATACAAAAGTAGACAGAAGAATTCTCATAAACTTCTTCGTGATGTGTGCTTTCAACTCGCAGTGTTGAAGCTTCCTTTCGATAGAGCAGTTCTGTAACTCTCTTTTTGTAGAATTTCCAAGTGGATATTTAGCGCCGTTTGAGGCCAATGGTGGAAAAGGCAATATCTTCATAGAAAAACTAGACAGAATGATTCTCAGAAACTACTTTGTGATGTGTGCCTTCAACTCACAGAGTTTAACCTTTCTTTTGATAGAGCAGTTTTGAAAAACTCTTTTTGTAGAATCTGCAAGTGTATATTGGGACTTTTCTGAGGCCATCTTTGGAAACGGGATTTCTTCATATAAAACTTGAAGGAAGAATCCTCAGAAAATTATTTGTGATATGTGCATTTAACTCATGGAGTTGAAACTTCCTTTCGATAGAAGAGCTTTGAAATACTCTTTTTGTAGAATTTCCAAGTGGATTTTTACAGCAGTTTGAGGTCTATGGCAGACAAAGAAATATCTTCACAGAAAAACTAGGCAGATCCATTCTCCGAAGCTGTTTTGTGATGCTTGCATTAAGCGGACAGAGTTTAAACTTCCTTTGAGAGAGCAGTTTGGAAACACTCTTTTTGTGGAATTTGCAAGTGTATATTTAGAGCGTTTTGAGGCCTACAGTAGGAAAGGAAATATCTTCACATAAAAACTACACAGAAGTATTGTCAGAAACTTATTTGTGATATTGGCATTCAACGCACAGAGTTGAACATTCCTCTTGATGGAGCAGTTTTCAAACCCTCTTTTTGCAGAATCTGCAGGTGGATATTTGGACCTCTTTGTGGCCTTCGTTTGAAACGTGATTTCTGCATTTACAACTAGAAAGAAGAATTCTCAGAAACTCCTTTGTGATGTGTACCTTCAACTCACAGAGGTGAAGCTTCCTTTCAATAGAGCACTTTTGAAACTCAGTTTTGGTAGAATTTCCAGGTGGATATTTTGCGCCGTTTGAGGCCTATGGTAGAAAAGGCAATATCTTCGTAGGAGAACTAGACACAATGATTCTCAGAAACAACTTTGTGATATGTGCGTTCAACTCACGGAGTTTAACCTTTCTTTTGATAGACCAGTTATGAAACACTCTTTTTGTAGAATCTGCAAGTAAATATTTGGACTTTTTTGAGGCCTTCATTGGAAACGGGATCTCTTCATATAAACCTTGACAGAAGAATTCTCAGAAACTTCTCTGTGATGTGTGCGTTTAACTCTCAGAGTTCAACCTTCCTTTTGATAGAAGAGTGTTGAAATATTCTTTTTGCAGAATTTCCAAGTGAATATTTAGAGGGGTCTCAGGCCTATGTGGAAGAGAAACTATCTTCACGGAAAAACTAGACATAATTGTTCTCTGAAGCTACTTTGTGATGTGCGCATTCAGCTTACAGAGATTAACCTTTCTTTGGATCGAGCGGTTTTAAACACTCTTTTTGTGGAATTTGCAATTCCATATTTAGAGTGCTTTCAGGCCTGTGGTATAAAAGGGAATGTCTTCACATAAAATCTAGACAGAAGCATTGTCGGGAACTACTTTGTGATACCTGCCTTCAACTCTCAGAGTTGAATATTCCTCTTGATGGAGCAGTTTTGAAAAACTCCTTTTGTTGAATCTCCAAGTGGATATTTGGACCTCTTTGTGGCCTTCGTTTGAAACGTGACTGCTTCATACAAAAGTAGACAGAAGAATTCTCATAAACTTCTTCGTGATGTGTGCTTTCAACTCGCAGAGTTGAAGCTTCCTTTCGATAGAGCAGTCTTGTAACTCTCTTTTTGTAGAATTTCCAAGTGGATATTTAGCGCCGTTTGAGGCCTATGGTGGAGAAGGCGATATCTTCATAGAAAAACTAGACAGAATGATTCTCAGAAACTACTTTGTGATGTGTGCCTTCAACTCACAGAGTTTAACCTTCCTTTTGGTAGAGCAGTTTTGAAAAACTCTTTTTGTAGAATCTGCAAGTGTATATTGGGACTTTTCTGAGGCCATCTTTGGAAACGGGATTTCTTCAGATAAAACTTGAAAGAAGAATCCTCAGAAAATTATTTGTGATATGTGCATTTAACTCATGGAGCTGAAACTTCCTTTCGGTAGAAGAGCTTTGAAATACTCTTTTTGTAGAATTTCCAAGTGGATTTTTACAGCGGTTTGAGGTCTATGGCAGAAAAAGAAATATCTTCACAGAAAAACTAGGCAGATTCATTCTCCGAAGCTGTTTTGTGATGCTCGCATTCAGCTGACAGAGTTTAAACTTCCTTTGAGAGAGCAGTTTGGAAACACTCTTTTTGTGGAATTTGCAAGTGTATATTTAGAGCGTTTTGAGGCCCAGAGTAGGAAAGGAAATATCTTCACCTAAAAACTAGACAGAAGTATTGTCAGAAACTTATTTGTGATATTTGCATTCAACGCACGGAGTTGAACATTCCTCTTGATGGAGCCGTTTTGAAGCACTCTTTTTGTGGAATCTGCAAGTGGATATTTGGACCTCTTTGTGGCCTTCAGTGTGAAACGTGATTTCTTCATTTACAACTAGACAGAAGAATTCTCAGAAACTTCTTTGTGATGTGTACCTTCAACTCACAGAGTTGAAGCTTCCTTTCAAAAGAGCACTTTTGAAACTCAGTTTTTGTAGAATTTCCAGGTGGATATTTAGCGCCGTTTGAGGCCTATGGTAGAAAAGGCAATATCTTCGTAGGAAAACTAGACAGAATGATTCTCAGAAACTACTTTGTGATGTGTGGGTTCAACTCACTGAGTTTAACCTTTCTTTTGATAGACCAGTTACGAAACACTCTTTTTGTAGAATCTGCAAGTAAATATTTGGACTTTTTTGAGGCCTTCATTGGAAACGGGATTTCTTCATAGAAACCTTGACAGAAGAATTCTCAGAAACTTCTCTGTGATGTGTGCGTTTAACTCTCAGAGTTCAACCTTCCTTTTGATAGAAGAGTGTTGAAATATTCTTTTTGTAGAATTTCCAAGTGAATATTTAGAGCGGATTCAGGCCTATGTAGAAGAGAAACTATCTTCACAGAAAAACTAGACATAATTGTTCTCTGAAGCTACTCTGTGATGTGCGCATTCAGCTGACAGAGTTTAACCTTTCTTTGGATAGAGCGGTTTTAAACCCTCTTTTTGTGGAATTTGCAATTCTGTATTTAGAGTGCTTTCAGACCTCTGGTACAAAAGGGAATGTCTTCACATAAAATCTAGACAGAAGCATTGTCGGAAACTACTTTGGGATACCTGCCTTCAACTCTCAGAGTTGAATGTTGCTCTTGATGGAGCAGTTTTGAAAAACTCTTTTTGTTGAATCTCCAAGTGGATATTTGGACCTCTTTGTGGCCTTCGTTTGAAACGTGACTGCTTCATACAAAAGTAGACAGAAGAATTCTCATAAACTTCTTCGTGATGTGTGCTTTCAACTCGCAGAGCTGAAGCTTCCTTTTGATAGAGCAGTTTTGTAACCCTCTTTTTGTAGAATTTCCAAGTGGATATTTAGAGCCGTTTGAGGCCTATGGTGGAAAAGGCAATATCTTCATAGAAAAACTAGACAGAATGATTCTCAGAAACTACTTTGTGATGTGTGCCTTCAACTCACAGAGTTTAACCTTTCTTTTGATAGAGCAGTTTTGAAAAACTCTTTCTGTAGAATCTGCAATTGTATATTGGGACTTTTCTGAGGCCATGTTTGGAAACGGGATTTCTTCATATAAAACTTGAAAGAAGAATCCTCAGAAAATTATTTGTGATATGTGCATTTAACTCATGGAGTTGAAACTTCCTTTCGATAGAAGAGTTTTGACATCCTCTTTTTGTAGAATTTCCAAGTGGATTTTTACAGCGGTTTGAGGTCTATGGCAGAAAAAGAAATATCTTCACAGAAAAACTAGGCAGATTCATTCTCCGAAGCTGTTTTGTGATGCTTGCATTCAGCTGACAGAGTTTAAACTTCCTTTGATAGAGCAGTTTTGAAACACTCTTTTTGCGGAATTTGCAAGTGTATATTTAGAGCGTTTTGAGGCCTACAGTAGGAAAGGAAATATCTTCACCTAAAAACTAGACAGAAGTATTGTCAGAAACTTCTTTGTGATATTTGCATTCAACGCACAGAGTTGAACATTCCTCTTGATGGAGCAGTTTTCAAACCCTCTTTTTGCAGAATCTGCAGGTGGATATTTGGACCTCTTTGTGGCCTTCGTTTGAAACGTGATTTCTGCATTTACAACTAGACAGAAGAATTCTCAGAAACTTCTTTGTGATGTGTACTTTCAACTCACAGAGTTGAAGCTTCCTTTCAATAGAGCACTTTTGAAACTCAGTTTCTGTAGAATTTCCAGGTGGATATTTAGCGCCGTTTGAGGCCTATGGTGGAAAAGGCAATATCTTCGTAGAAAAACTAGACAGAATGATTCTCAGAAACTACTTTGTGATGTGTGGGTTCAACTCACTGAGTTTAACCTTTCTTTTGATAGACCAGTTAAGAAACACTCTTTTTGTAGAATCTGCAAGTAAATATTTGGACTTTTTTGAGGCCTTCATTGGAAACGGGCTTTCTTCATATAAACCTTGACAGAAGAATCCCCAGAAACTTCTTTGTGATGTGTGCATTTAACTCTCAGAGTTCAACCTTCCTTTTGATAGAAGAGTGTTGAAATATTCTTTTTGTAGAATTTCCAAGTGAATATTTAGAGCGGTTTCAGGCCTATGTAGAAGAGAAAATATCTTCACAGAGAAACTAGACATAATTGTTCTCTGATGCTACTTTGTGATGTGTGCTTTCAGCTTACAGAGTTTAACCTTTCTTTGGATAGAGCGGTTTTAAACACTCTTTTTGTGGAATTTGCAGTTCTATATTTAGAGTGCTTTCAGGCCTGTGGTACAAAAGGGAATGTCCTCACATAAAATCTAGACAGAAGCATTGTCGGAAACTACTTTGTGATACCTGCCTTCAACTCTCAGAGTTGAATATTCCTCTTGATGGAGCAGTTTTGAAAGACTCTTTTTGTTGAATCTCCAAGTGGATATTTGGACCTCTTTGTGGCCTTCGTTTGAGACGTGACTTCTTCATACAAAAGTAGACAGAAGAATTCTCATCAACTTCTTCGCGATGTGTGCTTTCAACTCGCAGAGTTGCATCTTCCTTTCGATAGAGCAGTTTTGTAACTCTCTTTTTGTAGAATTTCCAAGTGGATATTTAGCGCCGTTTGAGGCCTATGGTGGAAAAGGCAATATCTTCATAGAAAAACTAGACAGAATGATTCTCAGAAACTACTTTGTGATGTGTGCCTTCAACTCACAGAGTTTAACCTTTCTTTGGATAGAGCAGTTTTGAAAAACTCTTTTTGTAGAATCTGCAAGGGTATATTGGGACTTTTCTGAGGCCATCTTTGGAAACGGGATTTCTTCATATAAAACTTCAAAGAAGAATCCTCAGAAAATTATTTGTGATATGTGCATTTAACTCATGGAGTTGAAACTTCCTTTCGATAGAAGAGTTTTGAAATACTCTTTCTGTAGAATTCCCAAGTGGATTTTTACAGCAGTTTGAGGTCTATGGCAGCAAAAGAAATATCTTCACAGAAAAACTAGGCAGATTCATTCTCCAAAGCTGTTTTGTGATGCTTGCATTAAGCGGACAGAGTTTAAACTTCCTTTGATAGAGCAGTTTGGAAACACTCTTTTTGTAGAATTTGCAAGTGTATATTTAGAGCATTTTGAGGCCTACAGTAGGAAAGGAAATATCTTCACATAAAAACTACACAGAAGTATTGTCAGAAACTACTTTGTGATATTTGCATTCAACGCACAGAGTTGAACATTCCTCTTGATGGAGCAGTTTTGAAACCCTCTTTTTGCAGAATCTGCAGGTGGATATTTGGACCTCTTTGTGGCCTTCGTTTGAAACGTGATTTCTTCATTTACAACTTGACAGAAGAATTCTCAGAAACTTCTTTGTGATGTGTACCTTCAACTCACAGAGGTGAAGCTTCCTTTCAATAGAGCACTTTTGAAACTCAGTTTCGGTAGAATTTCCAGGTGGATATTTAGCGCCGTTTGAGGCCTATGCTAGAAAAGGCAATATCTTCGTAGGAGAACTAGACAGAATGATTCTCAGAAACAACTTTGTGATGTGTGCGTTCAACTCACGGAGTTTAACCTTTCTTTTGATAGACCAGTTATGAAACACTCTTTTTGTAGAATCTGCAAGTAAATATTTGGACTTTTTTGAGGCCTTCATTGGAAACGGGATCTCTTCATATAAAGCTTGACAGAAGAATCCCCAGAAACTTCTTTGTGATGTGTGCATTTAACTCTCAGAGTTCAACCTTCCTTTTGATAGAAGAGTGTTGAAATATTCTTTTTGTAGAATTTCCAAGTGAATATTTAGAGCGGTTTCAAGCCTATGTAGAAGAGAAAATATCTTCACAGAGAAACTAGACATAATTGTTCTCTGAAGCTACTTTGTGATGTGCGCATTCAGCTGACAGAGTTTAACCTTTCTTTGGATAGAGCGGTTTTAAACACTCTTTTTGTGGAATTTGCAATTCTATTTTTAGAGTGCTTTCTGGCCTGTGGTACAAAAGGGAATGTCTTCACATAAAATCTAGACAGAAGCATTGTCGGGAACTACTTTGGGATACCTGCCTTCAACTCTCAGAGTTGAATATTCCTCTTGATGGAGCAGTTTTGAAAAACTCTTTTTGTTGAATCTCCAAGTGGATATTTGGACCTCTTTGTGGCCTTCGTTTGAAACGTGACTTCTTCATACAAAACTAGACAGAAGAATTCTCATCAACTTCTTTGCGATGTGTGCTTTCAACTCGCAGATTTGCAGCTTCCTTTCGATAGAGGAGTTTTGAAACTCTCTTTTTGTAGTATTTCCAAGTGGATATTTAGCGCCGTTCGAGGCCTATGGTAGAAAAGGCAATATCTTCGTAGAAAAACTAGACAGAATGATTCTCAGAAACTGCTTTGTGATGTGTGCCTTCAACTCACAGAGTTTAACCTTCCTTTTGGTAGAGCAGTTTTGAAAAACTCTTTTTGTAGAATCTGCAAGTGTATATTGGGACTTTTCTGAGGCCATCTTTGGAAACGGGATTTCTTCATATAAAACTTGAAAGAAGAATCCTCAGAAAATTATTTGTGATATGTGCATTTAACTCATGGAGTTGAAACTTCCTTTCGATAGAAGAGTTTTGAAATACTCTTTTTGTAGAATTTCCAAGTGGATTTTTACAGCGTTTTGAGGTCTATGGCAGCAAAAGAAATATCTTCACAGAAAAACTAGGCAGATTCATTCTCCGAAGCTGTTTTGTGATGCTCGCATTCAGCTGACAGAGTTTAAACTTCCTTTGAGAGAGCAGTTTGGAAACACTCTTTTTGTGGAATTTGCAAGTGTATATTTAGAGCGTTTTGAGGCCTACAGTAGGAAAGGAAATATCTTCACCTAAAAACTAGACAGAAGTATTGTCAGAAACTTATTTGTGATATTTGCATTCAACGCACGGAGTTGAACATTCCTCTTGATGGAGCCGTTTTGAAGCACTCTTTTTGTGGATTCTGCAAGTGGATATTTGGACCTCTTTGTGGCCTTCGTGGGAAACGTGATTTCTTCATTTACAACTAGACAGAAGAATTCTCAGAAACTTCTTTGTGATGTGTACTTTCAACTCACAGAGTTGAAGCTTCCTTTCAATAGAGCACTTTTGAAACTCAGTTTCTGTAGAATTTCCAGGTGGATATTTAGCGCCGTTTGAGGCCTATGGTGGAAAAGGCAATATCTTCGTAGAAAAACTAGACAGAATGATTCCCAGAAGCTACTTTGTGATGTGTGGGTTCAACTCACTGAGTTTAACCTTTCTTTTGATAGACCAGTTATGAAACACTCTTTTTGTGGAATCGGCAAGTAAATATTTGGACTTTTTGGAGGCCTTCATTGGAAACGCGGTTTCTTCATATAAACCTTGACAGAAGAATTCTCAGAAACTTCTCTGTGATGTGTGCGTTTAACTCTCAGAGTTCAACCTTCCTTTTGATAGAAGAGTGTTGAAATATTCTTTTTGTAGAATTTCCAAGTGAATATTTAGAGCGGTTTCAGTCCTATGTAGAAGAGAAACTATCTTCACAGAAAAACTAGACATAATTGTTCTCTGAAGCTACTTTGTGATGGGCGCCTTCAGCTGACAGAGTTTAACCTTTACTTTGGATAGAGCGGTTTTAAACACTCTTTTTGTGGAATTTGCAATTCTATATTTAGAGTGCTTTCAGGCCTGTGGTACAAAAGGGAATGTCTTCACATAAAATCTAGACAGAAGCATTGTCGGGAACTACTTTGGGATACCTGCCTTCAACTCTCAGAGTTGAATATTCCTCTTGATGGAGCAGTTTTGAAAAACTCTTTTTGTTGAATCTCCAAGTGGATATTTGGACCTCTTTGTGGCCTTCGTTTGAAACGTGACCGCTTCATACAAAAGTAGACAGAAGAATTCTCATAAACTTCTTCGTGATGTGTGCTTTCCACTCGCAGAGTTGAAGCTTCCTTTCGATAGAGCAGTCTTGTAAGTCTCTTTTTGTAGAATTTCCAAGTGGATATTTAGCGCCGTTTGAGGCCTATGGTGGAGAAGGCGATATCTTCATAGAAAAACTAGACGGAATGATTCTCAGAAACTACTTTGTGATGTGTGCCTTCAACTCACGGAGTTTAACCTTTCTTTTGATAGAGCAGTTTTGAAAAACTCTTTTTGTAGAATCTGCAAGTGTATATTGGGACTTTTCTGAGGCCATCTTTGGAAACCGGATTTCTTCATATAAAACTTGAAAGAAGAATCCTCAGAAAATTATTTGTGATATGTGCGTTTAACTCATGGAGGTAAAACTTCCTTTCGATAGAAGTTTTGAAATACTCTTTTTGTAGAATTTCCAAGTGGATTTTTACAGCGGTTTGAGGTCTATGGCAGAAAAAGGAATATCTTCACAGAAAAACTAGGCAGATTCATTCTCCGAAGCTGTTTTGTGATGCTTGCATTCAGCTGACAGAGTTTAAACTTCCTTTGATAGAGCAGTTTGGAAACACTCTTTTTGTGGAATTTGCAAGTGTATATTTAGAGCGTTTTGAGGCCTACAGTAGGAAAGGAAATATCTTCACCTAAAAACTAGACAGAAGTATTGTCAGAAACTTATTTGTGATATTTGCATTCAACGCACGGTGTTGAACATTCCTCTTGATGGAGCCGTTTTGAAGCACTCTTTTTGTGGAATCTGCAAGTGGATATTTGGACCTCTTTGTGGCCTTCGTGTGAAACGTGATTTCTTCATTTACAACTAGACAGAAGAATTCTCAGAAACTTCTTTTTGTTGTGTACTTTCAACTCACAGAGTTGAAGCTTCCTTTCAATAGAGCACTTTTGAAACTCAGTTTCTGTAGAATTTCCAGGTGGATATTTAGCGCCGTTTGAGGCCTATGGTGGAAAAGGCAATATCTTCGTAGAAAAACTAGACAGAATGATTCTCAGAAACTACTTTGTGATGTGTGGGTTCAACTCACTGAGTTTAACCTTTCTTTTGATAGACCAGTTATGAAACACTCTTTTTGTAGAATCTGCAAGTAAATATTTGGACTTTTTTGAGGCCTTCATTGGAAACGGGATTTCTTCATATAAACCTTGACAGAAGAATCCCCAGAAACTTCTTTGTGATGTGTGCATTTAACTCTCAGAGTTCAACCTTCCTTTTGATAGAAGAGTGTTGAAATATTCTTTTTGTAGAATTTCCAAGTGAATATTTAGAGCGGTTTCAAGCCTATGTAGAAGAGAAAATATCTTCACAGAGAAACTAGACATAATTGTTCTCTGAAGCTACTTTGTGATGGGCGCCTTCAGCTGACAGAGTTTAACCTTTCTTTGGATAGAGCGGTTTTAAACACTCTTTTTGTGGAATTTGCAATTCTATATTTAGAGTGCTTTCAGGCCTGTGGTACAAAAGGGAATGTCTTCACATAAAATCTAGACAGAAGCATTGTCGGGAACTACTTTGTGATACCTGCCTTCAACTCTCAGAGTTGAATATTCCTCTTGATGGAGCAGTTTTGAAAAACTCCTTTTGTTGAATCTCCAAGTGGATATTTGGACCTCTTTGTGGCCTTCGTTTGAAACGTGACTGCTTCATACAAAAGTAGACAGAAGAATTCTCATCAACTTCTTCGTGATGTGTGCTTTCAACTCGCAGCGTTGAAGCTTCCTTTCGATAGAGCAGTTCTGTAACTCTCTTTTTGTAGAATTTCCAAGTGGATATTTAGCGCCGTTTGCGGCCAATGGTGGAAAAGGCAATATCTTCATAGAAAAACTAGACAGAATGATTCTCAGAAACTACTTTGTGATGTGTGCCTTCAACTCACAGAGTTTAACCTTTCTTTTGATAGAGCAGTTTTGAAAAACTCTTTTTGTAGAATCTGCAAGTGTATATTGGGACTTTTCTGAGGCCATCTTTGGAAACGGGATTTCTTCATATAAAACTTGAAAGAAGAATCCTCAGAAAATTATTTGTGGTATGTGCATTTAACTCATGGAGTTGAAACTTCCTTTCGCTAGAAGAGTTTTGACATACTCTTTTTGTAGGATTTCCAAGTGGATTTTCACAGCGGTTTGAGGTCTATGGCAGAAAAAGAAATATCTTCACAGAAAAACTAGGCAGATTCATTCTCCGAAGCTGTTTTGTGATGCTTGCATTCAGCTGACAGAGTTTAAATTTCCTTTGATAGAGCAGTTTGGAAACACTCTTTTTGTGGAATTTGCAAGTGTATATTTAGAGCGTTTTGAGGCCTACAGTAGGAAAGGAAACATCTTCACCTAAAAACTAGACAGAGGTATTGTCAGAAACTTATTTGTGATATTTGCATTCAACGCACAGAGTTGAACATTCCTCTTGATGGAGCAGTTTTGAAACACTCTTTTTGTAGAATCTGCAGGTGGATATTTGGACCTCTTTGTGGCCTTCGTTTGAAACGTGATTTCTTCATTTACAACTAGACAGAAGAATTCTCAGAAACTTCTTTGTGATGAGTACCTTCAACTCACAGAAGTGAAGCTTCCTTTCAATAGAGCACTTTTGAAGCTCAGTTTTGGTAGAATTTAAAGGTGGATATTTAGCGCCGTTTGAGGCCTATGGTAGAAAAGGCAATATCTTCGTAGGAGAACTAGACAGAATGATTCTCAGAAGCTACTTTGTGATGTGTGGGTTCAACTCACTGAGTTTAACCTTTCTTTTGATAGACCAGTTATGAAACACTCTTTTTGTGGAATCTGCAAGTAAATATTTGGACTTTTTTGAGGCCTTCATTGGAAACGGGGTTTCTTCATATAAACCTTGACAGAAGAATTCTCAGAAACTTCTCTGTGATGTGTGCGTTTAACTCTCAGAGTTCAACCTTCCTTTTGATAGAAGAGTGTTGAAATATTCTTTTTGCAGAATTTCCAAGTGAATATTTAGAGCGGTCTCAGGCCTATGTGGAAGAGAAACTATCTTCACGGAAAAACTAGACATAATTGTTCTCTGAAGCTACTCTGTGATGTGCGCATTCAGCTGACAGAGTTTAACCTTTCTTTGGATAGAGCGGTTTTAAACACTCTTTTTGTGGAATTTGCAATTCTATATTTAGAATGCTTTCAGGCCTGTGGTACAAAAGGGAATGTCTTCACATAAAATCCAGACAGAAGCATTGTCGGAAACTACTTTGTGATACCTGCCTTCAACTCTCAGAGTTGAATATTCTTCTTGATGGAGCAGTTTTGAAAAACTCTTTTTGTTGAATCTCCAAGTGGATATTTGGACCTCTCTGTGGCCTTCGTTTGAAACGTGACTTCTTCATAGAAAACTAGACAGAAGAATTCTCATAAACTTCTTCGTGATGTGTGCTTTCAACTCGCAGAGTTGAAGCTTCCTTTCAATAGAGCAGTTTTGTAACCCTCTTTTTGTAGAATTTCCAAGTGGATATTTAGCGCCGTTTGAGGCCTATGGTGGAAAAGGCAATATCTTCATAGAAAAACTAGACAGAATGATTCTCAGAAACTACTTGGTGATGTGTGCCTTCAACTCACAGAGTTTAACCTTTCTTTTGATAGAGCAGTTTTGAAAAACTCTCTCTGTAGAATCTGCCAGTGTATAGTGGGACTTTTCTGAGGCCATGTTTGGAAACGGGATTTCTTCATATAAAACTTGAAAGAAGAATCCTCAGAAAATTATTTGTGATATGTGCATTTAACTCATGGAGTTGAAACTTCCTTTCGATAGAAGAGTTTTGACATCCTCTTTTTGTAGAATTTCCAAGTGGATTTTTACAGCGGTTTGAGGTCTATGGCAGAAAAAGAAATATCTTCACAGAAAAACTAGGCAGATTCATTCTCCGAAGCTGTTTTGTGATGCTTGCATTCAGCTGACAGAGTTTAAACTTCCTTTGATAGAGCAGTTTGGAAACACTCTTTTTGTGGAGTTTGCAAGTGTTTATTTAGAGCGTTTTGAGGCCTACAGTAGGAAAGGAAATATCTTCACATAAAAACTAGACAGAAGTATTGTCAGAAACTTCTTTGTGATATTTGCATTCAACGCACAGAGTTGAACATTCCTCTTGATGGAGCAGTTTTGAAACCCTCTTTTTGCAGAATCTGCAGGTGGATATTTGGACCTCTTTGTGGCCTTCATTTGAAACGTGATTTCTTCATTTACAACTAGACAGAAGAATTCTCAGAAACTTCTTTGTGATGTGTACCTTCAACTCACAGAGGTGAAGCTTCCTTTCAATAGAGCACTTTTGAAACTCAGTTTTGGTAGAATTTCCAGGTGGATATTTTGCGCCGTTTGAGGCCTATGGTAGAAAAGGCAATATCTTCGTAGGAGAACTAGACAGAATGATTCTCAGAAACAACTTTGTGATGTGTGCGTTCAACTCACGGTGTTTAACCTTTCTTTTGATAGACCAGTTATGAAACACTCTTTTTGTAGAATCTGCAAGTAAATATTTGGACTTTTTTGAGGCCTTCATTGGAAACGGGATTTCTTCATATAAACCTTGACAGAAGAATTCTCAGAAACTTCTCTGTGATGTGTGCGTTTAACTCTCAGAGTTCAACCTTCCTTTTGATAGAAGAGTGTTGAAATATTCTTTTTGTAGAATTTCCAAGTGAATATTTAGAGCGGTTACAGGCCTATGTAGAAGAGAAACTATCTTCACAGAAAAACTAGACATAACTGTTCTCTGAAGCTGCTCTGTGATGTGCGCATTCAGCTGACAGATTTTAACCTTTCTTTGGATAGAGCGGTTTTCAACAATATTTTGTGGAATTTGCAATTCTATATATAGAGGGCTTTCAGGCATGTGGTACAAAAGGGAATGTCTTCACATAAAATCTAGACAGAAGCATTGTCGGGAACTACTTTGTGATACCTGCCTTCAACTCTCAGAGTTGAATATTCCTCTTGAAGGAGCACTTTTGAAAAACTCTTTTTGTTGAATCTCCAAGTGGATATTTGGTCCTCTTTGTGGCCTTCGTTTGAAACGTGACTGCTTCATACAAAAGTAGACAGAAGAATTCTCATAAACTTCTTCGTGATGTGTGCTTTCAACTCGCAGCGTTGAAGCTTCCTTTCGATAGAGCAGTTTAGTAACTCTCTTTTTGTAGAATTTCCAAGTGGATATTTAGCGCCGTTTGAGGCCTATGGTGGAAAAGGCAATATCTTCATAGAAAAACTAGACAGAATGATTCTCAGAAACTACTTTGTGATGTGTGCCTTCAACTCACAGAGTTTAACCTTCCTTTTGGTAGAGCAGTTTTGAAAAACTCTTTTTGTAGAATCTGCAAGTGTATATTGGGACTTTTCTGAGGCCATCTTTGGAAAAGGGATTTCTTCATATAAAACTTGAAAGAAGAATCCTCAGAAAATTATTTGTGATATGTGCATTTAACTCATGGAGTTGAAACTTCCTTTCGACAGAAGAGTTTTTAAATACTCTTTTTGTAGAATTTCCAAGTGGATTTTCACTGCGGTTTGAGGTCTATGGCAGAAAAAGAAATATCTTCACAGAAAAACTATGCAGATTCATTCTCCGAAGCTGTTTTGTGATGCTTGCATTCAGCTTACAGAGTTTAAACTTCCTTTCATAGAGCAGTTTTGAAACCCTCTTTTTGTGGAATTTGCAAGTGTCTCTTTAGAGCGTTTTGAGGCCTACAGTAGGAAAGGAAATATCTTCACATAAAAACTAGACAGAAGTATTGTCAGAAACTTATTTGTGATATTTGCATTCAACGCACGGAGTTGAACATTCCTCTTGATGGATCCGTTTTGAAGCACTCTTTTTGTGGAATCTGCAAGTGGATATTTGGACCTCTTTGTGGCCTTCGTGGGAAACGTGATTTCTTCATTTACAACTAGACAGAAGAATTCTCAGAAACTTCTTTGTGATGTGTACTTTCAACTCACAGAGGTGAAGCTTCCTTTCAATAGGGCACTTTTGAAACTCAGTTTCTGTAGAATTTCCAGGTGGATATTTAGCGCCGTTTGAGGCCTATGGTGGAAAAGGCAATATCTTCGTAGAAAAACTAGACAGAATGATTCTCAGAAACAACTTTGTGATGTGTGCGTTCAACTCACGGAGTTAAACCTTTCTTTTGATAGACCAGTTATGAAACACTCTTTTTGTAGAATCTGCAAGTAAATATTTGGACTTTTTTGAGGCCTTCATTGGAAACGGGATTTCTTCATATAAACCTTGACAGAAGAATTCCCAGAAACTTCTCTGTGGTGTGTGCATTTAACTCTCAGAGTTCAACCTTCCTTTTGATAGAAGAGTGTTGAAGTATTCTTTCTGTAGAATTTCCAAGTGAATATTTAGAGCGGTTTCAGGCCTATGTAGAAGAGAAACTATCTTCACAGAAGAACTAGACATAATTGTTCTCTGAAGCTACTTTGTGAGGTGCGCCTTCAGCGGACAGAGTTTAACCTTTCTTTGGATAGAGCGGTTTTAAGCACTCTTTCTGTGGAATTTGCAATTCTATATTTAGAGTGCTTTCAGGCCTGTGGTACAAAAGGGAATGCCTTCACATAAAATCTAGACAGACGCATTGTCGGGAACTACTTTGTGATACCTGCCTTCAACTCTCAGATTTGAATATTCGTCTTGACGGAGCAGTTTTGAAAAACTCTTTTTGTTGAATCTCCAAGTGGATATTTGGACCTCTTTGTGGCCTTCGTTTGAAACGTGACTGCTTCATACAAAAGTAGACAGAAGAATTCTCATAAACTTCTTCGTGATGTGTGCTTTCAACTCGCAGCGTTGAAGCTTCCTTTCGATAGAGCAGTTTAGTAACTCTCTTTTTGTAGAATTTCCAAGTGGATATTTAGCGCCGTTTGAGGCCTATGGTGGAAAAGGCAATATCTTCATAGAAAAACTAGACAGAATGATTCTCAGAAACTACTTTGTGATGTGTGCCTTCAACTCACAGAGTTTAACCTTTCTTTTGATAGAGCAGTTTTAAAAAACACTTTTTGTAGAATCTGCAAGTGTATATTGGGACTTTTCTGAGGCCATCTTTGGAAACGGGATTTCTTCCTATAAAACTTGAAAGAAGAATCCTCAGAAAATTATTTGTGATATGTGCATTTAACTCATGGAGTTGAGACTTCCTTTCGATAGAAGAGTTTTGAAATACTCTTTTTGCAGAATTTCCAAGTGGATTTTTACAGCGGTTTGAAGTCTATGGCAGAAAAAGAAATATCTTCACAGAAAAACTAGGCAGATTCATTCTCCGAAGCTGTTTTGTGATGCTTGCATTCAGCTGACGGAGTTTAAACTTCCTTTGATAGAGCAGTTTTGAAACACTCTTTTTGTGGAATTTGCAAGTGTCTCTTTAGAGCGTTTTGAGGCCTACAGTAGGAAAGGAAATATCTTCACCTAAAAACTAGACAGAAGTATTGTCAGAAACTTATTTGTGATATTTGCATTCAACGCACGGAGTTGAACATTCCTCTTGATGGAGCCGTTTTGAAGCACTCTTTATGTGGAATCTGCAAGTGGATATTTGGACCTCTTTGTGGCCTTCGTGTGAAACTTGCTTTCTTCATTTACAACTAGACAGAAGAATTCTCAGAAACTTCTTTGTGATGTGTACTTTCAACTTACAGAGTTGAAGCTTCCTTTCAATAGAGCACTTTTGAAACTCAGTTTCTGTAGAATTTCCAGGTGGATATTTAGCGCCGTTTGAGGCCTATGGTGGAAAAGGCAATATCTTCGTAGAAAAACTAGACAGAATGATTCTCAGAAACAACTTTGTGATGTGTGCGTTCAACTCACGGAGTTTAACCTTTCTTTTGATAGACCAGTTATGAAACACTCTTTTTGTAGAATCTGCAAGTAAATATTTGGACTTTTTTGAGGCCTTCATTGGAAACGGGATCTCTTCATATAAACCTTGACAGAAGAATTCCCAGAAACTTCTCTGTGATGTGTGCATTTAACTCTCAGAGTTCAACCTTCATTTTGATAGAAGAGTGTTGAAGTATTCTTTCTGTAGAATTTCCAAGTGAATATTTAGAGCGGATTCAGGCCTAAGTAGAAGAGAAAATATCGTCACAGAAAAACTAGACATAATTGTTCTCTGAAGCTACTTTGTGATGTGCGCATTCAGCTTACAGAGTTTAACCTTTCTTTGGGTCGAGCGGTTTTAAACACTCTTTTTGTGGAATTTGCAATTCTATATTTAGAGTGCTTTCAGGCCTGTGGTACAAAAGGGAATGTCCTCACATAAAATCTAGACAGAAGCATTGTCGGAAACGACTTGGTGATACCTGCCTTCAACTCTCAGAGTTGAATATTCCTCTTGATGGAGCAGTTTTGAAAAACTCTTTTTGTTGAATCTCCACGTGGGTATTTGGACCTCTTTGTGGCCTTCGTTTGAAACGTGACTGCTTCATACAAAAGTAGACAGAAGAATTCTCATAAACTTCTTCGTGATGTGTGCTTTCAACTCGCAGCGTTGAAGCTTCCTTTCGATAGAGCACTTTTGTGACTCTCTTTTTGTAGAATTTCCATGTGGATATTTGGCGCAGTTTGAGGCTTATGGTGGAAAAGGCAATATCTTCCTAGAAAAACTAGACAGAATGATTCTCAGAAACTACATTGTGATGTGTGCCTTCAACTCACAGAGTTTAACCTTTCTTTTGATAGAGCAGTTTTGAAAAACTCTTTTTGTAGAATCTGCAAGTGTATATTGGGACTTTTCTGAGGCCATCTTTGGAAACGGGATTTCTTCGTATAAAACTTGAAGGAAGAATCCTCAGAAAATTATTTGAGATATGTGCATTTAACTCATGGAGTTGAAACTTCCTTTCGATAGAAGCGTTTTGAAATACTCTTTTTGTAGTATTTCCAAGTGGATTTTTACAGCGGTTTGAGGTCTATGGCGGAAAAAGGAATATCTTCACAGAAAAACTAGGCAGATTCATTCTCCGAAGCTGTTTTGTGATGCTTGCATTAAGCTGACAGAGTTTAAACTTCCTTTGCTAGAGCAGTTTGGAAACACTCTTTATGTGGAATTTGCAAGTGTATATTTAGAGCGTTTTGAGGCCTACAGTAGGAAAGGAAATATCTTCACATAAAAACTAGACAGAAGTATTGTCAGAAACTTATTTGTGATATTTGCATTCAACGGACGGAGTTGAACATTCCTCTTGATGGAGCCGTTTTGAGGCACTCTTTTTGTGGAATCTGCAAGTGGGTATTTGGACCTCTTTGTGGCCTTCGTGGGAAACGTGATTTCTTCATTTACAACTAGACAGAAGAATTCTCAGAAACTTCTTTGTGATGTGTACTTTCAACTCACAGAGTTGAAGCTTCCTTTCAATAGAGCACTTTTGAAACTCAGTTTCTGTAGAATTTCCAGGTGGATATTTAGCGCCGTTTGAGGCCTATGGTGGAAAAGGCAATATCTTCGTAGAAAAACTAGACAGAACGATTCTCAGAAACTACTTTGTGACGTGTTGGTTCACCTCACTGAGTTTAACCTTTCTTTTGATAGACCAGTTACGAAACACTCTTTTTGTAGAATCTGCAAGTAAATATTTGGACTTTTTTGAGGCCTTCATTGGAAACGGGATTTCTTCATAGAAACCTTGACAGAAGAATTCTCAGAAACTTCTCTGTGATGTGTGCGTTTAACTCTCAGAGTTCAACCTTCCTTTTGATAGAAGAGTGTTGAAATATTCTTTTTGCAGAATTTCCAATTGAATATTTAGAGCGGTCTCAGGCCTATGTGGAAGAGAAACTATCTTCACGGAAAAACTAGACATAATTGTTCTCTGAAGCTACTCTGTGATGTGCGCATTCAGCTGACAGAATTTAACCTTTCTTAGGATAGAGCGGTTTTAAACCCTCTTTTTGTGGAATTTGCAATTCTGTATTTAGAGTGCTTTCAGGCCTGTGGTACAAAAGGGAATGTCTTCACATAAAATCTAGACAGAAGCATTGTCGGAAACTATTTTGTGAAACCTGCCTTCAACTCTCAGAGTTGAATATTCCTCTTGATGGAGCAGTTTTGAAAAACTCTTTTTGTTGAATCTCTAAGTGGATATTTGGACCTCTTTGTGGCCTTCGTTTGAAACGCGACTGCTTCATACAAAACTGGACAGAAGAATTCTCATAAACTTCTTCGTGATGTGTGCTTTCAACTGGCAGCGTTGAAGCTTCCTTTCGATAGAGCAGTTTTCTAACTCTCTTTTTGTAAAATTTCCCGGTGGATATTTAGCGCCTTTTGAGGCCCATGGTGGAAAAGGCAATATCTTCATAGAAAAACTAGACCGAATGATTCTCAGAAACTACTTTGTGATGTGTGCCTTCAACTCACAGAGTTTAACCTTTCTTTTGATAGAGCAGTTTTGAAAAACTCTTTTTGTAGAATCTGCAAGTGTATATTGGGACTTTTCTGAGGCTATCTTTGGAAACGGGATTTCTTCATATAAAACTTGAAAGAAGAATCCTCAGAAAATTATTTGTGATATGTGCATTTAACTCATGGAGCTGAAACTTCCTTTCGATAGAAGAGCTTTGAAATACTCTTTTTGTAGAATTTCCAAGTGGATTTTTACAGCGGTTTGAGGTCTATGGCAGAAAAAGTAATATCTTCACAGAAAAACTAGGCAGATTCATTCTCCGAAGCTGTTTTGTGATGCTTGCATTAAGCGGACAGAGTTTAAACTTCCTTTGATAGAGCAGTTTGGAAACACTCTTTTTGTGGAATTTGCAAGTGTATATTTAGAGCGTTTTGAGGCCTACAGTAGGAAAGGAAATATCTTCACATAAAAACTACACAGAAGTATTGTCAGAAACTTACTTGTGATATTTGCATTCAACACACAGAGTTGAACATTCCTCTTGATGGAGCAGTTTTGAAACACTCTTTTTGCAGAATCTGCAGGTGGATATTTGGACCTCTTTGTGGCCTTCGTTTGAAACGTGATTTCTTCATTTACAACTAGACAGAAGAATTCTCAGAAACTTCTTTGTGATGTGTACTTTCAACTCACAGAGTTGAAGCTTCCTTTCATTAGAGCACTTTTGAAACTCAGTTTCTGTAGAATTTCCAGGTGGATATTTAGCGCCGTTTGAGGCCTATGGTGGAAAAGGCAATATCTTCGTAGAAAAACTAGACAGAATGATTCTCAGAAACTAAATTGTGATGTGTGGGTTCAACTCACTGAGTTTAACCTTTCTTTTGATAGACCAGTTATGAAACACTCTTTTTGAAGAATCTGCAAGTAAATATTTGGACTTTTTTGAGGCCTTCATTGGAAACGGGATTTCTTCATAGAAACCTTGACAGAAAAATTCCCAGAAACTTCTCTGTGATGTGTGCATTTAACTCTCAGAGTTCAACCTTCCTTTTGATAGAAGAGGGTTGAAATATTCTTTTTGTAGAATTTCCAAGTGAATATTTAGAGCGGTTTCAGGCCTAAGTAGAAGAGAAAATATCTTCACAGAAAAACTAGACATAATTGTTCTCTGAAGCTGCTCTGTGATGTGCGCATTCAGCTGACAGAGTTTAACCTTTCTTTGGATAGAGCGGTTTTAAACACTCTTTTTTTTGGAATTTGCAATTGTATACTTAGAGTGCTTTCAGGCCTGTGGTACAAAAGGGAATGTCTTCACATAAAATCTAGACAGAAGCGTTGTCGGAAACTACTTTGTGATACCTGCCCTCAACTCTCAGAGTTGAATATTCCTCTTGACGGAGCAGTTTTGAAAAACTCTTTTTGTTGAATCTCCAAGTGGATATTTGGACCTCTTTGTGGCCTTCGTTTGAGACGTGACTTCTTCATACAAAACTAGACAGAAGAATTCTCATAAACTTCTTCGTGATGTGTGCTTTCCACTCGCAGAGTTGAAGCTTCCTTTCGATAGAGCAGTCTTGTAACTCTCTTTTTGTAGAATTTCCAAGTGGATATTTAGCGCCGTTTGAGGCCTATGGTGGAGAAGGTGATATCTTCATAGAAAAACTAGACAGAATGATTCTCAGAAACTACTCTGTGATGTGTGCCTTCAACTCACAGAGTTTAACCTTCCTTTTGATAGAGCAGTTTTGAAAAACTCTTTTTGTAGAATCTGCCAGTGTATATTGGGACTTTTCTGAGGCCATCTTTGGAAACGGGATTTCTTCATATAAAATTTGAAAGAAGAATCCTCAGAAAATTATTTGTGATATGTGCGTTTAACTCATGGAGTTGAAACTTCCTTTCGATAGAAGAGTTTTGAAATACTCTTTTTGTAGAATTTCCAATTGGATTTTTACAGCGGTTTGAGGTCTATGGCAGAAAAAGGAATATCTCCACAGAAAAACTAGGCAGATTCATTCTCCGAAGCTGTTTTGTGATGCTTGCATTAAGCTGACAGAGTTTAAACTTCCTTTGATAGAGCAGTTTGGAAACACTCTTTTTGTGGAATTTGCAAGTGTATATTTAGAGCGTTTTGAGGCCTACAGTAGGAAAGGAAATATCTTCACATAAAAGCTAGACAGAAGTATTGTCAGAAACTTATTTGTGATATTTGCATTCAACGCACAGAGTTGAACATTCCTCTTGATGGAGCAGATTTGAAACCCTCTTTTTGCAGAATCTGCAGCTGGATATTTGGACCTCTTTGTGGCCTTCGTTTGAAACGTGATTTCTGCATTTACAACTAGACAGAAGAATACTCAGAAACTTCTTTGTGATGTGTACCTTCAACCCACAGAGGTGAAGCTTCCTTTCAATAGAGCACTTTTGAAACTCAGTTTTGGTAGAATTTCCAGGTGGATATTTAGCGCCGTTTGAGGCCTATGGTAGAAAAGGCAATATCTTCGTAGGAGAACTAGACAGAATGATTCTCAGAAGCTACTTTGGGATGCGTGGGTTCAACTCACTGAGTTTAACCTTTCTTTTGATAGACCAGTTATGAAACACTCTTTCTGTGGAATCGGCAAGTAAATATTTGGACTTTTTTGAGGCCTTCATTGGAAACGGGGTTTCTTCATATAAACCTTGACAGAAGAATTCTCAGAAACTTCTCTGTGATGTGTGTGTTTAACTCTCAGAGTTCAACCTTCCTTTTGATAGAAGAGTGTTGAAATATTCTTTTTGTAGAATTTCCAAGTGAATATTTAGAGCGGTTTCAGGCCTATGTAGAAGAGAAACTATCTTCACAGAAAAACTAGACATAATTGTTCTCTGAAGCTGCTCTGTGATGTGCGCATTCCGCTGACAGAGTTTAACCTTTCTTTGGATAGAGCGGTTTTCAACACTCTTTTTGTGGAATTTGCAATTCTATATTTAGAGTGCTTTCAGGCCTGTGGTACAAAAGGGAACGTCTTCAGATAAAATCAAGACAGAAGCATTGTCGGAAACTACTTTGTGATACCTGCCTTCAACTCTCAGAGTTGAATATTCCTCTTGATGGAGCAGTTTTGTAAAACTCTTTTTGTTGAATCTCCAAGTGGATATTTGGACGTCTTTGTGGCCTTCGTTTGAAACGTGACTGCTTCATACAAAAGTAGACAGAAGAATTCTCATCAACTTCTTCGCCATGTGTGCTTTCAACTCGCAGAGTTGCAGGTTCCTTTCGATAGAGCAGTTTTGTAACTCTCTTTTTGTAGAATTTCCAAGAGGATATGTAGCGCCGTTTGAGGCCTATGGTGGAAAAGGAAATATCTTCATAGAAAAACTAGACAGAATGATTCTCAGAAACTACTCTGTGATGTGTGCCTCCAACTCACAGAGTTTAACCTTCCTTTTGATAGAGCAGTTTTGAAAAACTCTTTTTGTAGAACATGCAAGTGTATATTGGGACTTTTCTGAGGCCATCTTTGGAAACGGGATTTCTTCATATAAAACTTGAAAGAAGAATCCTCAGAAAATTATTTGTGATATGTGCATTTAACTCATGGAGTTGAAACTTCCTTTCGATAGAAGAGTTTTGAAATACTCTTTTTGTAGTATTCCCAAGTGGATTTTTACAGCGGTTTGAGGTCTATGGCAGAAAAAGAAATATCTTCACAGAAAAACTAGGCAGATTCATTCTCCGAAGCTGTTTTGTGATGCTTGCATTAAGCTGACAGAGTTTAAACTTCCTTTGATAGAGCAGTTTGGAAACACTCTTTTTGTGGAATTTGCAAGTGTATATTTAGAGCCTTTTGAGGCCTACAGTAGGAAAGGAAATATCTTCACATAAAAACTAGACAGAAATATTGTCAGAAACTTATTTGTGATATTTGCATTCAACGCACAGAGTTGAACATTCCTCTTGATGGAGCAGTTTTCAAACCCTCTTTTTGCAGAATCTGCAGGTGGATATTTGGACCTCTTTGTGGCCTTCGTTTGAAACGTGATTTCTTCATTTACAACTAGACAGAAGAATTCTCAGAAACTTCTTGGTGATGTGTACCTTCAACTCACAGAGGTGAAGCTTCCTTTCAATAGAGCACTTTTGAAACTCAGTTTTGGTAGAATTTCCAGGTGGATATTTTGCGCCGTTTGAGGCCTATGGTAGAAAAGGCAATATCTTCGTAGGAGAACTAGACAGAATGATTCTCAGAAGCTACTTTGTGATGTGTGGGTTCAACTCACTGAGTTTAACCTTTCTTTTGATAGACCAGTTATGAAACACTCTTTCTGTGGAATCGGCAAGTAAATATTTGGACTTTTTTGAGGCCTTCATTGGAAACGGGGTTTCTTCATATAAACCTTGACAGAAGAATTCTCAGAAACTTCTCTGTGATGTGTGCGTTTAACTCTCAGAGTTCAACCTTCCTTTTGATAGAAGAGTGTTGAAATATTCTTTTTGTAGTATTTCCAAGTGAATATTTAGAGCGGTTTGAGGCCTATGTAGAAGAGAAACTATCTTCACAGAAAAACTAGACAGAATTGTTCTCTGAAGCTACTTTGTGATGGGCGCCTTCAGCTGACAGAGTTTAACCTTTCTTTGGATAGAGCGGTTTTAAACACTCTTATGGTGGAATTTGCAATTCTATATTTAGAGTGCTTTCAGGCCTGTGGTACAAAAGGGAATGTCTTCACATAAAATCTAGACAGAAGCGTTGTCGGAAACTACTTTGTGATACCTGCCTTCAACAATCAGAGTTGAATATTCCTCTTGACGGAGCAGTTTTGAAAAACGCTTTTTGTGGAATCTCCAAGTGGATATTTGGACCTCTTTGTGGCCTTCGTTTGAGACCTGACTTCTTCATACAAAACTAGACAGAAGAATTCTCATAAACTTCTTTGGGATGTGTGCTTGCAACTCACAGTGTTGAAGCTTCCTTTCGATAGAGCATTCTTGTAAGACTCTTTTTGTAGAATTTCCAAGTGGATATTTAGCGCCGCTTGAGGCCTATGGTGGAAAAGGCAATATCTTCATAGAAAAACTAGACAGAATGATTCTCAGAAACTAATTTGTGATGTGTGCCTTCAACTCACAGAGTTTAACCTTCCTTTTGATAGAGCAGTTTTGAAAAACTCTTTCTGTAGAATCTGCAAGTGTATAGTGGGGCTTTTCTGAGGCCATGTTTGGAAACGGGATTTCTTCATATAAAACTTGAAAGAAGATTCCTCAGAAAATTATTTGAGATATGTGCATTTAACTCATGGAGTTGAAACTTCCTTTCGACAGAAGAGTTTTCAAATACTCTTTTTGTAGAATTTCAAAGTGGATTTTCACAGCGGTTTGAGGTCTATGGCAGAAAAAGAAATATCTTCACAGAAAAACTAGGCAGATTCATTCTCCGAAGCTGTTTTGTGATGCTTGCATTAAGCTTACAGAGTTTAAACTTCCTTTGATAGAGCAGTTTGGAAACACTCTTTTTGGGGAGTTTGCAAGTGTATATTTAGAGCGTTTTGAGGCCTACAGTAGGAAAGGAAATATCTTCACATAAAAACTAGACAGAAGTATTGTCAGAAACTTATTTGTGATATTTGCATTCAACGCACAGAGTTGAACATTCCTCTTGATGGAGCAGTTTTGAAACACTCTTTTTGTAGAATCTGCAGGTGGATATTTGGACCTCTTTGTGGACTTCGTTTGAAACGTGATTTCTTCATTTACAAATAGACAGAAGAATTCTCAGAAACTTCTTTGTGATGTGTACCTTCAACTCACAGAGGTGAAGCTTCCTTTCAATAGAGCACTTTTGAAGCTCAGTTTTGGTAGAATTTCCAGGTGGATATTTAGCGCCGTTTGAGGCCTATGGTAGAAAAGGCAATATCTTCGTAGGAGAACTAGACAGAATGATTCTCAGAAGCTACTTTGTGATGTGTGGGTTCAACTCACTGAGTTTAACCTTTCTTTTGATAGACCAGTTATGAAACACTCTTTCTGTGGAATCGGCAAGTAAATATTTGGACTTTTTTGAGGCCTTCATTGGAAACGGGGTTTCTTCATATAAACCTTGACAGAAGAATTCTCAGAAACTTCTCTGTGATGTGTGTGTTTACCTCTCAGAGTTCAACCTTCCTTTTGATAGAAGAGTGTTGAAATATTCTTTTTGCAGAATTTCCAAGTGAATATTTAGAGCGGTCTCAGGCCTATGTAGAAGAGAAACTATCTTCACGGAAAAACTAGACATAATTGTTCTCTGAAGCTACTCTGTGATGTGCGCATTCAGCTGACAGAGTTTAACCTTTCTTTGGATAGAGCGGTTTTAAACCGTCTTTTTGTGGAATTTGCAATTCTATATTTAGAGTGCTTTCAGGCCTGTGGTACAAAAGGGAATGTCTTCACATAAAATCTAGACAGAAGCATTGTCGGAAACTACTTTGTGATACCTGCCTTCAACTCTCAGAGTTGAATGTTCCTCTTGATGGAGCAGTTTTGAAAAACTCTTTTTGTTGAATCTCCAAGTGGATATTTGGACCTCTTTGTGGCCTTCATTTGAGACGTGACTTCTTCATACAAAAGTAGACAGAAGAATTCTCATAAACTTCTTCGTGATGCGTGCTTTCAACTCGCAGAGTTGAAGCTTCCTTTCGATAGAGCAGTCTTGTAACTCTCTTTTTGTAGAATTTCCAAGTGGATATTTAGCGCCGTTTGAGGCCTATGGTGGAAAAGGCAATATCTTCCTAGAAAAACTAGACGGAATGATTCTCAGAAACTACTTTGTGATGTGTGCCTTCAACTCACAGAGTTTAACCTTTCTTTTGATAGAGCAGTTTTGAAAAACACTTTCTGTAGAATCTGCAAGTGTATATTGGGACTTATCTGAGGCTATCTTTGGAAACGGGATTTCTTCATATAAAACTTCAAAGAAGAATCCTCAGAAAATTATTTGTGATATGTGCATTTAACTCATGGAGCTGAAACTTCCTTTCGATAGAAGAGCTTTGAAATACTCTTTTTGTAGAATTTCCAAGTGGATTTTTACAGCGGTTTGAGGTCTATGGCAGAAAAAGAAATATCTTCACAGAAAAACTAGGCAGATTCATTCTCCGAAGCTGTTTTGTGATGCTTGCATTCAGCTGACAGAGTATAAACTTCCTTTGATAGAGCAGTTTTGAAACACTCTTTTTGCGGAATTTGCAAGTGTATATTTAGAGCGTTTTGAGGCCTACAGTACGAAAGGAAATATCTTCATCTAAAATCTAGACAGAAGTATTGTCAGAAACTTATTTGTGATATTTGCATTCAACGCACGGAGTTGAACATTCCTCTTGATGGAGCCGTTTTGAAGCACTCTTTTTGTGGAATCTGCAAGTGGATATTTGGACCTCTTTGTGGCCTTCGTGGGACACGTGATTTCTTCATTTACAACTAGACAGAAGAATTCTCAGAAACTTCTTTGTGATGTGTACCTTCAACTCACAGAGGTGAAGCTTCCTTTCAATAGAGCACTTTTGAAACTCAGTTTTGGTAGAATTTCCAGGTGGATATTTAGCGCAGTTTGAGGCCTATGGTAGAAAAGGCAATATCTTCGTAGGAGAACTAGACACAATGATTCTCAGAAGCTACTTTGTGATGTGTGGGTTCAACTCACTGAGTTTAACCTTTCTTTTGATAGACCAGTTTATGAAACACTCTTTTTGTAGAATCTGCAAGTAAATCTTTGGACTTTTTTGAGGCCTTCATTGGAAACGGGGTTTCTTCATATAAACCTTGACAGAAGAATTCTCAGAAACTTCTCTGTGATGTGTGCGTTTAACTCTCAGAGTTCAACCTTCCTTTTGATGGAAGAGTGTTGAAGTATTCTTTTTGTAGAATTTCCAAGTGAATATTTAGAGCGGTTTCAGGCCTATGTAGAAGAGAAAATATCTTCCCAGAAAGACTAGACATAATTGTTCTCTGAAGCTACTCTGAGATGTGCGCATTCAGCTGACAGAGTTTAACCTTTCGTTGGATAGAGCGGTTTTAAACCCTCTTTTTGTGGAATTTGCTATTCTATCTTTAGAGTGCTTTCAGGCCTGTGGTACAAAAGGGAATGTCTTCACATAAAATCTTGATAGAAGCATTGTCGGAAACTACTTTGTGATACCTGCCTTCAACTCTCAGAATTGAATATTCCTCTTGATGGAGCAGTTTTGTAAAACTCTTTTTGTTGAATCTCCAAGTGGATATTTGGACGTCTTTGTGGCCTTCGTTTGAAACGTGACTGCTTCATACAAAAGTAGACAGAAGAATTCTCATAAACTTCTTTGTGATGTGTGCTTCAACTCGCAGAGTTGAAGCTTCCTTTCGATAGAGCAGTTTTGTAACCCTATTTTTGTAGAATTTCCAAGTGGATATTTAGCGCCGTTTGAGGCCTATGGTGGAAAAGGCAATATCTTCATAGAAAAACTAGACAGAATGATTCTCAGAAACTACTTTGTGATGTGTGCCTTCAACTCACAGAGTTTAACCTTTCTGTTGATAGAGCAGTTTTGAAAAACTCTTTCTGTAGAATCTGCAAGTGTATATTGGGACTTTTCTGAGGCCATGTTTGGAAACGGGATTTCTTCATATAAAACTTGAAAGAAGAATCCTCAGAAAATTATTTTTGATATGTGCATTTAACTCATGGAGTTGAGACTTCCTTTCGATAGAAGAGTTTTGAAATACTCTTTTTGTAGAATTTCCAAGTGGATTTTTACAGCGGTTTGAGGTCTATGGCAGAAAAAGAAATATCTTCACAGAAAAACTAGGCAGATTCATTCTCCGAAGCTGTTTTGTGATGTTTGCATTCAGCTGACAGAGTTTAAACTTCCTTTGATAGAGCAGTTTTGAAACACTCTTTTTGTGGAATTTGCAAGTGTATATTTAGAGCGCTTTGAGGCCTACAGTAAGAAAGGAAATATCTTCACCTAAAAACTAGACAGAAGCATTGTCGGAAACCACTTTGTGATACCTGCCTTCAACTCACAGAGTTGAATATTCCTCTTGATGGAGCAGTTTTGAAAAAGTCTTTTTGTAGAATCTGCAGGTGGATATTTGGACCTCTTTGTGGCCTTCGTTTGAAACGTGATTTCTTCATTTACAACTAGACAGAGGAATTCTCAGAAACTTCTTTGTGATGTGTACCTTCAACTCACAGAGTTGAAGCTTCCTTTCAATAGAGCACTTTGAAAGTCAGTTTTTGTAGAATTTCCAGGTGGATATTTAGCGCCGTTTGAGGCCTATGGTAGAAAAGGCCATATCTTAGTAGGAAAACTAGACAGAATGATTCTCAGCAAGCTACTTTGTGATGTGTGGGTTCAACTCACTGAGTTTAACCTTTCTTTTGATAGACCAGTTATGAAACACTCTTTTTGTGGAATCGGCAAGTAAATATTTGGACTTTTTTGAGGCCTTCATTGGAAACGGCGTTTCCTCATATAAACCTTGACAGAAGAATTCTCAGAAACTTCTCTGTGATGTGTGCGTTTACCTCTCAGAGTTCAACCTTCCTTTTGATAGAAGAGTGTTGAAATATTCTTTTTGTAGAATTTCCAAGTGAATATTTAGAGCGGTCTCAGGCCTATGTGGAAGAGAAACTATCTTCACAGAAAAACTAGACATAACTGTTCTCTGAAGCTGCTCTGTGATGTGCGCATTCAGCTGACAGAGTTTAACCTTTCTTTGGATAGAGCGGTTTTCAACACTCTTTTTGTGGAATTTGCAATTCTATATTTAGAGTGCTTTCAGGCCTGTGGTACAAAAGGGAATGTCTTCACATAAAATCTAGACAGAAGCATTGTCGGGAACTACTTTGGGATACCTGCCTTCAACTCTCAGAGTTGAATATTCCTCTTGATGGAGCAGTTTTGAAAAACTCTTTTTGTTGAATCTCCAAGTGGATATTTGGACCTCTTTGTGGCCTTCGTTTGAATCGTGACTGCTTCATACAAAATAGACAGAAGAATTCTCATAAACTTCTTGGTGATGTGTGCTTTCAACTCGCAGCGTTGAAGCTTCCTTTCGATAGAGCAGTTTAGTAACTCTCTTTTTGTAGAATTTCCAAGTGGATATTTAGCGCCGTTTGAGGCCTATGGTGGAAAAGGCAATATCTTCATAGAAAAACTAGTCAGAATGATTCTCAGAAACTACTTTGTGATGTGTGCCTTCAACTCACAGAGTTTAACCTTCCTTTTGGTAGAGCAGTTTTGAAAAACGCTTTTTGTAGAATCTGCAAGTGTATATTGGGACTTTTCTGAGGCCATCTTTGGAAACGGGATTTCTTCATATAAAACTTGAAAGAAGAATCCTCAGAAAATTATTTGTGATATCTGCATTTAACTCATGGAGTTGAGATTTCCTTTCGATAGAAGAGTTTTGAAATACTCTTTTTGTAGAATTTCCAAGTGGATTTTTACAGCGGTTTGAGGTCTATGGCAGAAAAAGTAATATCTTCACAGAAAAACTAGGCAGATTCATTCTCCGAAGCTGTTTTCTGATGCTTGCATTCAGCTGACAGAGTTTAAACTTCCTTTGATAGAGCAGTTTGGAAACACTCTTTTTGTGGAATTTGCAAGTGTATATTTAGAGCGTTTTGAGGCCTACAGTAGGAAAGGAAATATCTTCACCTAAAAACTAGACAGAAGTATTGTCAGAAAATTATTTGTGATATTTGCATTCAACGCACAGAGTTGAACATTCCTCTTGATGGAGCAGATTTGAAACCCTCTTTTTGCAGAATCTGCAGCTGGATATTTGGACCTCTTTGTGGCCTTCGTTTGAAACGTGATTTCTGCATTTACAACTAGACAGAAGAATTCTCAGAAACTTCTTTGTGATGTGTACCTTCAACTCACAGAGGTGAAGCTTCCTTTCAATAGAGCACTTTTGAAGCTCAGTTTTGGTAGAATTTCCAGGTGGATATTTAGCGCCGTTTGAGGCCTATGGTAGAAAAGGCAATATCTTCGTAGGAGAACTAGACACAATGATTCTCAGAAACAACTTTGTGATGTGTGCGTTCAACTCACGGAGTTTAACCTTTCTTTTGATAGACCAGTTATGAAACACTCTTTTTGTAGAATCTGCAGGTAAATATTTGGACTTTTTTGAGGCCTTCATTGGAAACGGGATCTCTTCATATAAACCTTGAGAGAAGAATTCTCAGAAACTTCTTTGTGATGTGTGCATTTAACTCTCAGAGTTCAACCTTCCTTTTGATAGCAGAGTGTTGAAATATTCTTTTTGTAGAATTTCCAAGTGAATATTTAGAGCGGTTTCAGGCCTATGTAGAAGAGAAAATATCTTCACAGAAAAACTAGACACAATTGTTCTCTGAAGCTACTCTGTGATGTGCGCATTCAGCTGACAGAGTTTAACCTTTCTTTACATAGAGCAGTTTTAAACCCTCTTTTTGTGGAATTTGCAATTCTGTATTTAGAGTGCTTTCAGGCCTGTGGTACAAAAGGGAATGTCTTCACATAAAATCTAGACAGAAGCATTGTCGGGAACTACTTTGGGATACCTGCCTTCAACTCTCAGAGTTGAATATTCCTCTTGATGGAGCAGTATTGAAAAACTCTTTTTGTTGAATCTCCAAGTGGATATTTGGACCTCTTTGTGGCCTTCGTTTGAAACGTGACTGCTTCATACAAAAGTAGACAGAAGAATTCTCATCAACTTCTTCGCGATGTGTGCTTTCAACTCGCAGAGTTGCAGCTTCCTTTCGATAGAGCAGTTTTGTAACTCTCTTTTTGTAGAATTCCTAAGTGGATATTTAGCGCCGTTTGAGGCCTATGGTGCAAAAGGCAATATCTTCATACAAAAACTAGACAGAATGATTCTCAGAAACTAATTTGTGATGTGTGCCTTCAACTCACAGAGTTTAACCTTTGTTTTGATAGAGCAGTTTTGAAAAACTCTTTTTGTAGAATCTGCAAGTGTATATTGGGACTTTTCTGAGGCCATCTTTGGAAACGGGATTTCTTCATATAAAACTTGAAGGAAGAATCCTCAGAAAATTATTTGTGATATGTGCATTTAACTCATGGAGTTGAAACTTCCTTTCGATAGAAGAGTTTTGAAATACTCTTTTTGTAGAATTTCCAAGTGGATTTTTACAGCGGTGTGAGGTCTATTGCAGAACAAGAAATATCTTCACCGAAAAACTAGGCAGATTCATTCTCCGAAGCTGTTTTGTGATGCTTGCATTCAGCTGACAGAGTTTAAACATCCTTTGATAGAGCAGTTTGGAAACACTCTTTTTGTGGAATTTGCAAGTGTATATTTAGAGCGTTTTGAGGCCTACAGTAGGAAAGGAAATATCTTCACCTAAAAACTAGACAGAAGTATTGTCAGAAACTTATTTGTGATATTTGCATTCAACGTACAGAGTTGAACATTCCTCTTGATGGAGCCGTTTTGAAGCACTCTTTTTGTGGAATCTGCAAGTGGATATTTGGACCTCTTTGTGGCCTTCGTGGGAAACGTGATTTCTTCATTTACAACTAGACAGAAGAATTCTCAGAAACTTCTTTGTGATGTGTACCTTCAACTCACAGAGTTGAAGCTTCCTTTCAATAGAGCACTTTTGAAACTCAGTTTTTGTAGAATTTCCAGGTGGATATTTAGCGCCGTTTGAGGCCTATGGTAGAAAAGGCAATATCTTCGTAGGAAAACTAGACAGAATGATTCTCAGAAGCTACCTTGTGATGTGTGGGTTCAACTCACTGAGTTTAACCTTTCTTTTGATAGACCCGTTATGAAACACTGTTTTTGTAGAATCTGCAAGTAAATATTTGGACTTTATTGGAGGCCTTCATTGGAAACGGGGTTTCTTCATATAAACCTTGACAGAAGAATTCTCAGAAACTTCTCTGTGATGTGTGCGTTTAACTCTCAGAGTTCAACCTTCCTTTTGATAGAAGAGTGTTGAAATATTCTTTTTGTAGAATTTCCAAGTGAATATTTAGAGCGGTTTCAGGCCTATGTAG
Organism: Homo sapiens; assembly: GCF_000001405.40. Classification (NCBI taxonomy): domain Eukaryota; kingdom Metazoa; phylum Chordata; class Mammalia; order Primates; family Hominidae; genus Homo; species Homo sapiens. The sequence continues at coordinate 90,959,153 of NC_000003.12, forward strand.
AAGAGAAACTATCTTCACAGAAAAACTCGACATAATTGTTCTCTGAAGCTGCTGTGTGATGTGCGTATTCAGCTGACAGAGTTTAACCTTTCTTTGGATAGAGCGGTTTTCAACACTCTTTTTGTGGAATTTGCAATTCTATATTTAGAGTGCTTTCAGGCCTGTGGTACAAAAGGGAATGTCTTCACATAAAATCTAGACAGAAGCATTGTCGGGAACTACTTTGGGATACCTGCCTTCAACTCTCAGAGTTGAATATTCCTCTTGATGGAGCAGTTTTGAAAAACTCTTTTTGTTGAATCTCCAAGTGGATATTTGGACCTCTTTGTGGCCTTCGTTTGAAACGTGACTGCTTCATACAAAAGTAGACAGAAGAATTCTCATAAACTTCTTCGTGATGTGTGCTTTCAACTCGCAGAGTTGAAGCTTCCTTTCGATAGAGCAGTCTTGTAAATCTCTTTTTGTAGAATTTCCAAGTGGATATTTAGCGCCGCTTGAGGCCTATGGTGGAGAAGGCGATATCTTCATAGAAAAACTAGACAGAATGATTCTCAGAAACAACTCTGTGATGTGTGCCTTCAACTCACAGAGTTTAACCTTCCTTTTGATAGAGCAGTTTTGAAAAACTCTTTTTGTAGAATCTGCAAGTGTATATTGGGACTTTTCTGAGGCCATCTTTGGAAACGGGATTTCTTCATATAAAACTTGAAAGAAGAATCCTCAGAAAATTATTTCTGATATGTGCATTTAGCTCATGGAGCTGAAACTTCCTTTCGATAGAAGAGCTTTGAAATACTCTTTTTGTAGAATTTCCAAGTGGATTTTTACAGCGGTTTGAGGTCTATGGCAGAAAAAGAAATATCTTCACAGAAAAACTAGGCAGATTCATTCTCCGAAGCTGTTTTGTGATGCTTGCATTAAGCGGACAGAGTTTAAACTTCCTTTGATAGAGCAGTTTGGAAACACTCTTTTTGTGGAATTTGCAAGTGTATCTTTAGAGCGTTTTGAGGCCTACAGTAGGAAAGGAAATATCTTCACATAAAAACTACACAGAAGTATTGTCAGAAACTTATTTGTGATATTTGCATTCAACGCACAGAGTTGAACATTCCTCTTGATGGAGCAGTTTTGAAACCCTCTTTTTGCAGAATCTGCAGGTGGATATTTGGACCTCTTTTTGGCCATCGTTTGAAACGTGATTTCTTCATTTACAACTAGACAGAAGAATTCTCAGAAACTTCTTTGTGATGTGTACCTTCAACTCACAGAGGTGAAGCTTCCTTTCAATAGAGCACTTTTGAAGCTCAGTTTTGGTAGAATTTCCAGGTGGATATTTAGCGCCGTTTGAGGCCTATGGTAGAAAAGGCAATATCTTCGTAGGAGAACTAGACACAATGATTCTCAGAAGCTACTTTGTGATGTGTGGGTTCAACTCACTGAGTTTAACCTTTCTTTTGATAGACCAGTTATGAAACACTCTTTCTGTGGAATCGGCAAGTAAATATTTGGACTTTTTTGAGGCCTTCATTGGAAACGGGCTTTCTTCATATAAACCTTGACAGAAGAATTCTCAGAAACTTCTCTGTGATGTGTGCGTTTAACTCTCAGAGTTCAACCTTCCTTTTGATAGAAGAGTGTTGAAATATTCTTTTTGTAGAATTTCCAAGTGAATATTTAGAGCGGTTTCAGGCCTATGTAGAAGAGAAACTATCTTCACAGAAAAACTAGACATAATTGTTCTCTGAAGCTACTCTGTGATGTGCGCATTCAGCTGACAGAGTTTAACCTTTCTTTGGATAGAGTGCTTTTAAACACTCTTTTTGTGGAATTTGCAATTCTATATTTAGAGTGCTTTCAGGCCTGTCGTACAAAAGGGAATGTCTTCACATAAAATCTAGACAGAAGCATTGTCGGAAACGACTTGGTGATACCTGCCTTCAACTCTCAGAGTTGAATATTCCTCTTGATGCAGCAGTTTTGAAAAACTCTTTTTGTTGAATCTCCACGTGGGTATTTGGACCTCTTTGTGGCCTTCGTTTGAAACGTGACTGCTTCATACAAAAGTAGACAGAAGAATTCTCATAAACTTCTTCGTGATGTGTGCTTTCAACTCGCAGCGTTGAAGCTTCCTTTCGATAGAGCAGTTTTGTGACTCTCTTTTTGTAGAATTTCCAAGTGGATATTTGGCGCCGTTTGAGGCTTATGGTGGAAAATGCAATATCTTCCTAGAAAAACTAGACAGAATGATTCTCAGAAACTACTTTGTGATGTGTGCCTTCAACTCACAGAGTTTAACCTTTCTTTTGATAGAGCAGTTTTGAAAAACTCTTTTTGTAGAATCTGCAAGTGTATATTGGGACTTTTCTGAGGCCATCTTTGGAAACGGGATTTCTTCATATAAAACTTGAAAGAAGAATCCTCAGAAAATTATTTGTGATATGTGCATTTAACTCATGGAGTTGAAACTTCCTTTCGATAGAAGAGTTTTGACATACTCTTTTTCTAGAATTTCCAAGTGGATTTTCACAGCGGTTTGAGGTCTATGGCAGAAAAAGAAATATCTTCACAGAGAAACTAGGCAGATTCATTCTCCGAAGCTGTTTTGTGATGCTTGCATTCAGCTTACAGAGTTTAAACTTCCTTTGATAGAGCAGTTTTGAAAACCTCTTTTTGTGGAATTTGCAAGTGTCTCTTTAGAGCGTTTTGAGGCCTACAGTAGGAAAGGAAATATCTTCACATAAAAACTAGACGGAAGTATTGTCAGAAACTTATTTGTGATATTTGCATTCAACGCACAGAGTTGAACATTCCTCTTGATGGAGCAGATTTGAAACCCTCTTTTTGCAGAATCTGCAGCTGGATATTTGGACCTCTTTGTGGCCTTCGTTTGAAACGTGATTTCTGCATTTACAACTAGACAGAAGAATTCTCAGAAACTTCTTTGTGATGTGTACTTTCAACTCACAGAGTTGAAGCTTCCTTTCAATAGAGCACTTTTGAAACTCAGTTTCTGTAGAATTTCCAGGTGGATATTTAGCGCCGTTTGAGGCCTATGGTGGAAAAGGCAATATCTTCGTAGAAAAACTAGACAGAATGATTCTCAGAATCTACTTTGTGATGTGTGGGTTCAACTCACTGAGTTTCACCTTTCTTTTGATAGACCAGTTATGAAACACTCTTTTTGTGGTATCTGCAAGTAAATATTTGGACTTTTTTGAGGCCTTCATTGGAAACGGGGTTTCTTCATACAAACCTTTACAGAAGAATTCCCAGAAACTTCTTTGTGATGTGTGCATTTAACTCTCAGAGTTCAACCTTCCTTTTGACAGAAGAGTGTTGAAATATTCTTTTTCTAGAGTTTCCAAGTGAATATTTAGAGCGGTTTCAGGCCTATGTAGAAGAGAAAATATCTTCACAGAGAAACTAGACATAATTGTTCTCTGAAGCTACTCTGTGATGTGCGCATTCAGCTGACAGAGTTTAACCTTTCTTTGGATAGAGCGGTTTTCAACACTCTTTTTGTGGAATTTGCAATTCTATATTTAGAGTGCTTTCAGGCCTGTGGTACAAAAGGGAATGTCTTCACATAAAATCTAGACAGAAGCATTGTCGGTAACTACTTTGTGATACATGGCTTCAACACTCAGAGTTGAATATTCCTCTTGAAGGAGCAGTTTTGAAAAACACTTTTTGTTGAATCTCCAAGTGGATATTTGGTCCTCTTTGTGGCCTTCGTTTGAAACGTGACTGCTTCATACAAAAGTAGACAGAAGAATTCTCATCAAATTCTTCGTGATGTGTGCTTTCAACTCGCAGCGTTGAAGCTTCCTTTCGATAGAGCAGTTCTGTAACTCTCTTTTTGTAGAATTTCCAAGTGGATATTTAGCGCCGTTTGAGGCCAATGGTGGAAAAGGCAATATCTTCATAGAAAAACTAGACAGAATGATTCTCAGAAACTACTTTGTGACGTGTGCCTTCAACTCACAGAGTTTAACCTTCCTTTTGGTAGAGCAGTTTTGAAAAACTCTTTTTGTAGAATCTGCAAGTGTATATTGGGACTTTTCTGAGGCCATCTTTGGAAACGGGATTTCTTCATATAAAACTTGAAAGAAGAATGCTCAGAGAATTATTTGTGATATGTGCATTTAACTCATGGAGTTGAAACTTCCTTTCGATAGAAGAGCTTTGAAATACTCTTTTTGTAGAATTTCCAAGTGGATTTTTACAGCGGTTTGAGGTCTATGGCAGAAAAAGAAATATCTTCACAGAAAAACTAGGCAGATTCATTCTCCAAAGCTGTTTTGTGATGCTTGCATTAAGCGGACAGAGTTTAAACTTCCTTTGAGAGAGCAGTTTGGAAACACTCTTTTTGTGGAATTTGCAAGTGTATATTTAGAGCGTTTTGAGGCCTACAGTAGGAAAGGAAATATCTTCACATAAAAACTACACAGAAGTATTCTCAGAAACTTCCTTGTGATATTTGCATTCAACGCACAGAGTTGAACATTCCTCTTGATGGAGCAGTTTTGAAACACTCTTTTTGTAGAATCTGCAGGTGGATATTTGGACCTCTTTGTGGCCTTCTTTTGAAACGTGATTTCTTCATTTACAACTAGACAGAAGAATTCTCAGAAACTTCTTTGTGATGAGTACCTTCAACTCACAGAAGTGAAGCTTCCTTTCAATAGAGCACTTTTGAAGCTCAGTTTTGGTAGAATTTAAAGGTGGATATTTAGCGCCGTTTGAGGCCTATGGTAGAAAAGGCAATATCTTCGTAGGAGAACTAGACAGAATGATTCTCAGAAACTACTTTGTGATGTGTGGGTTCAACTCACTGAGTTTAACCTTTCTTTTGATAGACCAGTTTATGAAACACTCTTTGTGTAGAATCTGCAAGTAAATATTTGGACTTTTTTGAGGCCTTCATTGGAAACGGGATTTCTTCATAGAAACCTTGACAGAAGAATTCTCAGAAACTTCTTTGTGATGTGTGCATTTAACTCTCAGAGTTCAACCTTCCTTTTGATAGAAGAGTGTTGAAATATTCTTTTTGTAGAATTTCCAGGTGAATATTTAGAGCGGTTTCAGGCCTATGTAGAAGAGAAAATATCTTCACAGGAAAACTAGACACAATTGTTCTCTGAAGCTACTTTGTGATGTGCGCCTTCAGCTGACAGAGTTGAACCTTTCTTTGGATAGAGCGGTTTTAAACACTCTTTTTGTGGAATTTGCAATTCTATATTTAGAGTGCTTTCAGGCCTGTGGTACAAAAGGGAATGTCTTCACATAAAATCGAGACAGAAGCGTTGTCGGAAACTACTTTGTGATACCTGCCTTCAACTCTCTGAGTTGAATATTCCTCTTGACGGAGCGGTTTTGAAAAACTGTTTTTGTTGAATCTCCAAGTGGATATTTGGACCTCTTTGTGGCCTTCGTTTGAGACGTGACTTCTTCCTACAAAACTAGACAGAAGAATTCTCATCAACTACTTCGCGATGTGTGCTTTCAACTCGCAGAGTTGCAGCTTTCTTTCGATAGAGCAGTTTTGTAACTCTCTTTTTGTAGAATTCCCAAGTGGATATTTAGCGCCGTTTGAGGCCTATGGTGCAAAAGGCAATATCTTCATACAAAAACTAGACAGAATGATTCTCAGAAACTACTTTGTGATGTGTGCCTTCAACTCACAGAGTTTAACCTTCCTTTTGGTAGAGCAGTTTTGAAAAACGCTTTTTGTAGAATCTGCAAGTGTATATTGGGACTTTTCTGAGGCCATCTTTGGAAACGGGATTTCTTCATATAAAACTTGAAAGAAGAATCCTCAGAAAATTATTTGTGATATGTGCATTTAACTCATGGAGTTGAAACTTCCTTTCGATAGAAGAGCTTTGAAATACTCTTTTTGTAGAATTTCCAAGTGGATTTTTACAGCGGTTTGAGGTCTATGGCAGGAAAAGAAATATCTTCACAGAAAAACTAGGCAGATTCATTCTCCGAAGCTGTTTTGTGATGCTTGCATTAAGCGGACAGAGTTTAAACCTCCTTTGATAGAGCAGTTTGGAAACACTCTTTTTGTGGAATTTGCAAGTGTGTATTTAGAGCGTTTTGAGGCCTACAGTAGGAAAGGAAATATCTTCACATAAAAACTACACAGAAGTATTCTCAGAAACTTACTTGTGATATTTGCATTCAACGCACAGAGTTGAACATTCCTCTTGATGGAGCAGTTTTGAAACACTCTTTTTGTAGAATCTGAAGGTGGATATTTGGACCTCTTTGTGGCCTTCTTTTGAAACGTGATTTCTTCATTTACAACTAGACAGAAGAATTCTCAGAAACTTCTTTTTGATGTGTACCTTCAACTCACAGAGGTGAAGCTTCCTTTCAATAGAGCAGTTTTGAAGCTCAGTTTTGGTAGTATTTCCAGGTGGATATTTAGCGCCGTTTGAGGCCTATGGTAGAAAAGGCAATATCTTCGTAGGAGAACTAGACACAATGATTCTCAGAAGCTACTTTGTGATGTGTGGGTTCAACTCACTGAGTTTAACCTTTCTTTTGATAGACCAGTTATGAAACACTCTTTCTGTGGAATCGGCAAGTAAATATTTGGACTTTTTTGAGGCCTTCATTGGAAACGGGCTTTCTTCATATAAACCTTGACAGAAGAATTCCCAGAAACTTCTCTGTGGTGTGTGCATTTAACTCTCAGAGTTCAACCTTCCTTTTGATAGAAGATTGTTATAGTATTCTTTCTGTAGAATTTCCAAGTGAATATTTAGAGCGGTTTCAGGCCTATGTAGAAGAGAAACTATCTTCACAGAAAAACTAGACATAATTGTTCTCTGAAGCTACTCTGTGATGTGCGCATTCAGCTGACAGAGTTTAACCTTTCTTTGGATAGGCGGTTTTAAACTCTCTTTTTGTGGAATTTGCAATTCTATACTTAGAGTGCTTTCAGTCCTGTGGTACAAAAGGGAATGTCTTCACATAAAATCTAGACAGAAGCATTGTTGGGAACTACTTTGTGATACCTGCCTTCAACTCTCAGAGTTGAATATTCCTCTTGATGGAGCAGTTTTGTAAATCTCTTTTTGATGAATCTCCAAGTGGATATTTGGACCTCTTTGTGGCCTTCGTTTGATACGTGACTGCTTCATACAAAAGTAGACAGAAGAATTCTCATAAACTTCGTCGTGATGCGTGCTTTCAACTCGCAGAGTTGAAGCTTCCTTTCGATAGAGCAGTCTTGTAACTCTCTTTTTGTAGAATTTCCAAGTGGATATTTAGCGCCATTTGAGGCCTATGGTGGAAAAGGCGATATCTCCCTAGAAAAACTAGACGGAGTGATTCTCAGAAACTACTGTGTGATGTGTGCCTTCAACTCACAGAGTTTAACATTTCTTTTGATAGAGCAGTTTCGAAAAACTCTTTTTGTAGAATCTGCAAGTGTATATTGGGACTTTTCTGAGGCCATCCTTGGAAACGGGATTTCTTCATATAAAACTTGAAAGAAGAATCCTCAGAAAATTATTTGTGGTATGTGCATTTAACTCACGGAGTTGAAACTTCCTTTCGATAGAAGAGTTTTGACATACTCTTTTTGTAGGATTTCCAAGTGGATTTTCACAGCGGTTTGAGGTCTATGGCAGAAAAAGAAATATCTTCACAGAAAAACTAGGCAGATTCATTCTCCGAAGCTGTTTTGTGATGCTTGCATTAAGCGGACAGAGTTTAAACTTCCTTTGATAGAGCAGTTTGGAAACACTCTTTTTGTGGAATTTGCAAGTGTATATTTAGAGCGTTTTGAGGCCTACAGTAGGAAAGGAAATATCTTCACATATAAACTAGACAGAAGTATTCTCAGAAACTTCCTTGTGATATTTGCATTCAACGCACAGATTTGAACATTCCTCTTGATGGAGCAGTTTTGAAACACTCTTTTTGTAGAATCTGCAGGTGGATATTTGGACCTCTTTGTGGCCTTCTTTTGAAACGTGATTTCTTCATTTACAACTAGACAGAAGAATTCTCAGAAACTTCTTTGTTATGTGTACCTTCTACACACAGAGGTGAAGCTTCCTTTCAATAGAGCACTTTTGAAACTCAGTTTTGGTAGAATTTCCAGGTGGATATTTAGCGCCGTTTGAGGCCTATGGTAGAAAAGGCAATATCTTCGTAGGAGAACTAGACAGAATGATTCTCAGAAACAACTTTGTGATGTGTGCGTTCAACTCACGGAGTTTAACCTTTCTTTTGATAGACCAGTTATGAAACACTCTTTCTGTGGAATCGGCAAGTAAATGTTTGGACTTTTTTGAGGCCTTCATTGGAAACGGGCTTTCTTCATATAAACCTTGACAGAAGAATTCCCAGAAACTTCTTTGTGATGTGTGCATTGAACTCTCAGAGTTCAACCTTCCTTTTGATAGAAGAGTGTTGAAATATTCTTTTTGTAGAATTTCCAAGTGAATATTTAGAGCGGTTTCAGGCCTATGTAGAAGAGAAAATATCTTCACAGAGAAACTAGACATAATTGTTCTCTGAAGCTGCTCTGTGATGTGTGCATTCAGCTGACAGAGTTTAACCTTTCTTTGGATAGAGCGGTTTTCAACACTCTTTTTGTGGAATTTGCAATTCTATATTTAGAGTGCTTTCAGGCCTGTGGTACAAAAGGGAATGTCTTCGCATAAAATCTAGACAGAAGCATTGTCGGGAACTACTTTGTGATACCAGCCTTCAACTCTCAGAGTTGAATAGTCCTCTTGACGGAGCAGTTTTGAAAAACTCTTTTTGTTGAATCTCCAAGTGGATATTTGGACCTCGTTGTGGCCTTCGTTTGAAACGTGACTGCTTCATAGAAAAGTAGACAGAAGAATTCTCATAAACTTCTTCGTGATGTGTGCTTTCAACTCGCAGCGTTGAAGCTTCCTTTCGATAGAGCAGTTCTGTAACTCTCTTATTGTAGAATTTCCAAGTGGATATTTAGCGCCGTTTGAGGCCTATGGTGGAAAAGGCAATATCTTCATAGAAAAACTAGACAGAGTGATTCTCAGAAACTACTGTGTGATGTGTGCCTTCAACTCACAGAGTTTAACATTTCTTTTGATAGAGCAGTTTCGAAAAACTCTTTTTGTAGAATCTGCAAGTGTATATTGGGACTTTTCTGAGGCCATCCTTGGAAACGGGATTTCTTCATATAAAACTTGAAAGAAGAATCCTCAGAAAATTATTTGTGATATGTGTATTTAACTCATGGAGTTGAGACTTCCTTTCGATAGAAGAGTTTTGAAATACTCTTTTTGTAGAATTTCCAAGTGGATTTTTACAGCGGTTTGAGGTCTATGGCAGAAAAAGAAATATCTTCACAGAAAAACTAGGCAGATTCATTCTCCGAAGCTGTTTTGTGATGCTTGCATTAAGCTGACAGAGTTTAAACTTCCTTTGATAGAGCAGTTTGGAAACACTCTTTTTGTGGAATTTGCAAGTGTATATTTAGAGCGTTTTGAGGCCTACAGTAGCAAAGGAAATATCTTCACATAAAAACTAGACAGAAGTATTGTCAGAAACTTATTTGTGATATTTGCATTCAACGCACCGAGTTGAACATTCCTCTTGATGGAGCAGTTTGGAAACACTCTTTTTGTAGAATCTGCAAGTAAATCTTTGGACTTTTTTGAGGCATTCATTGGAAACGGGCTTTCTTCATATAAACCTTGACAGAAGAATTCTCAGAAACTTCTTTGTGATGTGTACTTTCAACTCACAGAGTTGAAGCTTCCTTTCAATAGAGCACTTTTGAAACTCAGTTTCTGTAGAATTTCCAGGTGGATATTTAGCGCCGTTTGAGGCCTATGATGGAAAAGGCAATATCTTCGTAAAAAACTAGACAGAATGATTCTCAGAAACAACTTTGTGATGTGTGCGTTCAACTCACGGAGTTTAACCTTTCTTTTGATAGACCAGTTATGAAACACTCTTTTTGTAGAATCTGCAAGTAAATATTTGGACTTTTTTGAGGCCTTCTTTGGAAACGGGATTTCTTCATATAAACCTTGACAGAAGAATTCCCAGAAACTTCTCTGTGATGTGTGCATTTAACTCTCAGAGTTCAACCTTCCTTTTGATAGAAGAGGGTTGAAATATTCTTTTTGTAGAATTTCCAAGTGAATATTTAGAGCGGTTTCAGGCCTATGTAGAAGAGAAAATATCTTCACAGAAAAACTAGACATATTCATTTTCCGAAGCTGTTTAGTGATGCTTGCATTAAGCTGACAGAGTTTAAACTTCCTTTGATAGAGCAGTTTGGAAACACTCTTTTTGTGGAATTTGCAATTCTATATTTAGAGTGCTTTCAGGCCTGTGGTACAAAAGGGAATGTCTTCACATAAAATCTAGACAGAAGCATTGTCGGGAACTACTTTGTGATACCTGCCTTCAACTCTCAGATTTGAATATTCGTCTTGATGGAGCAGTTTTGAAAAACTCTTTTTGTTGAATCTCCAAGTGGATATTTGGACCTCTTTGTGGCCTTCGTTTGAAACGTGACTGCTTCATACAAAAGTAGACAGAAGAATTCTCATAAACTTCTTCGTGATGTGTGCTTTCAACTCGCAGAGTTGAAGCTTCCTTTCGATAGAGCAGTCTTGTAACTCTCTTTTTGTAGAATTTCCAAGTGGATATTTAGCGCCGCTTGAGGCCTATGGTGGAGAAGGCGATATCTTCATAGAAAAACTAGACAGAATGATTCTCAGAAACAACTCTGTGAAGTGTGCCTTCAACTCACAGAGTTTAACCTTCCTTTTGATTGAGCAGTTTTGAAAAACTCTTTTTGTAGAATCTGCAAGTGTATATTGGGACTTTTCTGAGGCCAACTTTGGAAACGGGATTTCTTCATATAAAACTTGAAAGAAGAATCCTCAGAAAATTATTTGTGATATGTGCATTTAACTCATGGAGTTGAAACTTCCTTTCGAAAGAAGAGCTTTGAAATACTCTTTTTGTAGAATTTCCAAGTGGATTTTTACAGCGGTTTGAGGTCTATGACAGGAAAAGAAATATCTTCTCAGAAAAACTAGGCAGATTCATTCTCCGAAGCTGTTTTGTGATGCTTGCATTCAGCTGACAGAGTTTAAACTTCCTTTGATAGAGCAGTTTTGAAACACTCTTTTTGTGGAATTTGCAAGTGTATATTTAGAGCGTTTTGAGGCCTACAGTAGGAAAGGAAATATCTTCACCTAAAAACTAGACAGAAGTATTGTCAGAAACTTATTTGTGATATTTGCATTCAACGCACAGAGTTGAACATTCCTCTTGATGGAGCAGTTTTGAAACCCTCTTTTTGCAGAATCTGCAGGTGGATATTTGGACCTCTTTGTGGCCTTCGATTGAAACGTGATTTCTTCATTTACAACTAGACAGAAGAATTCTCAGAAACTTCTTTGTGATGAGTACCTTCAACTGACAGAGGTGAAGCTTCCTTTCACTAGAGCACTTTTGAAACTCAGTTTTGGTAGAATTTCCAGGTGGATATTTTGCGCCGTTTGAGGCCTATGGTAGAAAAGGCAATATCTTCGTAGGAGAACTAGACAGAATGATTCTCAGAAACAACTTTGTGATGTGTGCGTTCAACTCACGGAGTTTAACCTTTCTTTTGATAGACCAGTTATGAAACACTCTTTTTGTAGAATCTGCAAGTAAATATTTGGACTTTTTTGAGGCCTTCATTGGAAACGGGATTTCTTCATAAAAACCTTGACAGAAGAATTCTCAGAAACTTCTCTGTGATGTGTGCGTTTAACTCTCAGAGTTCAACCTTCCTTTTGATGGAAGAGTGGTGAAGTATTCTTTTTGTAGAATTTCCAAGTGAATATTTAGAGCGGTTTCAGGCCTATGTAGAAGAGAAAATATCTTCCCAGAAAGACTAGACATAACTGTTCTCTGAAGCTGCTCTGTGATGTGCGCATTCAGCTGACAGAGTTTAACCTTTCTTTGGATAGAGCGGTTTTCAACACTCTTTTTGTGGAATTTGCAATTCTATATTTAGAGTGCTTTCAGGCCTGTGGTACAAAAGGGAATGTCTTCACATAAAATCTAGACAGAAGCATTGTCGGAAACTACTTGGTGATACCTGCCTTCATCTCTCAGAGTTGAATATTCCTCTTGATGGAGCAGTTTTGTAAAACTCTTTTTGTTGAATCTCCAAGTGGATATTTGGACCTCTTTGTGGCCTTCGTTTGAAACGTGACTGCTTCATACAAAAGTAGACAGAAGAATTCTCATAAACTTCTTCGTGATGTGTGCTTTCAACTCGCAGAGTTGAAGCTTCCTTTCGATAGAGCAGTCTTGTAACTCTCTTTTTGTAGAATTTCCAAGTGGATATTTAGCGCCGCTTGAGGCCTATGGTGGAGAAGGCGATATCTTCATAGAAAAACTAGACAGAATGATTCTCAGAAACTACTCTGTGATGTGTGCCTTCAACTCACAGAGTTTAACCTTCCTTTTGATAGAGCAGTTTTGAAAAACTCTTTTTGTAGAATCTGCAAGTGTATATTGGGAGTTTTCTGAGGCCATCTTTGGAAACGGGATTTCTTCATATAAATCTTGAAAGAAGAATGCTCAGAGAATTATTTGTGATATGTGCATTTAACTCATGGAGTTGAAACTTCCTTTCGATAGAAGAGCTTTGAAATACTCTTTTTGTAGAATTTCCAAGTGGATTTTTACAGCGGTTTGAGGTCTATGGCAGAAAAAGAAATATCTTCACAGAAAAACTAGGCAGATTCATTCTCCAAAGCTGTTTTGTGATGCTTGCATTAAGCGGACAGAGTTTAAACTTCCTTTGAGAGAGCAGTTTGGAAACACTCTTTTTGTGGAATTTGCAAGTGTATATTTAGAGCGTTTTGAGGCCTACAGTAGGAAAGGAAATATCTTCACATAAAAACTACACAGAAGTATTGTCAGAAACTTACTTGTGATATTTGCATTCAACGCACAGAGTTGAACATTCCTCTTGATGGAGCAGTTTTGAAACACTCTTTTTGCAGAATCTGCAGGTGGATATTTGGACCTCTTTGTGGCCTTCGTTTGAAACGTGATTTCTTCATTTACAACTAGACAGAAGAATTCTCAGAAACTTCTTTGTGATGTGTACCTTCAACTCACAGAGGTGAAGCTTCCTTTCATTAGAGCACTTTTGAAACTCAGTTTTGGTAGAATTTCCAGGTGGATATTTTGCGCCGTTTGAGGCCTATGGTAGAAAAGGCAATATCTTCGTAGGAGAACTAGACACAATGATTCTCAGAAACTACTTTGTGATGTGTGGGTTCAACTCACTGAGTTAACCTTTCTTTTGATAGACCAGTTATGAAACACTCTTTTTGTGGAATCTGCAAGTAAATTTTTGGACTTTTTTGAGGCCTTCATTGGAAACGGGATTTCTTCATAGAAACCTTGACAGAAGAATTCCCAGAAACTTCTCTGTGATGTGTGCATTTAACTCTCAGAGTTCAACCTTCCTTTTGATAGAAGAGGGTTGAAATATTCTTTTTGTAGAATTTCCAAGTGAATATTTAGAGCGGTTTCAGGCCTATGTAGAAGAGAAAATATCTTCACAGAAAAACTAGACATAATTGTTCTCTGAAGCTACTCTATGATGTGCGCATTCAGCTGACAGAGTTTAACCTTTCTTTGGATAGAGCGGTTTTAAACACTCCTTTTGTGGAATTTGCAGTTCTATATTTAGAGTGCTTTGAGGCCTGTGGTACAAAAGGGAATGTCTTCACATAAAATCTAGACAGAAGCGTTGTCGGAAACTACTTTGTGATACCTGCCTTCAACTCTCAGAGTTGAATATTCCTCTTGACGGAGCAGTTTTGAAAAACGCTTTTTGTGGAATCTCCAAGTGGATATTTGGACCTCTTTGTGGCCTTCGTTTGAGACGTGACTTCTTCATACAAAACTAGACAGAAGAATTCCCATAAACTTCTTTGTGATGTGTGCTTTCAACTCGCAGAGTTGAAGCTTCCTTTCGATAGAGCAGTCTTGTAGCTCTCTTTTTGAAGAATTTCCAAGTGGATATTTAGCGCCGTTTGAGGCCTAGGGTGGAAAAGGCAATATCTTCATAGAAAAACTAGAAAGAATGATTCTCAGAAACTACTTTGTGATGTGTGCCTTCAACTCACAGAGTTTAACCTTCCTTTTGGTAGAGCAGTTTTCAAAAACGCTTTTTGTAGAATCTGCAAGTGTATATTGGGACTTTTCTGAGGCCATCTTTGGAAACGGGATTTCTTCATATAAAACTTGAAAGAAGAATCCTCAGAAAATTATTTGCGATATGTGCATTTAACTCATGGAGTTGAAACTTCCTTTCGATAGAAGAGCTTTGAAATTCTCTTTTTGTAGAATTTCCAAGTGGATTTTTACAGCGGTTTGAGGTCTATGGCAGAAAAAGAAATATCTTCACAGAAAAACTAGGCAGATTCATTCTCCGAAGCTGTTTTGTGATGCTTGCATTAAGCGGACAGAGTTTAAACTTCCTTTGATAGAGCAGTTTGGAAACACTCTTTTTGTGGAATTTGCAAGTGTATATTTAGAGCGTTTTGAGGCCTACAGTAGGAAAGGAAATATCTTCACATAAAAGCTACACAGAAGTATTGTCAGAAACTTATTTGTGATATTTGCATTCAACGCACAGAGTTGAACATTCCTCTTGATGGAGCAGTTTTGAAACACTCTTTTTGTAGAATCTGCAGGTGTGATAGTTTGGACCTCTTTGTGGCCTTCGTTTGAAACGTGATTTCTTCATTTACAACTAGACAGAAGAATTCTCAGAAACTTCTTTGTGATGTGTACCTTCAACTCACAGAGTTGAAGCTTCCTTTCAATAGAGCACTTTTGAAACTCAGTTTTTGTAGAATTTCCAGGTGGATATTTAGCGCTGTTTGAGGCCTATGGTAGAAAAGGCAATATCTTCATAGGAAAACTAGACAGAATGATTCTCAGAAACTACATTGTGATGTGTGGGTTCAACTCACTGAGTTTAACCTTTCTTTTGTTAGACCAGTTATGAAACACTCTTTTTGAAGAATCTGCAAGTAAATATTTGGACTTTTTTGAGGCCTTCATTGGAAACGGGATTTCTTCATAGAAACCTTGACAGAAGAATTCTCAGAAACTTCTTTGTGATGTGTGCATTTAACTCTCAGAGTTCAACCTTCCTTTTGATAGAAGAGTGTTGAAATATTCGTTTTGTAGAATTTCCAAGTGAATATTTAGAGCGGTTTCAGGCCTATGTAGAAGAGAAAATATCTTCACAGAAAAACTAGACACAATTGTTCTCTGAAGCTACTTTGTGATGTGCGCATTCAGCCTACAGAGTTTAACCTTTCTTTGGATCGAGCGGTTTTAAACACTCTTTTTGTGGAATTTGCAATTCTATATTTAGAGTGCTTTCAGGCCTGTGGTACAAAAGGGAATGTCTTCACATAAAATCTAGACAGAAGCATTGTCGGGAACCACTTTGGGATACCTGCCTTCAACTCTCAGAGTTGAATATTCCTCTTGATGGAGCAGTTTTGAAAAACTCTTTTTGTTGAATCTCTAAGTGGATATTTGGACCTCTTTGTGGCCTTCGTTTGAAACGTGACTGCTTCATACAAAAGTAGACAGAAGAATTCTCATAAACTTCTTCGTGATGTGTGCTTTCAACTCGCAGAGTTGAAGCTTCCTTTCGATAGAGCAGTCTTGTAACTCTCTTTTTGTAGAATTTCCAAGTGGATATTTAGCGCCGTTTGAGGCCTATGGTGGAGAAGGCGATATCTTCATAGAAAAACTAGACAGAATGATTCTCAGAAACTACTCTGTGATGTGTGCCTTCAACTCACAGAGTTTAACCTTCCTTTTGATAGAGCAGTTTTGAAAAACTCTTTTTGTAGAATCTGCAAGTGTATATTGGGACTTTTCTGAGGCCATCTTTGGAAACGGGGTTTCTTCATATAAAACTTGAAAGAGAATCCTCAGAAAATTATTTGTGATATGTGTATTTAACTCATGGAGTTGAGACTTCCTTTCGATAGAAGAGTTTTGAAATACTCTTTTTGTAGAATTTCCAAGTGGATTTTTACAGCGGTTTGAGGTCTATGGCAGAAAAAGAAATATCTTCACAGAAAAACTAGGCAGATTCATTCTCCGAAGCTGTTTTGTGATGCTTGCATTCAGCTGACAGAGTTTAAACTTCCTTTGATAGAGCAGTTTGGAAACACTCTTTTTGTGGAATTTGCAAGTGTATATTTAGAGCCTTTTGAGGCCTACAGTAGGAAAGTAAATATCTTCACATAAAAACTAGACAGAAGTATTCTCAGAAACTTACTTGTGATATTTGCATTCAACGCACAGAGTTGAACATTCCTCTTGATGAAGCAGTTTTGAAACACTCTTTTTGTAGAATCTGCAGGTGGATATTTGGACCTCTTTGTGGCCTTCTTTTGAAACGTGATTTCTTCATTTACAACTAGACAGAAGAATTCTCAGAAACTCCTTTGTGATGTGTACCTTCAACTCACAGAGGTGAAGCTTCCTTTCAATAGAGCACTTTTGAAACTCAGTTTTGGTAGAATTTCCAGGTGGATATTTTGCGCCGTTTGAGGCCTATGGTAGAAAAGGCAATATCTTCGTAGGAGAACTAGACAGAATGATTCTCAGAAACAACTTTGTGATGTGTGCGTTCAACTCACGGAGTTTAACCTTTCTTTTGATAGACCAGTTATGAAACACTCTTTTTGTAGAATCTGCAAGTAAATATTTGGACTTTTTTGAGGCCTTCATTGGAAACGGGATCTCTTCATATAAACCTTGACAGAAGAATTCCCAGAAACTTCTTTGTGATGTGTGCATTTAACTCTCAGAGTTCAACCTTCCTTTTGACAGAAGAGTTTTGAAATATTCTTCTTCTAGAATTTTCAAGTGAATATTTAGAGCGGTTTCAGGCCTATGTAGAAGAGAAAATATCTTCACAGAGAAACTAGACATAACTGTTCTCTGAAGCTACTTTGTGATGTGCGCATTCAGCTTACAGAGTTTAACCTTTCTTTGGATTGAGCGGTTTTAAACACTCTTTTTGTGGAATTTGCAATTCTATATTTAGAGTGCTTTCAGGCCTGTGGTACAAAAGGGAATGTCCTCACTTAAAATCTAGACAGAAGCATTGTCGGAAACTACATTGTGATAACTGCCTTCAACTTTCAGAGTTGAATATTCCTCTTGATGGAGCAGTTTTGAAAAACTCTTTTTGTTGAATCTCCAAGTGGATATTTGGACCTCTTTGTGACCTTCGTTTGAGACGTGACTTCTTCATACAAAACTAGAGAGAAGAATTCTCATCAACTTCTTCGTGTTGTGTGCTTTCAACTCGCAGCGTTGAAGCTTCCTTTCAATAGAGCAGTTTAGTAACTCTCTTTTTGTAGAATTTCCAAGTGGATATTTAGCGCCGTTTGAGGCCTATGGTGGAAAAGGCAATATCTTCATAGAAAAACTAGTCAGAATGATTCTCAGAAACTACTTTGTGATGTGTGCCTTCAACTCACAGAGTTTAACCTTCCTTTTGGTAGAGCAGTTTTGAAAAACTCTTTTTGTAGAATCTGCAAGTGTATATTGGGACTTTTCTGAGGCCATCTTTGGAAACGGGATTTCTTCATATAAAACTTGAAAGAAGAATCCTCAGAAAATTATTTGTGATATGTGCATTTCGCTCATGGAGCTGAAACTTCCTTTCGATAGAAGAGCTTTGAAATACTCTTTTTGTAGAATTTCCAAGTGGATTTTTACAGCGGTTTGAGGTCTATGGCAGAAAAAGAAATATCTTCACAGAAAAACTAGGCAGATTCATTCTCCGAAGCTGCTTTGTGATGCTTGCATTCAGCTGACAGAGTTTAAACTTCCTTTGATAGAGCAGTTTTGAAACACTCTTTTTGTGGAATTTGCAAGTGTATATTTAGAGCGTTTTGAGGCCTACAGTAGGAAAGGAAATACCTTCACCTAAAAACTAGACAGAAGTATTGTCAGAAACTTATTTGTGATATTTGCATTCAACGCACGGAGTTGAACATTCCTCTTGATGGAGCCGTTTTGAAGCACTCTTTTTGTGGAATCTGCAAGTGGATATTTGGACCTCTTTGTGGCCTTCGTGGGAAACGTGATTTCTTCATTTACAACTAGACAGAAGAATTCTCAGAAACTACTTTGTGATGTGTACTTTCAACTCACAGAGTTGAAGCTTCCTTTCAATAGAGCACCTTTGAAACTCAGTTTCTGTAGAATTTCCAGGTGGATATTTAGCGCCGTTTGAGGCCTATGGTGGAAAAGGCAATATCTTCGTAGAAAAACTAGACAGAATGATTCTCAGAAGCTACTTTGTGATGTGTGGGTTCAACTCAGGGAGTCTAACCTTTGTTTTGATAGACCAGTTATGAAACACTCTTTTTGTAGAATCTGCAAGTAAATATTTGGACTTTTTTGAGGCCTTCATTGGAAACGGGGTTTCTTCATATAAACCTTGACAGAAGAATTCTCAGAAACTTCTCTGTGATGTGTGCGTTTAACTCTCAGAGTTCAACCTTCCTTTTCATAGAAGAGTGTTGAAATATTCTTTTTGCAGAATTTCCAAGTGAATATTTTGAGCGGTCTCAGGCCTATGTGGAAGAGAAACTATCTTCACGGAAAAACTAGACATAATTGTTCTCTGAAGCTACTCTGTGATGTGCGCATTCAGCTGACAGAGTTTAACCTTTCTTTGGATAGAGCGGTTTTCAACACTCTTTTTGTGGAATTTGCAATTCTATATTTAGAGTGCTTTCAGGCCTGTGGTACAAAAGGGAATGTCTTCACATAAAATCTAGACAGAAGCATTGTCGGAAACTACTTTGTGATACTTGCCTTCAACTCTCAGAGTTGAATGTTCCTCTTGATGGAGCAGTTTTGAAAAACTCTTTTTGTTGAATCTCCAAGTGGATATTTGGACCTCTTTGTGGCCTTCGTTTGAGACGTGACTTCTTCATACAAAAGTAGACAGAAGAATTCTCATAAACTTCTTCGTGATGTGTGCTTTCAACTCGCAGCGTTGAAGCTTCCTTTCGATAGAGCAGTTCTGTAACTCTCTTTTTGTAGAATTTCCAAGTGGATATTTAGCGCCGTTTGAAGCCAATGGTGGAAAAGGCAATATCTTCATAGAAAAACTAGACAGAATGATTCTCAGAAACTTCTTTGTGATGTGTGCCTTCAACTCACAGTGTTTAACCTTTCTTTTGATAGAGCAGTTTTGAAAAACTCTTTTTGTAGAATCTGCAAGTGTATATTGGGACTTTTCTGAGGCCATCTTTGGAAACGGGATTTCTTCATATAAAACTTGAAGGAAGAATCCTCTGAAAATTATTTGTGATATGTGCATTTAACTCATGGAGTTGAAACTTCCTTTCGATAGAAGAGTTTTGAAATACTCTTTTTGTAGAATTTCCAAGTGGATTTTTACAGCGGTGTGAGGTCTATGGCAGAAAAAGAAATATCTTCACAGAAAAACTAGGCAGATTCATTCTCCGAAGCTGTTTTGTGATGCTTGCATTAGGCTTACAGAGTTTAAACTTCCTTTGATAGAGCAGTTTTGAAACACTCTTTTTGTGGAATTTGCAAGTGTATATTTAGAGCGTTTTGAGGCCTACAGTAGGAAAGGAAATATCTTCACGTAAAAACTAGACAGAAGTATTGTCAGAAACTTATTTGTGATATTTGCATTCAACGCACCGAGTTGAACATTCCTCTTGATGGAGCAGTTTGGAAACACTCTTTTTGTAGAATCTGCAGGTGGATATTTGGACCTCTTTGTGGCCTTCGTTTGAAACGTGATTTCTTCATTTACAACTAGACAGAAGAATTCTCAGAAACTTCTTTGTGATGTGTACTTTCAACTCACAGAGTTGAAGCTTCCTTTCAATAGAGCACTTTTGAAACTCAGTTTCTGTAGAATTTCCAGGTGGATATTTAGCGCCGTTTGAGGCCTATGGTGGAAAAGGCAATATCTTCGTAGAAAAACTAGACAGAATGATTCTCAGAAACAACTTTGTGATGTGTGCGTTCAACTCACGGAGTTTAACCTTTCTTTTGATAGACCAGTTATGAAACACTCTTTTTGTAGAATCTGCAAGTAAATATTTGGACTTTTTTGAGGCCTTCATTGGAAACGGGATCTCTTCATACAAACCTTGACAGAAGAATTCCCAGAAACTTCTCTGTGATGTGTGCATTTAACTCTCAGAGTTCAACCTTCCTTTTGATAGAAGAGGGTTGAAATTTTCTTTTTGTAGAATTTCCAAGTGAATATTTAGAGCGGTTTCAGGGCTAAGTAGAAGTGAAAGTATCTTCACAGAAAAACTAGACATAACTGTTCTCTGAAGCTGCTCTGTGATGTGCGCATTCAGCTGACAGAGTTTAACCTTTCTTTGGATAGAGCGGTTTTCAACACTCTTTTTGTGGAATTTGCAATTCTATATTTAGAGTGCTTTCAGGCCTGTGGTACAAGAGGAAATGTCTTCACATAAAAACTAGACAGAAGCATTGTCGGGAACTACTTTGTGATACCAGCTTTCAACTCGCAGAGTTGAATATTCCTCTTGACGGAGCAGTTTTGAAAAACTCTTTTTGTTGAATCTCCAAGTGAATATTTGGACCTCTTTGTGGCCTTCGTTTGAATCGTGACTGCTTCATACAAAAGTAGACAGAAGAATTCTCATAAACTTCTTCGTGATGTGTGCTTTCAACTCGCAGCGTTGAAGCTTCCTTTCGATAGAGCAGTTTAGTAACTCTCTTTTTGTAGAATTTCCAAGTGGATATTTAGCGCCGTTTGAGGCCTATGGTGGAAAGGCAATATCTTCATAGAAAAATTAGACAGAATGATTCTCAGAAACTACTTTGTGATGTGTGCCTTAAACTCACAAGAGTTTAACCTTTCTTTTGATAGAGCAGTTTTGAAAAACTCTTTTTGTAGAATCTGCAAGTGTATATTGGGACTTTTCTGAGGCCATCTTTGGAAACGGGATTTCTTCATATAAAACTTGAAAGAAGAATCCTCAGAAAATTATTTGTGATATGTGCATTTAACTCATGGAGTTGAAACTTCCTTTCGATAGAAGAGTTTTGACATACTCTTTTTCTAGAATTTCCAAGTGCATTTTCACAGCGGTTTGAGGTCTATGGCAGAAAAAGAAATATCTTCACAGAAAAACTAGGCAGAATTCATTCTCCGAGCTGTTTTGTGATGCTTGCATTCAGCTGACAGAGTTTAAACTTCCTTTGATAGAGCAGTTTTGAAACACTCTTTTTGTGGAATTTGCAAGTGTATATTTAGAGCGTTTTGAGGCCTACAGTAGGAAAGGAAATATCTTCACCTAAAAACTAGACAGAAGTATTGTCAGAAACTTATTTGTGATATTTGCATTCAACGCACAGAGTTGAACATTCCTCTTGATGGAGCAGATTTGAAACCCTCTTTTTGCAGAATCTGCAGCTGGATATTTGGACCTACTTTGTGGCCTTCGTTTGAAACGTGATTTCTGCATTTACAACTAGACAGAAAAATTCTCAGAAACTTCTTTGTGATGTGTACCTTCAACCCACAGAGGTGAAGCTTCCTTTCAATAGAGCACTTTTGAAGCTCAGTTTTGGTAGAATTTCCAGGTGGATATTTAGCGCCGTTTGAGGCCTATGGTAGAAAAGGCAATATCTTCGTAGGAGAACTAGACACAATGATTCTCAGAAGCTACTTTGTGATATGTGGGTTCAACTCACTGAGTTTAACCTTTCTTTTGATAGACCAATTATGAAACACTCTTTTTGTGGAATCTGCAAGTAAATTTTTGGACTTTTTTGAGGCCTTCATTGGAAACGGGGTTTCTTCATATAAATCTTGACAGAAGAATTCTCAGAAACTTCTCTGTGATGTGTGCGTTTAACTCTTAGAGTTCAACCTTCCTTTTGATAGAAGAGTGTTGAAATATTCTTTTTGTAGAATTTCCAAGTGAATATTTAGAGCGGTTTCAGGCCTATGTAGAAGAGAAACTATCTTCACAGAAAAACTAGACATAATTGTTCTCTGAAGCTGCTCTGTGATGTGCGCATTCAGCTGACAGAGTTTAACCTTTCTTTGGATAGAGCGGTTTTCAACACTCTTTTTGTGGAATTTGCAATTCTATATTTAGAGTGTTTTCAGGCCTGTGGTACAAAAGGGAATGTCTTCACATAAAATCTAGACAGAAGCGTTGTCGGAAACTAGTTTGTGATACCTGCCCTCAACTCTCAGAGTTGAATATTCCTCTTGACGGAGCAGTTTTGAAAAACTCTTTTTGTTGAATCTCCAAGTGGATATTTGGACCTCTTTGTGGCCTTCGTTTGAGACGTGACTTCTTCATACAAAACTAGACAGAAGAATTCTCATCACCTTCTTCGCGATATGTGCTTTCAACTCGCAGAGTTGCAGCTTCCTTTCGATAGAGCAGTTTTGTAACTCTCTTTTTGTAGAATTCCCAAGTGGATATTTAGCGCCGTTTGAGGCCTATGGTGGAAAAGGCAATATCTTCATAGAAAAACTAGACAGAATGATTCTCAGAAACTACTTTGTGATGTGTGCCTTCAACTCACAGAGTTTAACCTTTCTTTGGATAGAGCAGTTTTGAAAGACTCTTTTTGTAGAATCTGCAAGTGTATATTGGGACTTATCTGAGGCCATCTTTGGAAACGGGATTTCTTCATATAAAACTTCAAAGAAGAATCCTCAGAAAATTATTTGTGATATGTGCATTTAACTCATGGAGGTAAAACTTCCTTTCGATAGAAGTTTTGAAATACTCTTTTTGTAGAATTTCCAAGTGGATTTTTACAGCGGTTTGAGGTCTATGGCAGAAAAAGGAATATCTTCACAGAAAAACTAGGCAGATTCATTCTCCGAAGCTGTTTTGTGATGCTTGCATTCAGCGGACTGATTTTAAACTTCCTTTGATAGAGCAGTTTGGAATCACTCTTTTTGTGGAATTTGCAAGTGTATATTTAGAGCGTTTTGAGGCCTACAGTAGGAAAGGAAATATCTTCACATATAAACTAGACAGAAGTATTGTCAGAAACTTATTTGTGATATTTGCATTCAACGCACAGAGTTGAACATTCCTCTTGATGGAGCAGTTTTGAAACACTCTTTTTGTAGAATCTGCAGGTGGATATTTGGACCTCTTTGTGGACTTCGTTTGAAACGTGATTTCTTCATTTACAACTAGACAGAAGAATTCTCAGAAACTTCTTTGTGATGTGTACCTTCAACTCACAGAGTTGAAGCTTCCTTTCAATAGAGCACTTTTGAAACTCAGTTTTTGTAGAATTTCCAGGTGGATATTTAGCGCCGTTTGAGGCCTATGGTAGAAAAGGCAATATCTTCGTAGGAAAACTAGACAGAATGATTCTCAGAAGCTACTTTGTGATGTGTGGGTTCAACTCACTGAGTTTAACCTTTCTTTTGATAGACCAGTTATGAAACACTCTTTTTGTGGAATCGGCAAGTAAATATTTGGACTTTTTTGAGGCCTTCATTGGAAACGGCGTTTCCTCATATAAACCTTGACAGAAGAATTCTCAGAAACTTCTCTGTGATGTGTGCGTTTAACTCTCAGAGTTCAACCTTCCTTTTGATAGAAGAGTGTTGAAATATTCTTTTTGCAGAATTTCCAAGTGAATATTTAGAGCGGTCTCAGGGCTATGTAGAAGAGAAACTATCTTCACGGAAAAACTAGACATAATTGTTCTCTGAAGCTACTCTGTGATGTGCGCATTCAGCTGACAGAGTTTAACCTTTCTTTGGATAGAGCGGTTTTCAACACTCTTTTTGTGGAATTTGCAATTCTATATTTAGAGTGCTTTCAGGCCTGTGGTACAAAAGGGAATGTCTTCACATAAAATCTAGACAGAAGCATTGTCGGGAACTACTTTGTGATACCTGCCTTCAACTCTCAGAGTTGAATATTCGTCTTGATGGAGCAGTTTTGTAAAACTCTTTTTGATGAATCTCCAAGTGGATATTTGGACCTCTTTGTGGCCTTCGTTTGAAACGTGACTGCTTCATACAAAAGTAGACAGAAGAATTCTCATAAACTTCTTCATGATATGTGCTTTCAATTCGCAGCGTTGAAGCTTCCTTTCGATAGAGCAGTTTAGTAACTCTCTTTTTGTAGAATTTCCAAATGGATATTTAGCGCCGTTTGAGGCCTATGGTGGAAAAGGCAATATCTTCATAGAAAAACTAGTCAGAATGATTCTCAGAAACTACTTTGTGATGTGTGCCTTCAACTCACAGAGTTTAACCTTCCTTTTGGTAGAGCAGTTTTGAAAAACGCTTTTTGTAGAATCTGCAAGTGTATATTGGGACTTTTCTGAGGCCATCTTTGGAAACGGGATTTCTTCATATAAAACTTGAAAGAAGAATCCTCAGAAAATTATTTGTGATATGTGCATTTAACTCATGGAGTTGAGACTTCCTTTCGATAGAAGAGTTTTGAAATACTCTTTTTGTAGAATTTCCAAGTGGATTTTTACAGCGGTTTGAGGTCTATGGCAGAAAAAGAAATAACTTCACAGAAAAACTAGGCAGATTCATTCTCCGAAGCTGTTTTGTGATGTTTGCATTCAGCTGACAGAGTTTAAACTTCCTTTGATAGAGCAGTTTGGAAACACTCTTTTTGTGGAATTTGCAAGTGTATATTTAGAGCGTTTTGAGGCCTACAGTAGGAAAGGAAATATCTTCACCTAAAAACTAGACAGAAGTATTGTCAGAAACTTATTTGTGATATTTGCATTCAACGCACAGAGTTGAACATTCCTCTTGATGGAGCAGATTTGAAACCCTCTTTTTGCAGAATCTGCAGCTGGATATTTGGACCTCTTTGTGGCCTTCGTTTGAAACCGTGATTTCTGCATTTACAACTAGACAGAAGAATTCTCAGAAACTTCTTTGTGATGTGTACCTTCAACCCACAGAGGTGAAGCTTCCTTTCAATAGAGCACTTTTGAAACTCAGTTTTGGTAGAATTTCCAGGTGGATATTTAGCGCCGTTTGAGGCCTATTGTAGAAAAGGCAATATCTTCGTAGGAGAACTAGACAGAATGATTCTCAGAAGCTACTTTGTGATGTGTGGGTTCAACTCACTGAGTTTAACCTTTCTTTTGATAGACCAGTTATGAAACACTCTTTCT
The DNA here is from genome assembly GCF_000001405.40 of Homo sapiens. NCBI lineage: Eukaryota > Metazoa > Chordata > Mammalia > Primates > Hominidae > Homo > Homo sapiens. Next base: position 90,984,422 of record NC_000003.12, read on the forward strand.
GTGGAATCGGCAAGTAAATATTTGGACTTTTTTGAGGCCTTCATTGGAAACGGGGTTTCTTCATATAAACCTTGACAGAAGAATTCTCAGAAACTTCTCTGTGATGTGTGCGTTTAACTCTCAGAGTTCAACCTTCCTTTTGATAGAAGAGTGTTGAAATATTCTTTTTGTAGAATTTCCAAGTGAATATTTAGAGCGGTTTCAGGCCTATGTAGAAGAGAAACTATCTTCACAGAAAAACTAGACATAATTGTTCTCTGAAGCTACTCTGTGATGTGCGCATTCAGCTGACAGAGTTTCACCTTTCTTTGGATAGAGCGGTATTAAACCCTCTTTTTGTGGAATTTGCAATTCTATATTTAGAGTGCTTTCAAGCCTGTGGTACAAAAGGGAATGTCTTCACATAAAATCTAGACAGAAGCATTGTCGGGAACTACTTTGTGATACCTGCCCTCAAGTCTCAGAGTTGAATATTCCTCTTGATGGAGTAGTTTTGTAAAACTCTTTTTGTTGAATCTCCAAGTGGATATTTGGACCTCTTTGTGGCCTTCGTTTGAAACGTGACTGCTTCATACAAAAGTAGACAGAAGAATTCTCATAAACTTCTTCGTGATGTGTGCTTTCAACTCGCAGAGTTGAAGCTTCCTTTCGATAGAGCAGTCTTGTAACTCTCTTTTTGTAGAATTTCCAAGTGGATATTTAGCGCCGCTTGAGGCCTATGGTGGAGAAGGCGATATCTTCATAGAAAAACTAGACAGAATGATTCTCAGAAACTACTTTGTGATGTGTGCCTTCAACTCACAGAGTTTAACCTTTCTTTTGTTAGAGCAGTTTCGAAAAACTCTTTTTGTAGAATCTGCAAGTGTATATTGGGACTTTTCTGAGGCCATCTTTGGAAACGGGATTTCTTCATATAAAACTTGAAAGAAGAATCCTCAGAAAATTATTTGTGATATGTGCATTTAACTCATGGAGTTGAAACTTCCTTTCGATAGAAGAGTTTTGAAATACTCTTTTTGTAGAATTTCCAAGTGGATTTTTACAGCGGTGTGAGGTCTATGGCAGAAAAAGAAATATCTTCACAGAAAAACTAGGCAGATTCATTCTCCGAAGCTGTTTTGTGATGCTTGCATTAGGCTTACAGAGTTTAAACTTCCTTTGATAGAGCAGTTTTGAAACACTCTTTTTGTGGAATTTGCAAGTGTATATTTAGAGCGTTTTGAGGCCTACAGTAGGAAAGGAAATATCTTCACGTAAAAACTAGACAGAAATATTGTCAGAAACTTATTTGTGATATTTGCATTCAACGCACAGAGTTGAACATTCCTCTTGATGGAGCAGTTTTCAAACCCTCTTTTTGCAGAATCTGCAGCTGGATATTTGGACCTCTTTGTGGCCTTCGTTTGAAACGTGATTTCTTCATTTACAACTAGACAGAAGAATTCTCAGAAACTTCTTGGTGATGTGTACCTTCAACTCACAGAGGTGAAGCTTCCTTTCAATAGAGCACTTTTGAAACTCAGTTTTGGTAGAATTTCCAGGTGGATATTTTGCGCCGTTTGAGGCCTATGGTAGAAAAGGCAATATCTTCGTAGGAGAACTAGACAGAATGATTCTCAGAAGCTACTTTGTGATGTGTGGGTTCAACTCACTGAGTTTAACCTTTCTTTTGATAGACCAGTTATGAAACACTCTTTCTGTGGAATCGGCAAGTAAATATTTGGACTTTTTTGAGGCCTTCATTGGAAACGGGGTTTCTTCATATAAACCTTGACAGAAGAATTCTCAGAAACTTCTCTGTGATGTGTGCATTTACCTCTCAGAGTTCCACCTTCCTTTTGATAGAAGAGTGTTGAAATATTCTTTTTGCAGAATTTCCAAAGGAATATTTAGAGCGGTCTCAGGCCTATGTAGAAGAGAATCTATCTTCACGGAAAAACTAGGCATAATTGTTCTCTGAAGCTGCTCTGTGATGTGCGCATTCAGCTGACAGAGTTTAACCTTTCTTTGGACAGAGCGGTTTTAAACACTCTTTTTGTGGAATTTGCAATTCTATATTTAGAGTGCTTTCAGGCCTGTGGTACAAAAGGGAATGTCTTCGCATAAAATCTAGACAGAAGCATTGTCGGAAACTACTTTGTGATACCTGCCTTCAACTCTCAGAGTTGAATGTTCCTCTTGATGGAGCAGTTTTGAAAAACTCTTTTTGTTGAATTTCCAAGTGGATATTTGGACCTCTTTGTGGCCTTCGTTTGAGACGTGACTTCTTCATACAAAAGTAGACAGAAGAATTCTCATCAACTTCTTCGTGATGTGTGCTTTCAACTCGCAGCGTTGAAGCTTCCTTTCGATAGAGCAGTTCTGTAACTCTCTTTTTGTAGAATTTCCAAGTGGATATTTAGTGCCGTTTGAGGCCAATGGTGGAAAAGGCAATATCTTCATAGAAAAACTAGACAGAATGATTCTCAGAAACTACTTTGTGATGTGTGCCTTCAACTCACAGAGTTTAACCTTTCTTTTGATAGAGCAGTTTTGAAAAACTCTTTTTGTAGAATCTGCAAGTGTATATTGGGACTTTTCTGAGGCCATCTTTGGAAACGGGATTTCTTCATATAAAACTTGAAAGAAGAATCCTCAGAAAATTATTTGCGATATGTGCATTTAACTCATGGAGTTGAAACTTCCTTTCGATAGAAGAGTTTTGAAATACTCTTTTTGTAGAATTTCCAAGTGGATTTTTACAGCGGTTTGAGGTCTATGGCAGCAAAAGGAATATCTTCACAGAAAAACTAGGCAGATTCATTCTCCGAAGCTGTTTTGTGATGCTTGCATTCAGCTGACAGAGTTTAAACTTCCTTTGATAGAGCAGTTTTGAAACACTCTTTTTGTGGAATTTGCAAGTGTATATTTAGAGCGTTTTGAGGCCTGCAGTAGGAAAGGAAATATCTTCACCTAAAAACTAGACAGAAGTATTGTCAGAAACTTATTTGTGATATTTGCTTTCAACGCACAGAGTTGAACATTCCTCTTGATGGAGCCGTTTTGAAACACTCTTTTTGTAGAATCTGCAAGTGGATATTTGGACCTCTTTGTGGCCTTCGTGTGAAACGTGATTTCTTCATTTACAACTAGACAGAAGAATTCTCAGAAACTTCTTTGTGATGTGTACCTTCAACTCACAGAGGTGAAGCTTCCTTTCAATAGAGCACTTTTGAAACTCAGTTTTGGTAGAATTTCCAGGTGGATATTTAGCGCCGTTTGAGGCCTATGGTAGAAAAGGCAATATCTTCGTAGGAGAACTAGACTGAATGATTCTCAGAAGCTACTTTGTGATGTGTGGGTTCAACTCACTGAGTTTAACCTTTCTTTTGATAGACCAGTTATGAAACACTCTTTCTGTGGAATCGGCAAGTAAATATTTGGACTTTTTTGAGGCCTTCATTGGAAACGGGGTTTCTTCATATAAACCTTGACAGAAGAATTCTCAGAAACTTCTCTGTGATGTGTGCGTTTAACTCTCAGAGTTCAACCTTCCTTTTGATAGAAGAGTGTTGAAATATTCTTTTTGCAGAATTTCCAAGTGAATATTTAGAGCGGTCTCAGGCCTATGTGGAAGAGAAACTATCTTCACGGAAAAACTAGACATAATTGTTCTCTGAAGCTACTTTGTGATGTGCGCATTCAGCTTACAGAGTTTAACCTTTCTTTGGATAGAGCGGTTTTAAACACTCTTTTTGTGGAATTTGCAGTTCCATATTTAGAGTGCTTTCAGGCCTGTGGTACAAAAGGGAATGTCCTCACATAAAATCTAGACAGAAGCATTGTCGGAAACTACTTGGTGATACCTGCCTTCAACTCTCAGAGTTGAATATTCCTCTTGATGGAGCAGTTTTGAAAAACTCTTTTTGTTGAATCTCCAAGTGGGTATTTGGACCTCTTTGTGGCCTTCGTTTGAAACGTGACTGCTTCATACAAAAGTAGACACAAGAATTCTCATAAACTTCTTCGTGATGTGTGCTTTCAACTCGCAGAGTTGAAGCTTCCTTTCGATAGAGCAGTTTAGTAACTCTCTTTTTGTAGAATTTCCAAGTGGATATTTAGCGCCGTTTGAGGCCTATGGCGGAAAAGGCAATATCTTCATAGAAAAACTAGTCAGAATGATTCTCAGAAACTACTGTGTGATGTGTGCCTTCAACTCACAGAGTTTAACCTTCCTTTTGATAGAGCAGTTTTGAAAAACTCTTTTTGTAGAATCTGCAAGTGTATATTGGGACTTTTCTGAGGCCAACTTTGGAAACGGGATTTCTTCATATAAAACTTGAAAGAAGAATCCTCAGAAAATTATTTGTGATATGTGCATTTAACTCATGGAGTTGAAACTTCCTTTCGATAGAAGAGTTTTGAAATACTCTTTTTGTAGAATTCCCAAGTGGATTTTTACAGCGGTTTGAGGTCTATGGCAGCAAAAGAAATATCTTCACAGAAAAACTAGGCAGATTCATTCTCCGAAGCTGTTTTGTGATGCTTGCATTCAGCTGACAGAGTTTAAACTTCCTTTGATAGAGCAGTTTTGAAACCCTCTTTTTGTGGAATTTGCAAGTGTATATTTAGAGCGTTTTGAGGCCTACAGTAGGAAAGGAAATATCTTCACCTAAAAACTAGACAGAAGTATTGTCAGAAACTTATTTGTGATATTTGCATTCAACGCACGGAGTTGAACATTCCTCTTGATGGAGCCGTTTTGAAGCACTCTTTTTGTGGAATCTGCAAGTGGATATTTGGACCTCTTTGTGGCCTTCGTGTGAAACGTGATTTCTTCATTTACAACTAGACAGAAGAATTCTCAGAAACTTCTTTGTGATGTGTACTTTCAACTCACAGAGTTGAAGCTTCCTTTCAATAGAGCACTTTTGAAACTCAGTTTCTGTAGAATTTCCAGGTGGATATTTAGCGCCGTTTGAGGCCTATGGTGGAAAAGGCAATATCTTCGTAGAAAAACTAGACAGAATTATTCTCAGAAGCTACTTTGTGATGTGTGGGTTCAACTCAGGGAGTTTAACCTTTCTTTTGATAGACCAGTTATGAAACACTCTTTTTGTAGAATCTGCAAGTAAATATTTGGACTTTTTTGAGGCCTTCATTGGAAACGGGGTTTCTTCATATAAACCTTGACAGAAGAATTCCCAGAAACTTCTCTGTGGTGTGTGCATTTAACTCTCAGAGTTCAACCTTCCTTTTGATAGAAGAGTGTTGAAGTATTCTTTCTGTAGAATTTCCAAGTGAATATTTAGAGCGCTTTCAGGCCTATGTAGAAGAGAAACTATCTTCACAGAAAAACTAGACATAATTGTACTCTGAAGCTACTTTGTGATGTGCGCATTCAGCTTAGAGAGTTTAACCTTTCTTTGGATAGAGCGGTTTTAAACACTCTTTTTGTGGAATTTGCAGTTCTATATTTAGAGTGCTTTCAGGCCTGTGGTACAAAAGGGAATGTCCTCACATAAAATCTAGACAGAAGCATTGTCGGGAACTACTTTGGGATACCTGCCTTCAACTCTCAGAGTTGAATATTCCTCTTGATGGAGCAGTTTTGAGAAACTCTTTTTGTTGAATCTCCAAGTGGATATTTGGACCTCTTTGTGGCCTTCGTTTGAAACGTGACTGCTTCATACAAAAGTAGACAGAAGAATTCTCATAAACTTCTTCGTGATGTGTGCTTTCAACTCGCAGAGTTGAAGCTTCCTTTCGATAGAGCAGTCTTGTAACTCTCTTTTTGTAGAATTTCCAAGTGGATATTTAGCGCCGCTTGAGGCCTATGGTGGAGAAGGCGATATCTTCATAGAAAAACTAGACAGAATGATTCTCAGAAACTACTTTGTGATGTGTGCCTTCAACTCACAGAGTTTAACCTTCCTTTTGGTAGAGCAGTTTTGAAAAACTCTTTTTGTAGAATCTGCAAGTGTATATTGGGACTTTTCTGAGGCCATCTTTGGAAACGGGATTTCTTCATATAAATCTTGAAAGAAGAATCCTCAGAAAATTATTTGTGGTATGTGCATTTAACTCATGGAGTTGAAACTTCCTTTCGCTAGAAGAGTTTTGACATACTCTTTTTGTAGGATTTCCAAGTGGATTTTCACAGCGGTTTGAGGTCTATGGCAGAAAAAGAAATATCTTCACAGAAAAACTAGGCAGATTCATTCTCCGAAGCTGTTTTGTGATGTTTGCATTAAGCTGACAGAGTTTAAACTTCCTTTGATAGAGCAGTTTGGAAACACTCTTTTTGTGAATTTGCAAGTGTATATTTAGAGCGTTTTGAGGCCTACAGTAGGAAAGGAAATATCTTCACATAAAAACTAGACAGAAGTATTGTCAGAAACTTACTTGTGATATTTGCATTCAACGCACAGAGTTGAACATTCCTCTTGATGGAGCAATTTTGAAACACTCTTTTTGCAGAATCTGCAGGTGGATATTTGGACCTCTTTGTGGCCTTCGTTTGAAACGTGATTTCTTCATTTACAACTAGACAGAAGAATTCTCAGAAACTTCTTTTTGATGTGTACCTTCAACTCACAGAGGTGAAGCTTCCTTTCAATAGAGCACTTTTGAAGCTCAGTTTTGGTAGAATTTCCAGGTGGATATTTAGCGCCGTTTGAGGCCTATGGTAGAAAAGGCAATATCTTCGTAGGAGAACTAGACACAATGATTCTCAGAAACTACTTTGTGATGTGTGGGTTCAACTCACTGAGTTTAACCTTTCTTTTGATAGACCAGTTACGAAACACTCTTTTTGTAGAATCTGCAAGTAAATATTTGGACTTTTTTGAGGCCTTCATTGGAAACGGGATTTCTTCATAGAAACCTTGACAGAAGAATTCCCAGAAACTTCTTTGTGATGTGTGCATTGAACTCTCAGAGTTCAACCTTCCTTTTGACAGAAGAGTGTTGAAATATTCTTTTTCTAGAGTTTCCAAGTGAATATTTAGAGCGGTTTCAGGCCTACGTAGAAGAGAAAATATCTTCACAGAGAAACTAGACATAATTGTTCTCTGAAGCTACTTTGTGATGTGCGCCTTCAGCTGACAGAGTTTAACATTTCTTTGGATAGAGCGGTTTTAAACACTCTTTCTGTGGAATTTGCAATTCTATATTTAGAGTGCTTTCAGGCCTGTGATACAAAAGGGAATGTCTTCACATAAAATCTAAACAGAAGCATTGTCGGAAACTACTTTGTGATACCTGCCTTCAACTCTCAGAGTTGAATATTCCTCTTGATGGAGCAGTTTTGAAAAACTCTTTTTGTTGAATCTCCAAGTGGATATTTGGACCTCTTTGTGGCCTTCGTTTGAGACGTGACTTCTTCATACAAAAGCAGACAGAAGAATTCTCATAAACTTCTTCGTGATGTGTGCTTTCAACTCGCAGCGTTGAAGCTTCCTTTCGATAGAGCAGTTTAGTAACTCTCTTTTTGTAGAATATCCAAGTGGATATTTAGCGCCGTTTGAGGCCTATGGTGGAAAAGGCAATATCTTCATAGAAAAACTAGACAGAATGAGTCTCAGAAACTACTGTGTGATGTGTGCCTTCAACTCACCGAGTTTAACCTTTCTTTTGATAGAGCAGTTTTGAAAAACTCTTTTTGTAGAATCTGCAAGTGTATATTGGGACTTTTCTGAGGCCATCTTTGGAAACGGGATTTCTTCATATAAAACTTGAAAGAAGAATCCTCAGAAAATTATTTGTGATATGTGCGTTTAACTCATGGAGTTGAAACTTCCTTTCGATAGAAGAGTTTTGAAATACTCTTTTTGTAGAATTTCCAAGTGGATTTTTACAGCGGTTTGAGGTCTATGGCAGAAAAAGGAATATCTTCACAGAAAAACTAGGCAGATTCATTCTCCGAAGCTGTTTTGTGATGCTTGCATTCAGCTGACAGAGTTTAAACTTCCTTTGAGAGAGCAGTTTTGAAACACTCTTTTTGTGGAATTTGCAAGTGTATATTTAGAGCGTTTTGAGGCCTACAGTAGGAAAGGAAATATCTTCACCTAAAAACTAGACAGAAGTATTGTCAGAAACTTATTTGTGATATTTGCATTCAACGCACGGAGTTGAACATTCCTCTTGATGGAGCCGTTTTGAAGCACTCTTTTTGTGGAATCTGCAAGTGGATATTTGGACCTCTTTGTGGCCTTCAGTGTGAAACGTGATTTCTTCATTTACAACTAGACAGAAGAATTCTCAGAAACTTCTTTGTGATGTGTACTTTCAACTCACAGAGTTGAAGCTTCCTTTCAATAGAGCACTTTTGAAACTCAGTTTCTGTAGAATTTCCAGGTGGATATTTAGCGCCGTTTGAGGCCTATGGTGGAAAAGGCAATATCTTCGTAGAAAAACTACACAGAATGATTCTCAGAAACAACTTTGTGATGTGTGCGTTCAACTCACGGAGTTTAACCTTTCTTTTGATAGACCAGTTATGAAACACTCTTTTTGTAGAATCTGCAAGTAAATATTTGGACTTTTTTGAGGCCTTCATTGGAAACGGGATTTCTTCATATAAACCTTGACAGAAGAATTCCCAGAAACTTCTCTGTGATGTGTGCATTTAACTCTCAGAGTTCAACCTTCCTTTTGATAGAAGAGGGTTGAAATTTTCTTTTTGTAGAATTTCCAAGTGAATATTTAGAACGGTTTCAGGCCTAAGTAGAAGAGAAAATTTCTTCACAGAAAAACTAGATATAATTGTTCTCTGAAGCTACTTTGTGATGTGCGCATTCAGCTTACAGAGTTTAACCTTTCTTTGGATCAAGCGGTTTTAAACACTCTTTTTGTGGAATTTGCAATTCTATATTTAGAGTGCTTTCAGGCCTGTGGTACAAAAGGGAATGTCCTCACATAAAATCTAGACAGAAGCATTGTCGGGAACTACTTTGTGATACCAGCTTTCAACTCGCAGAGTTGAATATTCCTCTTGACGGAGCAGTTTTGAAAAACTCTTTTTGTTGAATCTCCAAGTGAATATTTGGACCTCTTTGTGGCCTTCGTTTGAATCGTGACTGCTTCATACAAAAGTAGACAGAAGAATTCTCACAAACTTCTTCGTGATGTGTGCTTTCAACTCGCAGAGTTGAAGCTTCCTTTCGATAGAGCAGTTTAGTAACTCTCTTTTTGTAGAATTTCCAAGTGGATATTTAGCGCCGTTTGAGGCCTATGGTGGAAAAGGCAATATCTTCATAGAAAAACTAGACAGAATGATTCTCAGAAACTACTCTGTGATGTGTGCCTTCAACTCACAGAGTTTAACCTTCCTTTTGATAGAGCAGTTTTGAAAAACTCTTTTTGTAGAATCTGCAAGTGTATATTGGGACTTTTCTGAGGCCATCTTTGGAAACGGGATTTCTTCATAGAAAACTTGAAAGAAGAATCCTCAGAAAATTATTTTTGATATGTGCATTTAACTCATGGAGTTGAGACTTCCTTTCGATAGAAGAGTTTTGAAATACTCTTTTTGTAGAATTTCCAAGTGGATTTTTACAGCGGTTTGAGGTCTATGGCAGAAAAAGAAATATCTTCACAGAAAAACTAGGCAGATTCATTCTCCGAAGCTGTTTTGTGATGCTTGCATTCAGCTGACAGAGTTTAAACTTCCTTTGATAGAGCAGTTTTGAAACCCTCTTTTTGTGGAATTTGCAAGTGTCTCTTTAGAGCGTTTTGAGGCCTACAGTAGGAAAGGAAATATCTTCACATAAAACTAGACGGAAGTATTGTCAGAAACTTATTTGTGATATTTGCATTCAACGCACGGAGTTGAACATTCCTCTTGATGGAGCCGTTTTGAAGCACTCTTTTTGTGTAATCTGCAAGTGGATATTTGGACCTCTTTGTGGCCTTCGTGGGAAACGTGATTTCTTCACTAACAACTAGACAGAAGAATTCTCAGAAACTTCTTTGTGATGTGTACCTTCAACCCACAGAGGTGAAGCTTCCTTTCAATAGAGCACTTTTGAAACTCAGTTTTGGTAGAATTTCCAGGTGGATATTTAGCGCCGTTTGAGGCCTATGGTAGAAAAGGCAATATCTTCGTAGGAGAACTAGACAGAATGATTCTCAGAAGCTACTTTGTGATGTGTGGGTTCAACTCACTGAGTTTAACCTTTCTTTTTATAGACCAGATATGAAACACTCTTTCTGTGGAATCGGCAACTAAATATTTGGACTTTTTTGAGGCCTTCATTGGAAACGGGGTTTCTTCATATAAACGTTTGACAGAAGAATTCTCAGAAACTTCTTTGTGATGTGTGCATTTAACTCTCAGAGTTCAACCTTCCTTTTGATAGAAGAGTGTTGAAATATTCTTTTTGTAGAATTTCCAAGTGAATATTTAGAGCGGTTTCAGGCCTATCTAGAAGAGAAAATATCTTCACAGAAAAACTAGACACAATTGTTCTCTGAAGCTACTCTGTGATGTGCGCATTCAGCTGACAGAGTTTAACCTTTCTTTGGATAGAGCGGTTTTAAACCCTCTTTTTGTGGAATTTGCAATTCTGTATTTGGAGTGCTTTCAGGCCTGTGGTACAAAAGGGAATGTCTTCACATAAAATCTAGACAGAAGCATTGTCGGGAACTACTTTGGGATACCTGCCTTCAACTCTCAGAGTTGAATATTCCTCTTGATGGAGCAGTTTTGAAAAACTCTTTTTGTTGAATCTCCAAGTGGATATTTGGACCTCTTTGTGGCCTTCGTTTGAAACGTGACTGCTTCATACAAAAGTAGACAGAAGAATTCTCATAAACTTCTTCGTGATTTGTGCTTTCAACTCGCAGCGTTGAAGCTTCCTTTCGATAGAGCAGTTTAGTAACTCTCTTTTTGTAGAATTTCCAAGTGGATATTTAGCGCCGTTTGAGGCCTATGGTGGAAAAGGCAATATCTTCATAGAAAAACTAGACAGAATGATTCTCAGAAACTACTTTGTGATGTGTGCCTTCAACTCACAGAGTTTAACCTTCCTTTTGGTAGAGCAGTTTTGAAAAACTCTTTTTGTAGAATCTGCAAGTGTATATTGGGACTTTTCTGAGGCCATCTTTGGAAACGGGATTTCTTCATATAAAACTTGAAAGAAGAATCCTCAGAAAATTATTTGTGATATGTGGATTTAACTCATGGAGTTGAGACTTCCTTTCGATAGAAGAGTTTTGAAATACTCTTTTTGTAGAATTTCCAAGTGGATTTTTACAGCGGTTTGAGGTCTATGGCAGAAAAAGAAATATCTTCACAGAAAAACTAGGCAGATTCATTCTCCGAAGCTGTTTTGTGATGCTTGCATTAAGCGGACAGAGTTTAAACTTCCTTTGACAGAGCAGTTTGGAAACACTCTTTTTGTGGAATTTGCAAGTGTATATTTAGAGCGTTTTGAGGCCTACAGTAGGAAAGGAAATATCTTCACATAAAAACTAGACAGAAGTATTGTCAGAAACTTATTTGTGATATTGGCATTCAACGCACAGAGTTGAACATTCCTCTTGATGGAGCAGTTTTGAAACACTCTTTTTGTAGAATCTGCATGTGGATATTTGGACCTCTTTGTGGCCTTCGTTTGAAACGTGATTTCTTCATTTACAACTAGACAGAGGAATTCTCAGAAACTTCTTTGTGATGTGTACCTTCAACTCACAGAGTTGAAGCTTCCTTTCAATAGAGCACTTTTGAAAATCAGTTTCTGTAGAATTTCCAGGTGGATATTTAGCGCCGTTTGAGGCCTATGGTAGAAAAGGCCATATATTTGTAGGAAAACTAGACAGAATGATTCTCAGACACTACTTTGTGATGTGTGGGTTCAACTCAGTGAGTTTAACCTTTCTTTTGATAGACCAGTTATGAAACACTCTTTTTGTAGAATCTGCATGTAAATATTTGGACTTTTTGAGGCCTTCATTGGAAACGGGGTTTCTTCATATAAACGTTGACAGAAGAATTCTCAGAAATTTCTCTGTGATGTGTGCGTTTAACTCTTAGAGTTGAACATTCCTTTTGAGAGAAGAGTGTTGAAATATTCTTTCTGTAGAATTTCCAAGTGAATATTTGGAGCGGTTTCAGGCCTATGTAGAAGAGAAAATATCTTCACAGAAAAACTAGACATAATTGTTCTCTGAAGCTACTTTGTGATGTGCGCATTCAGCTTACAGAGTTTAACCTTTCTTTGGATAGAGCGGTTTTAAACACTCTTTTTGTGGAATTTGCAGTTCTATATTTAGAGTGCTTTCAGGCCTGTGGTACAAAAGGGAATGTCCTCACATAAAATCTAGACAGAAGCATTGTCGGAAACTACTTTGTGATACCTGCCTTCAACTCTCAGAGTTGAATGTTCCTCTTGATGGAGCAGTTTTGAAAAACTCTTTTTGTTGAATCTCCAAGTGGATATTTGGACCTCTTTAGGGCCTTCGTTTGAGACGTGACTTCTTCATACAAAAGTAGACAGAAGAATTCTCATCAACTTCTTCGTGATGTGTGCTTTCAACTCGCAGCGTTGAAGCTTCCTTTCGATACAGCAGTTCTGTAACTTTCTTTTTGTAGAATTTCCAAGTGGATATTTAGCGCCGTTTGAGGCCAATGGTGGAAAAGGCAATATCTTCATAGAAAAACTAGACAGAATGATTCTCAGAAACTACTCTGTGATGTGTGTCTTCAACTCACAGAGTTTAACCTTCCTTTTGATAGAGCAGTTTTGAAAAACTCTTTTTGTAGAATCTGCAAGTGTATATTGGGACTTTTCTGAGGCCATCTTTGGAAACGGGATTTCTTCATATAAAACTTGAAAGAAGAATCCTCAGAAAATTATTTGTGATATGTGCATTTAACTCATGGAGTTGAAACTTCCTTTCGAAAGAAGAGCTTTGAAATACTCTTTTTGTAGAATTTCCAAGTGGATTTTTACAGCGGTTTGAGGTCTATGGCAGGAAAAGAAATATCTTCACAGAAAAACTAGGCAGATTCATTCTCCGAAGCTGTTTTGTGATGCTTGCATTCAGCTGACAGAGTTTAAACTTCCTTTGATAGAGCAGTTTGGAAACACTCTTTTTGTGGAATTTGCAAGTGTATATTTAGAGCGTTTTGAGGCCTACAGTAGGAAAGGAAATATCTTCACCTAAAAACTAGACAGAAGTATTGTCAGAAACTTACTTGTGATATTTGCATTCAACGCACAGAGTTGAACATTCCTCTTGATGGAGCAGTTTTGAAACACTCTTTTTGTAGAATCTGCAGGTGGATATTTGGACCTCTTTGTGGCCTTCGTTTGAAACGTGATTTCTTCATTTACAACTAGACAGAAGAATTCTCAGAAACTTCTTTGTGATGTGTACCTTCAACTCACAGAGGTGAAGCTTCCTTTCAATAGAGCACTTTTGAAGCTCAGTTTTGGTAGAATTTCCAGGTGGATATTTAGCGCCGTTTGAGGCCTATGGTAGAAAAGGCAATATCTTCGTAGGAGAACTAGACAGAATGATTCTCAGAAGCTACTTTGTGATGTGTGGGTTCAACTCACTGAGTTTAACCTTTCTTTTGATAGACCAGTTATGAAACACTCTTTTTGTGGAATCTGCTAGTAAATTTTTGGACTTTTTTGAGGCCTTCATTGGAAACGGGGTTTCTTCATATAAACCTTGACAGAAGAATTCTCAGAAACTTCTCTGTGATGTGTGCGTTTACCTCTCAGAGTTCAACCTTCCTTTTGATAGAAGAGTGTTGAAATATTCTTTTTGCAGAATTTCCAAGTGAATATTTAGAGCGGTCTCAGGCCTATGTAGAAGAGAAACTATCTTCACGGAAAAACTAGACATAATTGTTCTCTGAAGCTACTCTGTGATGTGCGCATTCAGCTGACAGAGTTTAACCTTTCTTTGGATAGAGCGGTTTTAAACACTCCTTTTGTGGAATTTGCAGTTCTATATTTAGAGTGCTTTGAGGCCTGTGGTACAAAAGGGAATGTCTTCACATAAAATCTAGACAGAAGCATTGTCGGAAACGACTTGGTGATACCTGCCTTCAACTCTCAGGGTTGAATATTCCTCTTGATGGAGCAGTTTTGAAAAACTCTTTTTGTTGAATCTCCAAGTGGGTATTTGTACCTCTTTGTGGCCTTCGTTTGAAACGTGACTGCTTCATACAAAAGTAGACACAAGAATTCTCATAAACTTCTTGGTGATGTGTGCTTTCAACTCGCAGCGTTGAAGCTTCCTTTCGATAGAGCAGTTTAGTAACTCTCTTTTTGTAGAATTTCCAAGTGGATATTTAGCGCCGTTTGAGGCCTATGGTGAAAAAGGCAATATCTTCATAGAAAAACTAGACAGAATGATTCTCAGAAACTACTTTGTGATGTGTGCCTTCAACTCACAGTGTTTAACCTTCCTCTTGGTAGAGCAGTTTTGAAAAACTCTTTTTGTAGAATCTGCAAGTGTATATTGGGACTTTTCTGAGGCCATCTTTGGAAACGGGATTTCTTCATATAAAACTTGAAAGAAGAATCCTCAGAAAATTATTTGTGATATGTGCATTTAACTCATGGAGTTGAGACTTCCTTTCGATAGAAGAGTTTTGAAATACTCTTTTTGTAGAATTTCCAAGTGGATTTTTACAGCGGTTTGAGGTCTATGGCAGAAAAAGAAATATCTTCACAGAAAAACTAGGCAGATTCATTCTCCGAAGCTGTTTTGTGATGCTTGCATTAAGCTGACAGAGTTTAAACTTCCTTTGATAGAGCAGTTTGGAAACACTCTTTTTGTGGAATTTGCAAGTGTATATTTAGAGCGTTTTGAGGCCTACAGTAGGAAAGGAAATATCTTCACATAAAAGCTAGACAGAAGTATTGTCAGAAAATTATTTGTGATATTTGCATTCAACGCACAGAGTTGAACATTCCTCTTGATGGAGCAGATTTGAAACCCTCTTTTTGCAGAATCTGCAGCTGGATATTTGGACCTCTTTGTGGCCTTCGTTTGAAACGTGATTTCTGCATTTACAACTAGACAGAAGAATTCTCAGAAACTTCTTTGTGATGTGTACTTTCAACTCACAGAGTTGAAGCTTCCTTTCAATAGAGCACTTTTGAAACTCAGTTTCTGTAGAATTTCCAGGTGGATATTTAGCGCCGTTTGAGGCCTATGGTGGAAAAGGCAATATCTTCGTAGAAAAACTAGACAGAATGATTCTCAGAAGCTACTTTGTGATGTGTGAGCTCAACTCACTGAGTTTAACCTTTCTTTTGATAGACCAGTTATGAAACACTCTTTCTGTGGAACTTGCAAGTAAATATTTGGACTTTTTTAGGCCTTCATTGGAAACGGGGTTTCTTCATATAAACCTTGACAGAAGAATTCCCAGAAACTTCTCTGTGGTGTGTGCATTTAACTCTCAGAGTTCAACCTTCCTTTTGATAGAAGAGTGTTATAGTATTCTTTCTGTAGAATTTCCAAGTGAATATTTAGAGCGGTTTCAGGCCTATGTAGAAGAGAAACTATCTTCACAGAAAAACTAGACATAATTGTTCTCTGATGCTACTTTGTGATGTGTGCATTCAGCTTACAGAGTTTAACCTTTCTTTGGATAGAGCGGTTTTAAACACTCTTTTTGTGGAATTTGCAGTTCTATATTTAGAGTGCTTTCAGGCCTGTGGTACAAAAGGGAATGTCCTCACATAAAATCTAGACAGAAGCATTGTCGGGAACTACTTTGTGATACCTGCCTTCAACTCTCAGAGTTGAATATACCTCTTGATGGAGCAGTTTTGTAAAACTCTTTTTGTTGAATCTCCAAGTGGATATTTGGACCTCTTTGTGGCCTTCGTTTGAAACGTGACTGCTTCATACAAAAGTAGACAGAAGAATTCTCATATACTTCTTCGTGATGCGTGCTTTCAACTCACAGAGTTGAAGCTTCCTTTCGATAGAGCAGTCTTGTAACTCTCTTTTTGTAGAATTTCCAAGTGGATATTTAGCGCCGTTTGAGGCCTATGGTGGAAAAGGCGATATCTTCCTAGAAAAACTAGACAGAATGATTCTCAGAAACTACTGTGTGATGTGTGCCTTCAACTCACAGAGTTTAACCTTTCTTTTGATAGAGCAGTTTTGAAAAACTCTTTTTGTAGAATCTGCATGTGTATATTGGGACTTTTCTGAGGCCATCTTTGGAAACGGGATTTCTTCATATAAAACTTGAAAGAAGAATCCTCAGAAAATTATTTGTGATATGTGCATTTAACTCATGGAGCTGAAACTTCCTTTCGATAGAAGAGCTTTGAAATACTCTTTTTGTAGAATTTCCTAGTGGATTTTTACAGCGGTTTGAGGTCTATGGCAGAAAAAGAAATATCTTCACAGAAAAACTAGGCAGATTCATTCTCCGAAGCTGTTTTGTGATGCTTGCATTAAGCGGACAGAGTTTAAACTTCCTTTGAGAGAGCAGTTTGGAAACACTCTTTTTGTGGAATTTGCAAGTGTATATTTAGAGCGTTTTGAGGCCTACAGTAGGAAAGGAAATATCTTCACATAAAAACTACACAGAAGTATTGTCAGAAACTTCTTTGTGGTATTTGCATTCAACGCACAGAGTTGAACATTCCTCTTGATGGAGCAGTTTTGAAACCCTCTTTTTGCAGAATCTGCAGGTGGATATTTGGACCTCCTTTGTGGCCTTCGTTTGAAGCGTGATTTCTTCATTTACAACTAGACAGAAGAATTCTCAGAAACTTCTTTGTGATGTGTACCTTCAACCCACAGAGGTGAAGCTTCCTTTCAATAGAGCACTTTTGAAACTCAGTTTTGGTAGAATTTCCAGGTGGATATTTAGCGCCGTTTGAGGCCTATGGTAGAAAAGGCAATATCTTCGTAGGAGAACTAGACAGAATGATTCTCAGAAGCTACTTTGTGATGTGTGGGTTCAACTCACTGAGTTTAACCTTTCTTTTGATAGACCAGTTATGAAACACTCTTTTTGTGGAATCTGCAAGTAAATATTTGGACTGTTTTGAGGCCTTCATTGGAAACGGGGTTTCTTCATATAAACCTTGACAGAAGAATTCTCAGAAACTTCTCTGTGATGTGTGTGTTTACCTCTCAGAGTTCAACCTTCCTTTTGATAGAAGAGTGTTGAAATATTCTTTTTGCAGAATTTCCAAGTGAATATTTAGAGCGGTCTCAGGCCTATGTAGAAGAGAAACTATCTTCACGGAAAAACTAGACATAATTGTTCTCTGAAGCTACTCTGTGATGTGCGCATTCAGCTGACAGAGTTTAACCTTTCTTAGGATAGAGCGGTTTTAAACCCTCTTTTTGTGGAATTTGCAATTCTGTATTTAGAGTGCTTTCAGGCCTGTGGTACAAAAGGGAATGTCTTCACATAAAATCTAGACAGAAGCATTGTCGGGAACTTCTTTGGGATACCTGCCTTCAACTCTCAGAGTTGAATATTCCTCTTGATGGAGCAGTTTTGAAAAACTCTTTTTGTTGAATCTCCAAGTTGATATTTGGACCTCATTGTGGCCTTCGTTTGAAACGTGACTGCTTCATACAAAAGTAGACAGAAGAATTCTCATAAACTTCTTCGTGATGTGTGCTTTCAACTCGCAGCGTTGAAGGTTCCTTTCGATAGAGCAGTTTAGTAACTCTCTTTTTGTAGAATTTCCAAGTGGATATTTAGCGCCGCTTGAGGCCTATGATGAAAAAGGCAATATCTTCATAGAAAAACTAGACAGAATGATTCTCAGAAACTACTTTGTGATGTGTGCCTTCAACTCACAGAGTTTAACCTTCCTTTTGGTAGAGCAGTTTTGAAAAACGCTTTTTGTAGAATCTGCAAGTGTATATTGGGACTTTTCTGAGGCCATCTTTGGAAACGGGATTTCTTCATATAAAACTTGAAAGAAGAATCCTCAGAAAATTATTTGTGATATGTGCATTTAACTGATGGAGCTGAAACTTCCTTTCGATAGAAGAGCTTTGAAATACTCTTTTTGTAGAATTTCCAAGTGGATTTTTACAGCGGTTTGAGGTCTATGGCAGAAAAAGAAATATCTTCACAGAAAAATTAGGCAGATTCATTCTCCGAAGCTGTTTTGTGATGCTTGCATTAAGCGTACAGAGTTTAAACTTCCTTTGATAGAGCAGTTTTGAAACACTCTTTTTGTGGAATTTGCAAGTGTATATTTAGAGCGTTTTGAGGCCTACAGTAGGAAAGGAAATATCTTCACATAAAAACTAGACAGAAGTATTGTCAGAAACTTATTTGTGATATTTGCATTCAACGCACAGAGTTGAACATTCCTCTTGATGGAGCAGTTTGGAAACACTCTTTTTGTAGAATCTGCAGGTGGATATTTGGACCTCTTTGTGGCCTTCGTTTGAAACGTGATTTCTTCATTTACAACTAGACAGAAGAATTCTCAGAAACTTCTTTGTGATGTGTACCTTCAACCCACAGAGGTGAAGCTTCCTTTCAATAGAGCACTTTTGAAACTCAGTTTTGGTAGAATTTCCAGGTGGATATTTAGCGCCGTTTGAGGCCTATTGTAGAAAAGGCAATATCTTCGTAGGAGAACTAGACAGAATGATTCTCAGAAACAACTTTGTGATGTGTGCATTCAACTCACGGAGTTTAACCTTTCTTTTGATAGACCAGTTATGAAACACTCTTTTTGTAGAATCTGCAAGTAAATATTTGGACTTTTCTGAGGCCTTCATTGGAAACGGGATCTCTTCATATAAACCTTGACAGAAGAATTCTCAGAAACTTCTCTGTGATGTGTGCGTTTAACTCTCAGAGTTCAACCTTCCTTTTGATAGAAGAGTGTTGAAATATTCTTTTTGCAGAATTTCCAAGTGAATATTTAGAGCGGTCTCAGGCCTATGTGGAAGAGAAACTATCTTCACGGAAAAACTAGACATAATTGTTCTCTGAAGCTACTTTGTGATGGGCGCCTTCAGCTGACAGACTTTAACCTTTCTTTGGATAGAGCGGTTTTAAACCCTCTTTTTGTGGAATTTGCAATTCTATATTTAGAGTGCTTTCAGGCCTGTGGTACAAAAGGGAATGTCTTCACATAAAATCTAGACAGAAGCATTGTCGGAAACTACTTTGGGATACCTGCCTTCAACACTCAGAGTTGAATATTCCTCTTGATAGAGCAGTTTTGAAAAACTCTTTTTGTTGAATCTCCAAGTGGATATTTGGACCTCTTTGTGGCCTTCGTTTGAAACGTGACTGCTTCATACAAAAGTAGACAGAAGAATTCTCATAAACTTCTTCGTGATGTGTGCTTTCCACTCGCAGAGTGGAAGCTTCCTTTCGATAGAGCAGTCTTGTAACTCTCTTTTTGTAGAATTTCCAAGTGGATATTTAGCGCCGTTTGAGGCCTATGGTGGAGAAGGCGATATCTTCATAGAAAAACTAGACAGAATGATTCTCAGAAACTACTCTGTGATGTGTGCCTTCAACTCACAGAGTTTAACCTTCCTTTTGATAGAGCAGTTTTGAAAAACTCTTTTTGTAGAATCTGCAAGTGTATATTGGGACTTTTCTGAGGCCATCTTTGGAAACGGGATTTCTTCATATAAAACTTGAAAGAAGAATCCACAAAAAATTATTAGTGATATGTGCATTTAACTCATGGAGTTCAGACTTCCTTTCGATAGAAGAGTTTTGAAATACTCTTTTTGTAGAATTTCCAAGTGGATTTTTACAGCGGTTTGAGGTCTATGGCAGAAAATGGAATATCTTCACAGAAAAACCAGGCAGATTCATTCTCCGAAGCTGTTTTGTGATGCTTGCATTAAGCTGACAGAGTTTAAACTTCCTTTGATAGAGCAGTTTGGAAACACTCTTTTTGTGGAATTTGCAAGTGTATATTTAGAGCGTTTTGAGGCCTACAGTAGGAAAGGAAATATCTTCACATAAAAACTAGACAGAAGTATTGTCAGAAACTTATTTGTGATATTTGCATTCAACGCACGGAGTTGAACATTCCTCTTGATGGAGCCGTTTTGAAGCACTCTTTTTGTGGAATCTGCAAGTGGATATTTGGACCTCTTTGTGGCCTTCGTGTGAAACGTGATTTCTTCATTTACAACTAGACAGAAGAATTCTCAGAAACTTCTTTGTCATGTGTACTTTCAACTCACAGAGTTGAAGCTTCCTTTCAATAGAGCACTTTTGAAACTCAGTTTCTGTAGAATTTCCAGGTGGATATTTAGCGCCGTTTGAGGCCTATGGTGGAAAAGGCAATATCTTCGTAGAAAAACTAGACAGAATGATTCTCAGAAACAACTTTGTGATGTGTGCGTTCAACTCACGGAGTTTAACCTTTCTTTTGATAGACCAGTCATGAAACACTCTTTTTGTAGAATCTGCAAGTAAATATTTGGACTTTTTTGAGGCCTTCATTGGAAACGGGATCTCCTCATATAAACCTTGACAGAAGAATTCCCAGAAACTTCTTTGTGATGTGTGCATTGAACTCTCAGAGTTCAACCTTCCTTTTGATAGAAGAGTGTTGAAATATTCTTTTTATAGAATTTCCAAGTGAATATTTAGAGCGGTTTCAGGCCTATGTAGAAGAGAAAATATCTTCACAGAGAAACTAGAAATAATTGTTCTCTGAAGCTACTTTGTGATGGGCGCCTTCAGCTGACAGTGTTTAACCTTTCTTTGGATAGAGCGGTTTTAAACACTCTTTCTTTGGAATTTGCAATTCTATATTTAGAGTGCTTTCAGGCCTGTGGTACAAAAGGGAATGTCTTCACATAAAATCTAGACAGAAGTATTGTCAGAAACTTATTTGTGATATTTGCATTCAACGCACCGAGTTGAACATTCCTCTTGATGGAGCAGTTTTGAAAAACTCTTTTTGTTGAATCTCCAAGTGGATATTTGGACCTCTTTGTGGCCTTCGTTTGAAACGTGACTGCTTCATACAAAAGTAGACAGAAGAATTCTCATAAACGTCTTCGTGATGTGTGCTTTCAACTCGCAGCGTTGAAGCTTCCTTTCGACAGAGCAGTTTAGTAACTCTCTTTTTGTAGAATTTCCAAGTGGATATTTAGCGCCGTTTGAGGCCTATGGTGGAAAAGGCAATATCTTCATAGAAAAACTAGACAGAATGATTCTCAGAAACTACTCTGTGATGTGTGCCTGCAACTCACAGAGTTTAACCTTTCTTTTGATAGAGCAGTTTTGAAAAACTCTTTTTGTAGAATCTGCAAGTGTATATTGGGACTTTTCTGAGGCCAACTTTGGGAACGGGATTTCTTCATATAAAACTTGAAAGAAGAATCCTCAGAAAATTATTTGTGATATGTGCATTTAACTCATGGAGCTGAAACTTCCTTTCGATAGAAGAGTTTTGAAATACTCTTTTTGTAGAATTTCCAAGTGGATTTTTACAGCGGTTTGAGGTCTATGGCAGAAAAAGAAATATCTTCACAGAAAAACTAGGCAGATTCATTCTCCGAAGCTGTTTTGTGATGCTTGCATTAAGCGGACAGAGTTTAAACTTTCTTTGATAGAGCAGTTTGGAAACACTGTTTTTGTGGAATTTGCAAGTGTATATTTAGAGCGTTTTGAGGCCTACAGTAGGAAAGGAAATATCTTCACATAAAAACTACACAGAAGTATTGTCAGAAACTTACTTGTGATATTTGCATTCAACGCACAGAGTTGAACATTCCTCTTGATGGAGCAGTTTTGAAACACTCTTTTTGCAGAATCTGCAGGTGGATATTTGGACCTCTTTGTGGCCTTCGTTTGAAACGTGATTTCTTCATTTACAACTAGACAGAAGAATTCTCAGAAACTTCTTTGTCATGTGTACTTTCAACTCACAGAGTTGAAGCTTCCTTTCAATAGAGCACTTTTGAAACTCAGTTTCTGTAGAATTTCCAGGTGGATATTTAGCGCCGTTTGAGGCCTATGGTGGAAAAGGCAATATCTTCGTAGAAAAACTAGACAGAATGATTCTCAGAAGCTACTTTGTGATGTGTGGGTTCAACTCACTGAGTTTAACCTTTCTTTTGATAGACCAGTTATGAAACACTCTTTTTGTGGAATCTGCTAGTAAATTTTTGGACTTTTTTGAGGCCTTCATTGGAAACGGGGTTTCTTCTTATAAACCTTGACAGAAGAATTCTCAGAAACTTCTCTGTGATGTGTGCGTTTAACTCTCAGAGTTCAACCTTCCTTTTGATAGAAGAGTGTTGAAATATTCTTTTTGCAGAATTTCCAAGTGAATATTTAGAGCGGTCTCAGGCCTATGTGGAAGAGAAACTATCTTCATGGAAAAACTAGACATAATTGTTCTCTGAAGCTACTCTGTGATGTGCGCATTCAGCTGACAGAGTTTAACCTTTCTTAGGATAGAGCGGTTTTAAAACCTCTTTTTGTGGAATTTGCAATTCTGTATTTAGAGTGCTTTCAGGCCTGTGGTACAAAAGGGAATGTCTTCACATAAAATCTAGACAGAAGCATTGTCGGGAACTACTATGTGATACCAGCCTTCAACTCGCAGAGTTGAATATTCCTCTTGACGGAGCAGTTTTGAAAAACTCTTTTTGTTGAATCTCCAAGTGGATATTTGGACCTCTTTGTGGCCTTCGTTTGAAACGTGACTGCTTCATACAAAAGTAGACAGAAGAATTCTCATAAACTTCTTCGTGATGTGTGCTTTCAACTCGCAGCCTTGAAGCTTCCTTTCGATAGAGCAGTTTAGTAACTCTCTTTTTGTAGAATTTCCAAGTGGATATTTAGCGCCGTTTGAGGCCTATGGTGGAAAAGGCAATATCTTCATAGAAAAACTAGACAGAATGATTCTCAGAAACTACTTTGTGATGTGTGCCTTCAACTCACAGAGTTTAACCTTTCTTTTGATAGAGCAGTTTTGAAAAACTCTTTTTGTAGAATCTGCAAGTGTATATTGGGACTTTTCTGAGGCCATCTTTGGAAACGGGATTTCTTCAGATAAAACTTGAAAGAAGAATCCTCAGAAAATTATTTTTGATATGTGCATTTAACTCATGGAGTTGAAACTTCCTTTCGACAGAAGAGTTTTGAAATACTCTTTTTGTAGAATTTCCAAGTGGATTTTCACTGCGGTTTGAGGTCTATGGCAGAAAAAGAAATATCTTCACAGAAAAACTAGGCAGATTCATTCTCCGAAGCTGTTTTGTGATGCTTGCATTCAGCTTACAGAGTTTAAACTTCCTTTGATAGAGCAGTTTTGAAACCCTCTTTTTGTGGAATTTGCAAGTGTCTCTTTAGAGCGTTTTGAGGCCTACAGTAGGAAAGGAAATATCTTCACATAAAAACTAGACAGAAGTATTGTCAGAAACTTATTTGTGATATTTGCATTCAACGCACAGAGTTGAACATTCCTCCTGATGGAGCCGTTTTGAAACACACTTTTTGTAGAATCTGCAAGTGGATATTTGGACCTCTTTGTGGCCTTCGTGTGAAACGTGATTTCTTCATTGACAACTAGACAGAAGAATTCTCAGAAACTTCTTTGTGATGTGTACCTTCAACTCACACAGGTGAGGCTTCCTTTCACTAGAGCACTTTTGAAACTCAGTTTTGGTAGAATTTCCAGGTGGATATTTTGCGCCGTTTGAGGCCTATGGTAGAAAAGGCAATATCTTCGTAGGAGAACTAGACAGAATGATTCTCAGAAGCTACTTTGTGATGTGTGGGTTCAACTCACTGAGTTTAACCTTTCTTTTGATAGACCAGTTATGAAACACTCTTTTTGTGGAATCGGCAAGTAAATATTTGGACTTTTTGGAGGCCTTCTTTGGAAACGGGGTTTCTTCATATAAACCTTGACAGAAGAATTCTCAGAAACTTCTCTGTGATGTGTGCGCTTAACTCTCAGAGTTCAACCTTCCTTTTGATAGAAGAGTGTTGAAATATTCTTTTTGTAGAATTTCCAAGTGAATATTTAGAGCGGTTTCAGGCCTATGTAGAAGAGAATCTATCTTCACAGAAAAACTAGACATAATTGTTCTCTGAAGCTGCACTGTGATGTGCGCATTCAGCTGACAGAGTTTAACCTTTCTTTGGATAGAGCGGTTTTGAACCCTCTTTTTGTGGAATTTGCAATTCTATATTTAGAGTGCTTTCAGGCCTGTGGTACAAAAGGGAATGTCTTCACATAAAATCTAGACAGAAGCATTGCCGGGAACTACTTTGTGATACCTGCCTTCAACTCTCAGAGTTGAATATTCCTCTTGACGGAGCAGTTTTGAAAAACTCTTTTTGTTGAATCTCCAAGTGGATATTTGGACCTCTTTGTGACCTTCGTTTGAAACGTGACAGCTTCATACAAAAGTAGACAGAAGAATTCTCATCAACTTCTTCGCGATGTGTGCTTTCAACTCGCAGAGTTGCAGCTTCCTTTCGATAGAGCAGTTTTGTAACTCTCTTTTTGTAGAATTTCCAAGAGGATATTTAGCGCCGTTTGAGGCCTATGGTGGAAAAGGCAATATCTTCATAGAAAAACTAGACAGAATGATTCTCAAAAACTACTTTGTGATGTGTGCCTTCAACTCACAGAGTTTAACCTTCCTTTTGGTAGAGCAGTTTTGAGAAACTCTTTTTGTAGAATCTGCAAGTGTATATTGGGACTTTTCTGAGGCCATCTTTGGAAACGGGATTTCTTCATATAAAACTTGAAAGAAGAATCCTCAGAAAATTATTTGTGATATGTGCATTTAACTCATGGAGTTGAGACTTCCTTTCGATAGAAGAGTTTTGAAATACTCTTTTTGTAGAATTTCCAAGTGGATTTTTACAGCGCTTTGAGGTCTATGGCAGAAAAAGAAATATCTTCACAGAAAAACTAGGCAGATTCATTCTCCGAAGCTGTTTTGTGATGCTTGCATTCAGCTGACAGAGTTTAAACTTCTTTTGATAGAGCAGTTTGGAAACACTCTTTTTGTGGAATTTGCAAGTGTATATTTAGAGCGTTTTGAGGCCTACAGTAGGAAAGGAAATATCTTCACCTAAAAAATAGACAGAAGTATTGTCAGAAACTTATTTGTGATATTTGCATTCAACACACGGAGTTGAACATTCCTCTTGATGGAGCCGTTTTGAAGCACTCTTTTTGTGGAATCTGCAAGTGGATATTTGGACCTCTTTGTTGCCTTCGTGTGAAACGTGATTTCTTCATTTACAACTAGACAGAAGAATTCTCAGAAACTTCTTTGTGATGTGTACTTTCAACTCACAGAGTTGAAGCTTCCTTTCAATAGAGCACTTTTGAAACTCAGTTTCTGTAGAATTTCCAGGTGGATATTTAGCGCCGTTTGAGGCCTATGGTGGAAAAGGCAATATCTTCGTAGAAAAACTAGACAGAATGATTCTCAGAAGCTACTTTGTGATGTGTGGGTTCAACTCACTGAGTTTAACCTTTCTTTTGATAGACCAGTTATGAAACACTCTTTCTGTGGAATCGGCAAGTAAATATTTGGACTTTTTTGAGGCCTTCATTGGAAACGGGGTTTCTTCATACAAACCTTGACAGAAGAATTCCCAGAAACTTCTCTGTGATGTGTGCATTTAACTCTCAGAGTTCAACCTTCCTTTTGATAGAAGAGGGTTGAAATATTCTTTTTGTAGAATTTCCAAGTGAATATTTAGAGCGGTTTCAGTCCTATGTAGAAGAGAAAATATCTTCACAGAAAAACTAGACATAATTGTTCTCTGAAGCTACTTTGTGATGTGCGCCTTCAGCTGACAGAGTTTAACCTTTCTTTGGATAGAGCGGTTTTAAACACTCTTTCTGTGGAATTTGCAATTCTATATTTAGAGTGCTTTCAGGCCTGTGATACAAAAGGGAATGTCTTCACATAAAATCTAAACAGAAGCATTGTCGGAAACTACTTTGTGATACCTGCCTTCAACCCTCAGAGTTGAATATTCCTCTTGATGGAGCAGTTTTGAAAAACTCTTTTTGTTGAATCTCCAAGTGGATATTTGGACCTCTTTGTGGCCTTCGTTTGAGACGTGACTTCTTCATACAAAAGTAGACAGAAGAATTCTCATAAACTTCTTCGTGATGTGTGCTTTCAACTCGCAGCGTTGAAGCTTCCTTTCGATAGAGCAGTTCTGTAACTCTCTTTTTGTAGAATTTCCAAGTGGATATTTAGCCGCCGTTTGAGGCCTATGGTGGAAAAGGCAATATCTTCATAGAAAAACTAGACAGAATGATTCTCAGAAACTACTTTGTGATGTGTGCCTTCAACTCACAGAGTTTAACCTTTCTTTTGATAGAGCAGTTTTGAAAAACTCTTTTTGTAGAATCTGCAAGTGTATATTGGGACTTTTCTGAGGCCATCTTTGGAAACGGGATTTCTTCAGATAAAACTTGAAAGAAGAATCCTCAGAAAATTATTTGTGATATGTGCATTTAGCTCATGGTGCTGAAACTTCCTTTCGATAGAAGAGCTTTGAAATACTCTTTTTGTAGAATTTCCAAGTGGATTTTTACAGCGGTTTGAGGTCTATGGCAGAAAAAGAAATATCTTCACAGAAAAACTAGGCAGATTCATTCTCCGAAGCTGTTTTGTGATGCTTGCATTCAGCTGACAGAGTTTAAACTTCCTTTGACAGAGCAGTTTGGAAACACTCTTTTTGTGGAATATGCAAGTGTATATTTAGAGCGCTTTGAGGCCTACAGTAGGAAAGGAAATATCTTCACCTAAAAACTAGACAGAAGTATTGTCAGAAACTTATTTGTGATATTTGCATTCAACGCACGGAGTTGAACATTCCTCTTGATGGAGCCGTTTTGAAGCACTCTTTTTGTGGAATCTGCAAGTGGATATTTGGACCTCTTTGTGGCCTTCGTGGGAAACGTGATTTCTTCACTAACAACTAGACAGAAGAATTCTCAGAAACTTCTTTGTGATGTGTACTTTCAACTCACAGAGTTGAAGCTTCCTTTCAATAGAGCACTTTTGAAACTCAGTTTCTGTAGAATTTCCAGGTGGATATTTAGCGCCGTTTGAGGCCTATGGTGGAAAAGGCAATATCTTCGTAGAAAAACTAGACAGAATGATTCTCAGAAACAACTTTGTGATGTGTGCGTTCAACTCACGTAGTTTAACCTTTCTTTTGATAGACCAGTTATGAAACACTCTTTTTGTAGAATCTGCAAGTAAATATTTGGACTTTTTTGAGGCCTTCATTGGAAACGGGATTTCTTCATATAAACCTTGACAGAAGAATTCTCAGAAACTTCTTTGTGATGTTTGCATTTAACTGTCAGAGTTCAACCTTCCTTTTGATAGAAGAGTGTTGAAATATTCTTTTTGTAGAATTCCCAAGTGAATATTTAGAGCGGTTTCAGGCCTATGTAGAAGAGAAAATATCTTCACAGAAAAACTAGACACAATTGTTCTCTGAAGCTACTCTGTGATGTGCGCATTCAGCTGACAGAGTTTAACCTTTCTTCGGATAGAGCGGTTTTAAACCCTCTTTTTGTGGAATTTGCAATTCTGTATTTAGAGTGCTTTCAGGCCTGTGGTACAAAAGGGAATGTCTTCACATAAAATCTAGACAGAAGCATTGTCGGGAACTACTTTGGGATACCTGCCTTCAACTCTCAGAGTTGAATATTCCTCTTGATGGAGCAGTTTTGAAAAACTCTTTTTGTTGAATCTCCAAGTGGATATTTGGACCTCTTTGTGGCCTTCGTTTGAAACGTGACTGCTTCATACAAAAGTAGACAGAAGAATTCTCATCAACTACTTCGCGATGTGTGCTTTCAACTCGCAGAGTTGCAGCTTTCTTTCGATAGAGCAGTTTTGTAACTCTCTTTTTGTAGAATTCCCAAGTGGATATTTAGCGCCGTTTGAGGCCTATGGTGCAAAAGGCAATATCTTCATACAAAAACTAGACAGAATGATTCTCAGAAACTACTTTGTGATGTGTGCCTTCAACTCACAGAGTTTAACCTTTCTTTTGATAGAGCAGTTTTGAAAAACTCTTTTTGTAGAACTGCAAGTGTATATTGGGACTTTTCTGAGGCCATCTTTGGAAACGGGATTTCTTCCTATAAAACTTGAAAGAAGAATCCTCAGAAAATTATTTGTGATATGTGCATTTAACTGATGGAGCTGAAACTTCCTTTCGATAGAAGAGCTTTGAAATACTCTTTTTGTAGAATTTCCAAGTGGATTTTTACAGCGGTTTGAGGTCTATGGCAGAAAAAGAAATATCTTCACAGAAAAATTAGGCAGATTCATTCTCCGAAGCTGTTTTGTGATCCTTGCATTAAGCTTACAGAGTTTAATCTTCCTTTGATAGAGCAGTTTGGAAACACACTTTTTGTGGAGTTTGCAAGTGTATATTTAGAGCGTTTTGAGGCCTACAGTAGGAAAGGAAATATCTTCACATAAAAACTAGACAGAAGTATTGTCAGAAACTTATTTGTGATATTTGCATTCAACGCACAGAGTTGAACATTCCTCTTGATGGAGCAGATTTGAAACCCTCTTTTTGCAGAATCTGCAGCTGGATATTTGGACCTACTTTGTGGCCTTCGTTTGAAACGTGATTTCTGCATTTACAACTAGACAGAAGACTTCTCAGAAACTTCTTTGTGATGTGTACCTTCAACTCACAGAGGTGAAGCTTCCTTTCAATAGAGCACTTTTGAAGCTCAGTTTTGGTAGAATTTCCAGGTGGATATTTAGCGCCGTTTGAGGCCTATGGTAGAAAAGGCAATATCTTCGTAGGAGAACTAGACACAATTATTCTCAGAAGCTACTTTGTGATGTGTGGGTTCAACTCAGGGAGTTTAACCTTTCTTTTGATAGACCAGTTATGAAACACTCTTTTTGTAGAATCTGCAAGTAAATATTTGGACTTTTTTGAGGCCTTCATTGGAAACGGGGTTTCTTCATATAAACCTGACAGAAGAATTCCCAGAAACTTCTCTGTGGTGTGTGCATTTAACTCTCAGAGTTCAACCTTCCTTTTGATAGAAGAGTGTTGAAGTATTCTTTCTGTAGAATTTCCAAGTGAATATTTAGAGCGCTTTCAGGCCTATGTAGAAGAGAAACTATCTTCACAGAAAAACTAGACATAATTGTTCTCTGAAGCTACTCTGTGATGTGCGCATTCAGCTGACAGAGTTTAACCTTTCTTTGGATAGAGCGGTTTTAAACACTCTTTTTGTGGAATTTGCAATTCTATATTTAGAGTGCTTTCAGGCCTGTGGTACAAAAGGGAATGTCTTCACATAAAATCTAGACAGAAGCATTGTCGGAAACTACTTTGTGATACCTGCCTTCAACTCTCAGAGTTGAATGTTGCTCTTGATGGAGCAGTTTTGAAAAACTCTTTTTGTTGAATCTCCAAGTGGATATTTGGACCTCTTTGTGGCCTTCGTTTGAAACGTGACTGCTTCATACAAAAGTAGACAGAAGAATTCTCATAAACTTCTTTGGGATGTGTGCTTGCAACTCGCAGAGTTGAAGCTTCCTTTCGATAGAGCAGTCTTGTAACTCTCTGTTTGTAGAATTTCCAAGTGGATATTTAGCGCCGTTTGAGGCCTATGGTGGAAAAGGCAATATCTTCATAGAAAAACTAGACAGAATGATTCTCAGAAACTACTTTGTGATGTGTGCCTTCAACTCACAGAGTTTAACCTTTCTTTGGATAGAGCAGTTTTGAAAAACTCTTTTTGTAGAATCTGCAAGGGTATATTGGGACTTTTCTGAGGCCATCTTTGGAAACGGGATTTCTTCATATAAAACTTCAAAGAAGAATCCTCAGAAAATTATTTGTGATATGTGCATTTAACTCATGGAGTTGAAAGTTCCTTTCGATAGAAGAGTTTTGAAATACTCTTTCTGTAGAATTTCCAAGTGGATTTTTACAGCGGTGTGAGGTCTATGGCAGCAAAAGAAATATCTTCACAGAAAAACTGGGCAGATTCATTCTCCGAAGCTGTTTTGTGATGCTTGCATTCAGCTGACAGAGTTTAAACTTCCTTTGATAGAGCAGTTTGGAAACACTCTTTTTGTGGAATTTGCAAGTGTATATTTAGAGCGTTTTGAGGCCTACAGAAGGCAAGGAAATATCTTCACCTAAAAACTAGACAGAAGTATTGTCAGAAACTTATTTGTGATATTTGCATTCAACGCACGGAGTTGAACATTCCTCTTGATGGAGTCGTTTTGAAGCACTCTTTTTGTGGAATCTGCAAGTGGATATTTGGACCTCTTTGTGGCCTTCGTGGGAAACGTGATTTCTTCATTTACAACTAGACAGAAGAATTCTCAGAAACTTCTTTGTGATGTGTACTTTCAACTCACAGAGTTGAAGCTTCCTTTCAATAGAGCACTTTTGAAACTCAGTTTCTGTAGAATTTCCAGGTGGATATTAAGCGCCGTTTGAGGCCTATGGTGGAAAAGGCAATATCTTCGTAGAAAAACTAGACAGAATGATTCTCAGAAGCTACTTTGTGATGTGTGGGTTCAACTCACTGAGTTTAACCTTTCTTTTGATAGACCAGTTATGAAACACTCTTTCTGTGGAATCGGCAAGTAAATATTTGGACTTTTTTGAGGCCTTCATTGGAAACGGGGTTTCTTCATATAAACCTTGACAGAAGAATTCTCAGAAACTTCTCTGTGATGTGTGCGTTTAACTCTCAGATTTCAACCTTCCTTTTGATAGAAGAGTGTTGAAATATTCTTTTTGCAGAATTTCCAAGTGAATATTTAGAGGGGTCTCAGGCCTATGTGGAAGAGAAACTATCTTCACGGAAAAACTAGACATAATTGTTCTCTGAAGCTACTTTGTGATGTGCGCCTTCAGCGGACAGAGTTTAACCTTTCTTTGGATAGAGCGGTTTTAAGCACTCTTTCTGTGGAATTTGCAATTCTATATTTAGAGTGCTTTCAGGCCTGTGGTACAAAAGGGAATGTCTTCACATAAAATCTAGACAGAAGCATTGTCGGAAACTACTTTGTGATACCTGCCTTCAACTCTCAGAGTTGAATATTCCTCTTGATGGAGCAGTTTTGAAAAACTCTTTTTGTTGAATCTCCAAGTGGATATTTGGACCTCTTTGTGGCCTTCGTTTGAGACGTGACTGCTTCATACAAAACTGGACAGAAGAATTCTCATCAACTTCTTCGTGATGTGTGCTTTCAACTCGCAGCGTTGAAGCTTCCTTTCGATACAGCAGTTCTGTAACTTTCTTTTTGTAGAATTTCCAAGTGGATATTTAGCGCCGTTTGAGGCCAATGGTGGAAAAGGCAATATCTTCATAGAAAAACTAGACAGAATGATTCTCAGAATCTACTTTGTGATGTATGCCTTCAACTCACAGAGTTTAACCTTCCTTTTGGTAGAGCAGTTTTGAAAAACTCTTTTTGTAGAATCTGCAAGTGTATATTGGGACTTTTCTGAGGCCATCTTTGGAAACGGGATTTCTTCATATAAAACTTGAAAGAAGAATCCTCAGAAAATTATTTGTGATATGTGCATTTAACTCATGGAGTTGAGACTTCCTTTCGATAGAAGAGCTTTGAAATACACTTTTTGTAGAATTTCCAAGTGGATTTTTACAGCGGTTTGAGGTCTATGGCAGAAAAAGAAATATCTTCACAGAAAAACTAGGCAGATTTATTCTCCGAAGCTGTTTTGTGATGCTTGCATTCAGCTGACAGAGTTTAAACTTCCTTTGATAGAGCAGTTTGGAAACACTCTTTTTGTGGAGTTTGCAAGTGTTTATTTAGAGCGTTTTGAGGCCTACAGTAGGAAAGGAAATATCTTCACATAAAAACTAGACAGAAGTATTGTCAGAAACTTATTTGTGATATTTGCATTCAACGCACGGAGTTGAACATTCCTCTTGATGGAGCCGTTTTGAAGCACTCTTTTTGTGGAATCTGCAAGTGGATATTTGGACCTCTTTGTGGCCTTCATGTGAAACGTGATTTCTTCATTTACAACTAGACAGAAGAATTCTCAGAAACTTCTTTGTGATGTGTACTTTCAACTCACAGAGTTGAAGCTTCCTTTCAATAGAGCACTTTTGAAACTCAGTTTCTGTAGAATTTCCAGGTGGATATTTAGCGCCGTTTGAGGCCTATGGTGGAAAAGGCAATATCTTCGTAGAAAAACTAGACAGAATGATTCTCAGAAGCTACTTTGTGATGTGTGGGTTCAACTCACTGAGTTTAACCTTTCTTTTGATAGACCAGTTATGAAACACTCTTTCTGTGGAATCGGCAAGTAAATATTTGGACTTTTTTGAGGCCTTCAATGGAAACGGGGTTTCTTCATATAAACCTTGACAGAAGAATTCTCAGTAACTTCTCTGTGATGTGTGCGTTTAACTCTCAGAGTTCAACCTTCCTTTTGATAGAAGAGTGTTGAAACATTCTTTTTGTAGAATTTCCAAGTGAATATTTAGAGCGGTTTCAGGCCTATGTAGAAGAGAAAATATCTTCACAGAAAAACTAGACATAATTGTTCTCTGAAGCTGCTCTGTGATGTGCGCATTCAGCTGACAGAGTTTAACCTTTCTTTGGATAGAGCGGTTTTCAACACTCTTTTTGTGGAATTTGCAATTCTATATTTAGAGTGCTTTCAGGCCTGTGGTACAAAAGGGAATGTCTTCGCATAAAATCTATACAGAAGCATTGTCGGAAACTACTTTGTGATACCTGCCTTCAACTCTCAGAGTTGAATATTCCTCTTGATGGAGCAGTTTTGAAAAACTCTTTTTGTTGAATCTCCAAGTGGATATTTGGACCTCTTTGTGACCTTCGTTTGAAACGTGACTGCTTCATAGAAAAGTAGACAGAAGAATTCTCATAAACTTCTTCGTGATGTGTGCTTTCAACTCGAAGCGTTGAAGCTTCCTTTCGATAGAGCAGTTTAGTAACTCTCTTTTTGTAGAATTTCCAAGTGGATATTTAGCGCCGTTTGAGGCCTATGGTGGAAAAGGCGATATTTTCATAGAAAAACTAGACAGAATGATTCTCAGAAACTACTTTGTGATGTGTGCCTTCAACTCACAGAGTTTAACCTTTCTTTGGATAGAGCAGTTTTGAAAAACTCTTTTTGTTGAATCTCCAAGTGGATATTTGGACCTCTTTGTGGCCTTCATTTGAGACGTGACTTCTTCATACAAAACTAGACAGAAGAATCCTCAGAAAATTATTTGTGATATGTGCATTTAACTCATGGAGTTGAAACTTCCTTTCGATAGAAGAGTTTTGAAATACTCTTTTTGTAGAATTTCCAAGTGGATTTTTACAGCGCTTTGAGGTCTATGGCAGAAAAAGAAATATCTTCACAGAAAAACTAGGCAGATTCATTCTCTGAAGCTGTTTTGTGATGCTTGCATTAACCTGACAGAGTTTAAACTTCCTTTGATAGAGCAGTTTGGAAACACTCTTTTTGTGGAATTTGCAAGTGTATATTTAGAGCCTTTTGAGGCCTACAGTAGGAAAGTAAATATCTTCACATAAAAACTAGACAGAAGTATTGTCAGAAACTTATTTGTGATATTTGCCTTCAACGCACAGAGTTGAACATTCCTCTTGATGGAGCAGTTTTCAAACCCTCTTTTTGCAGAATCTGCAGGTGGATATTTGGACCTCTTTGTGGCCTTCGTTTGAAACGTGATTTCTTCATTTACAACTAGACAGAAGAATTCTCAGAAACTTCTTTGTGATGTGTACCTTCAACTCACACAGGTGAAGCTTCCTTTCAATAGAGCACTTTTGAAACTCAGTTTTGGTAGAATTTCCAGGTGGATATTTTGCGCCGTTTGAGGCCTATGGTAGAAAAGGCAATATCTTCGTAGGAGAACTAGACAGAATGATTCTCAGAAGCTACTTTGTGATGTGTGGGTTCAACTCACTGAGTTTAACCTTTCTTTTGATAGACCAGTTATGAAACACTCTTTCTGTGGAATCGGCAAGTAAATATTTGGACTTTTTTGAGGCCTTCATTGGAAACGGGGTTTCTTCATATAAACCTTGACAGAAGAATTCTCAGAAACTTCTCTGTGATGTGTGCGTTTAACTCTCAGAGTTCAACCTTCCTTTTGATGGAAGAGTGTTGAAGTATTCTTTTTGTAGAATTTCCAAGTGAGTATTTAGAGCGGTTTCAGGCCTATGTAGAAGAGAAAATATCTTCCCAGAAAGACTAGACATAAGTGTTCTCTGAAGCTACTTTGTGATGTGCGCATTCAGCTTACAGAGTTTAAACTTTCTTTGTATAGAGCGGTTCTAAACACTCTTTTTGTGGAATTTGCAATTCTATATTTAGAGTGCTTTCAGGCCTGTGGTACAAAAGGGAATGTCCTCACATAAAATCTAGACACAAGCATTGTCGGAAACTACTTTGTGATACCTGCCTTCAACTCTCAGAGTTGAATATTCCTCTTGATGGAGCAGTTTTGAAAAACTCTTTTTGTTGAATCTCCAAGTGGATATTTGGACCTCTTTGTGGCCTTCGTTTGAGACGGTGACTTCTTCATACAAAAGTAGACAGAAGAATTCTCATCACCTTCCTCGCGATGTGTGCTTTCAACTCGCGGAGCTGAAGCTTCCTTTCGATAGAGCAGTTTTGTAACTCTCTTTTTATAGAATTTCCAAGTGGATATTTAGCGCCGTTTGAGGCCTATGGTGGAAAAGGCAATATCTTCATAGAAAAACTAGACAGAATGATTCTCAGAAACTACTTTGTGATGTGTGCCTTCAACTCACAGAGTTTAACCTTTCTTTTGATAGAGCAGTTTTGAAAAACTCTTTTTGTAGAATCTGCAAGTGTATATTGGGACTTTTCTGAGGCCATCTTTGGAAACGGGATTTCTTCATATAAAACTTGAAAGAAGAATCCTCAGAAAATTATTTGTGATATGTGCATTTAACTCATGGAGTTGAAACTTCCTTTCGATAGAAGAGTTTTGAAATACTCTTTTTGTAGTATTTCCAAGTGGATTTTTACAGCGGTGTGAGGTCTATGGCAGCAAAAGTAATATCTTCACAGAAAAACTGGGCAGAATTCATTCTCCGAGCTGTTTTGTGATGCTTGCATTCAGCTGACAGAGTTTAAACTTCCTTTGATAGAGCAGTTTTGAAACACTCTTTTTGTGGAATTTGCAAGTGTATATTTAGAGCGTTTTGAGGCCTACAGTAGGAAAGGAAATATCTTCACCTAAAAACTAGACAGATAAGTATTGTCAGAAACTTATTTGTGATATTTGCATTCAACGCACAGAGTTGAACATTCCTCTTGATGGAGCAGATTTGAAACCCTCTTTTTGCAGAATCTGCAGCTGGATATTTGGACCTCTTTGTGGCCTTCGTTTGAAACGTGATTTCTGCATTTACAACTAGACAGAAGAATTCTCAGAAACTTCTTTGTGATGTGTACCTTCAACTCACAGAGTTGAAGCTTCCTTTCAATAGAGCACTTTTGAAACTCAGTTTTTGTAGAATTTCCAGGTGGATATTTAGCGCCGTTTGAGGCCTATGGTAGAAAAGGCAATATCTTCGTAGGAAAACTAGACAGAATGATTCTCAGTAAACAACTTTGTGATGTGTGCGTTCAACTCACGGAGTTTAACCTTTCTTTTGATAGACCAGTTATGAAACACTCTTTTTGTAGAATCTGCAAGTAAACATTTGGACTTTTTTGAGGCCTTCATTGGAAACGGGATTTCTTCATATAAACCTTGACAGAAGAATTCCCAGAAACTTCTCTGTGGTGTGTGCATTTACCTCTCAGAGTTCAACCTTCCTTTTGATAGAAGAGTGTTGAAGTATTCTTTCTGTAGAATTTCCAAGTGAATATTTAGAGCGGTTTCAGGCCTATGTAGAAGAGAAACTATCTTCACAGAAAAACTAGACATAATTGTTCTCTGAAGCTACTTTGTGATGTGCGCATTCAGCTTACAGACTTTAACCTTTCTTTGGATAGAGCGGTTTTAAACACTCTTTTTGTGGAATTTGCAGTTCTATATTTAGAGTGCTTTCAGGCCTGTGGTACAAAAGGGAATGTCCTCACATAAAATCTAGACAGAAAGCATTGTCGGAAACTACTTTGTGATACCTGCCTTCAACTCTCAGAGTTGAATATTCCTCTTGATGGAGCAGTTTTGAAAAACTCTTTTTGTTGAATCTCCAAGTGGATATTTGGACCTCTTTGTGGCCTTCGTTTGAGACGTGACTGCTTCATACAAAAGTAGACAGAAGAATTCTCATAAAGTTCTTCGTGATGTGTGCTTTCAACTCGCAGAGTTGAAGCTTCCTTTCGATAGAGCAGTCTTGTAACTCTCTTTTTGTAGAATTTCCAAGTGGATATTTAGCGCCGCTTGAGGCCTATGGTGGAGAAGGCGATATCTTCATAGAAAAACTAGACAGAATGATTCTCAGAAACTACTTTGTGATGTGTGCCTTCAACTCACAGAGTTTAAACTTTCTTTTGATAGAGCAGTTTTGAAAAACTCTGTCTGTAGAATCTGCAAGTGTATAGTGGGACTTTTCTGAGGCCATCTTTGGAAACGGGATTTCTTCAAATAAAACATGAAAGAAGAATCCTCAGAAAATTATTTGTGATATGTGCATTTAACTCATGGAGTTGAAACTTCCTTTCGATAGAAGAGTTTTGAAATACTCTTTTTGTAGAATTTCCAAGTGGATTTTTACAGCGGTGTGAGGTCTATGGCAGGAAAAGAAATATCTTCACAGAAAAACTAGGCAGATTCATTCTCCGAAGCTGTTTTGTGATGCTTGCATTAAGCGGACAGAGTTAAAACTTCCTTTGATAGAGCAGTTTGGAAACACTCTTTTTGCGGAATTTGCAAGTGTATCTTTAGAGCGTTTTGAGGCCTACAGTAGGAAAGGAAATATCTTCACATAAAAACTACACAGAAGTATTGTCAGAAACTTACTTGTGATATTTGCATTCAACGCACAGAGTTGAACATTCCTCTTGATGGAGCAGTTTTGAAACACTCTTTTTGCAGAATCTGCAGGTGGATATTTGGACCTCTTTGTGGCCTTCGTTTGAAACGTGATTTCTTCATTTACAACTAGACAGAAGAATTCTCAGAAACTTCTTTGTGATGTGTACCTTCAACTGACAGAGGTGAAGGTTCCTTTCAATAGAGCACTTTTGAAACTCAGTTTTGGTCGAATTTCCAGGTGGATATTTAGGGCCGTTTGAGGCCTATGGTAGAAAAGGTAATATCTTCGTAGGAGAACTAGACAGAATGATTCTCAGAAGCTACTTTGTGATGTGTGGGTTCAGCTCACTGAGTTTAACCTTTCTTTTGATAGACCAGTTATGAAACACTCTTTCTGTGGAATCGGCAAGTAAATATTTGGACTTTTTGAGGCCTTCATTGGAAACGGGGTTTCTTCATATAAACCTTGACAGAAGAATTCTCAGAAACTTCTCTGTGATGTGTGCATTTAACTCTCAGAGTTCAACCTTCCTTTTGATAGAAGAGTGTTGAAATATTCTTTTTGTAGAATTTCCAAGTGAATATTTAGAGCGGTTTCAGGCCTATGTAGAAGAGAAAGTATCTTCACAGAAAAACTAGACATAATTGTTCTCTGAAGCTGCTCTGTGATGTGCGCATTCAGCTGACAGAGTTTAACCTTTCTTTGGATAGAGCGGTTTTCAACACTCTTTTTGTGGAATTTGCAATTCTATATTTAGAGTGCTTTCAGGCCTGTGGTACAAAAGGGAATGTCTTCACATAAAATCTAGACAGAAGCATTGTCGGGAACTACTTTGGGATACCTGCCTTCAACTCTCAGAGTTGAATATTCCTCTTGATGGAGCAGTTTTGAAAAACTCTTTTTGTTGAATCTCCAAGTGGATATTTGGACCTCTTTGTGGCCTTCGTTTGAAACGTGACTGCTTCATACAAAAGTAGACAGAAGAATTCTCATAAACTTCTTCGTGATGTGTGCTTTCAACTCGCAGCGTTGAAGCTTCCTTTCGATAGAGCAGTTTAGTAACTCTCTTTTTGTAGAATTTCCAAGTGGATATTTAGCGCCGTTTGAGGCCTATTGTGGAAAAGGCAATATCTTCATAGAAAAACGAGACAGAATGATTCTCAGAAACTACTTTGTGATGTGTGCCTTCAACTCACAGAGTTTAACCTTCCTTTTGGTAGAGCAGTTTTGAAAAACTCTTTTTGTAGAATCTGCAAGTGTATATTGGGACTTTTCTGAGGCCATCTTTGGAAACGGGATTTCTTCATATAAAACTTGAAAGAAGAATCCTCAGAAAATTATTTGTGATATGAGCATTTAACTCATGGAGTTGAGACTTCCTTTCGATAGAAGAGTTTTGACATACTCTTTTTGTAGAATGTCCAAGTGGATTTTTACAGCGGTTTGAGGTCTATGGCAGAAAAAGAAATATCTTCTCAGAAAAACTAGGCAGATTCATTCTCCGAAGCTGTTTTGTGATGCTTGCATTAAGCTGACAGAGTTTAAACTTCCTTTGATAGAGCAGTTTGGAAACACTCATTTTGTGGAATTTGCAAGTGTATATTTAGAGCGTTTTGAGGCCTACAGTAGGAAAGGAAATATCTTCACATAAAAGCTAGACAGAAATATTGTCAGAAACTTATTTGTGATATTTGCATTCAACGCACAGTGTTGAACATTCCTCTTGATGGAGCAGTTTTGAAGCACTCTTTTTGTAGAATCTGCAGGTGGATATATGGACCTCTTTGTGGCCTTCGTTTGAAACGTGATTTCTTCATTTACAACTAGACAGAAGAATTCTCAGAAACTTCTTTGTGATGTGTACTTTCAACTCACACAGTTGAAGCTTCCTTTCAATAGAGCACTTTTGAAACTCAGTTTTTGTAGAATTTCCAGGTGGATATTTAGCGCCGTTTGAGGCCTATGGTAGAAAAGGCAATATCTTCGTAGGAAAACTAGACAGAATGATTCTCCGAAACTACTTTGTGATGTGTGGGTTCAACTCACTGAGTTTAACCTTTCTGTTGATAGACCAGTTATGAAACACTCTTTTTATAGAATCTGCAAGTAAATATTTGGACTTTCTTGAGGCCTTCATTGGAAACGGGATTTCTTCATAGAAACCTTGACAGAAGAATTCTCAGGAACTTCTTTGTGATGTGTGCATTTAACTCTCAGAGTTCAACCTTCCTTTTGGTAGAAGAGTGTTGAAATATTCTATTTGTAGAATTTCCAAGTGAATATTTAGAGCGGTTTCAGGCCTATGTAGAAGAGAAAATATCTTCACAGAAAAACTAGACACAATTGTTCTCTGAAGCTACTTTGTGATGTGCGCATTCAGCTTACAGAGTTTAACCTTTCTTTGGATAGAGCGGTTTTAAACACTCTTTTTGTGGAATTTGCAATTCTATATTTAGAGTGCTTTCAGGCCTGTGGTACAAAAGGGAATGTCCTCACATAAAATCTAGACAGAAGCATTGTCGGGAACTACTTTGGGATACCTGCCTTCAACTCTCAGAGTTGAATATTCCTCTTGATGGAGCAGTTTTGAAAAACTCTTTTTGTTGAATCTCCAAGTGGATATTTGGACCTCTTTGTGGCCTTCGTTTGAAACGTGACTGCTTCACACAAAAGTAGACAGAAGAATTCTCCTAAACTTCTTCGTGATGTGTGCTTTCAACTCGCAGAGTTGAAGCTTCTTTTCGATAGAGCAGTCTTGTAACTCTCTTATTGTAGAATTTCCAAGTGGATATTTAGCGCCGTTTGAGGCCTATGGTGGAGAAGGCGATATCTTCATAGAAAAACTAGACAGAATGATTCTCAGAAACTACTTTGTGATGTGTGCCTTCAACTCACAGAGTTAAACCTTTGTTTTGATAGAGCAGTTTTGAAAAACTCTTTTTGTAGAATCTGCAAGTGTATATTGGGACTTTTCTGAGGCCATCTTTGGAAACGGGATTTCTTCATATAAAACTTGAAAGAAGAATCCTCAGAAAATTATTTGTGATATGTGCATTTAACTCATGGAGCTGAAACTTCCTTTCGATAGAAGAGCTTTGAAATACCCTTTTTGTAGAATTTCCAAGTGGATTTTTACAGCGGTTTGAGGTCTATGGCAGAAAAAGAAATATCTTCACAGAAAAACTAGGCAGATTCATTCTCCGAAGCTGTTTTCTGATGCTTGCATTCAGCTGACAGAGTTTAAACTTCCTTTGATAGAGCAGTTTGGAAACACTCTTTTTGTGGAATTTCAAGTGTATATTTAGAGCGTTTTGAGGCCTACAGTAGGAAAGGAAATATCTTCACCTAAAAACTAGACAGAATGATTCTCAGAAACTACTTTGTGATGTGTGGGTTCAACTCACTGAGTTTAACCTTTCTTTTGATAGACCAGTTACGAAACACTCTTCTTGTAGAATCTGCAAGTGGATATTTGGACCTCTTTGTGGCCTTCGTGTGAAACGTGATTTCTTCATTTACAACTAGACAGAAGAATTCTCAGAAACTTCTTTGTGATGTGTACCTTCAACTCACAGAGTTGAAGCTTCCTTTCAATAGAGCACTTCTGAAACTCAGTTTTTGTAGAATTTCCAGGTGGATATTTAGCGGCGTTTGAGGCCTATGGTAGAAAAGGCAATATCTTCGCAGGAAAACTAGACAGAATGATTCTCAGAAACTACTTTGTGATGTGTGGGTTCAACTCACTGAGTTTAACCTTTCTTTTGATAGACCAGTTATGAAACACTCTTTTTGTAGAATCTGCAAGTAAATATTTGGACTTTTTTGAGGCCTTCCATGGAAACGGGATTTCTTCATATAAACCTTGACAGAAGAATTCCCAGAAACTTCTCTGTGATGTGTGCATTTAACTCTCAGAGTTCAACCTTCCTTTTGATAGAAGAGTGTTGAAATAGTCTTTTTGTGGAATTTCCAAGTGAATATTTAGAGCGGTTTCAGGCCTATGTAGAAGAGAAAATATCTTCACAGAGAAACTAGACATAATTGTTCTCTGAAGCTACTTTGTGATGTGCGCCTTCAGCTGACAGAGTTTAACCTTTCTTTGGATAGAGCGGTTTTAAACACTCTTTCTGTGGAATTTGCAATTCTATATTTAGAGTGCTTTCAGGCCTGTGATACAAAAGGGAATGTCTTCACATAAAATCTAAACAGAAGCGTTGTCGGAAACTACTTTGTGATACCTGCCTTCAACTCTCAGAGTTGAATATTCCTCTTGACGGAGCAGTTTTGAAAAACTCTTTTTGTTGAATCTCCAAGTGGAGATTTGGACCTCTTTGTGGCCTTCGTTTGAGACGTGACTTCTTCCTACAAAACTAGACAGAAGAATTCTCATAAACTTCTTTGGGATGTGTGCTTGCAACTCGCAGAGTTGAAGCTTCATTTCGATAGAGCAGTCTTGTAACTCTCTTTTTGTAGAATTTCCAAGTGGATATTTAGCGCCGTTTGAGGCCTATGGTGGAAAAGGCAATATCTTCATAGAAAAACTAGACAGAATGATTCTCAGAAACTACTTTGTGATGTGTGCCTTAAACTCACAAGAGTTTAACCTTTCTTTTGATAGAG
Source organism: Homo sapiens (assembly GCF_000001405.40). Taxonomy (NCBI): domain Eukaryota; kingdom Metazoa; phylum Chordata; class Mammalia; order Primates; family Hominidae; genus Homo; species Homo sapiens. Next base: position 91,026,029 of record NC_000003.12, read on the forward strand.
CAGTTTTGAAAAACTCTTTTTGTAGAATCTGCAAGTGTATATTGGGACTTTTCTGAGGCCATCTTTGGAAACGGGATTTCTTCATATAAAACTTGAAAGAAGAATCCTCAGAAAATTATTTGTGATCTGTGCATTTAACTCATGGAGTTGAAACTTCCTTTCGATAGAAGAGTTTTGAAATACTCTTTTTGTAGAATTTCCAAGTGGATTTTTACAGCGGTTTGAGGCCTATGGCAGCAAAAGAAATATCTTCACAGAAAAACTAGGCAGATTCATTCTCCGAAGCTGTTTTGTGATGCTTGCATTCAGCTGACCGAGTTTAAACTTCCTTTGATAGAGCAGTTTTGAATCACTCTTTTTGTGGAATTTGCAAGTGTATATTTAGAGCGTTTTGAGGCCTACAGTAGGAAAGGAAATATCTTCACCTAAAAACTAGACAGAAGTATTGTCGGAAACTTACTTGTGATATTTGCATTCAACGCACAGAGTTGAACATTCCTCTTGATGGAGCAGTTTTGAAACACTCTTTTTGCAGAATCTGCAGGTGGATATTTGGACCTCTTTGTGGCCTTCCTTTGAAACGTGATTTCTTCATTTACAACTAGACAGAAGAATTCTCAGAAACTTCTTTGTGATGTGTACCTTCAACTCACAGAGGTGAAGCTTCCTTTCAATAGAGCACTTTTGAAGCTCAGTTTTGGTAGAATTTCCAGGTGGATATTTAGCGCCGTTTGAGGCCTATGGTAGAAAAGGCAATATCTTCGTAGGAGAACTAGACACAATGATTCTCAGAAAAAACTTTGTGATGTGTGCGTTCAACTAACTGAGTTTAACCTTTCTTTTGATAGACCAGTTATGAAACACTCTTTTTGTACAATCTGCAAGTAAATATTCGACTTTTTTGAGGCCTTCATTGGAAACGGGATTTCTTCATATAAACCTTGACAGAAGAATTCTCAGAAACTTCTCTGTGATGTGTGCGTTTAACTCTCAGAGTTCAACCTTCCTTTTGATAGAAGAGTGTTGAAATATTCTTTTTGCAGAATTTCCAAGTGAATATTTAGAGCCGTCTCAGGCCTATGTGGAAGAGAAACTATCTTCACGGAAAAACTAGACATAATTGTTCTCTGAAGCTGCTCTGTGATGTGCGCATTCAGCTGACAGAGTTTAACCTTTCTTTGGATAGAGCGGTTTAAACACTCTTTTTGTGGAATTTGCAATTCTATATTTAGAGTGCTTTCAGGCCTGTGGTACAAAAGGGAATGTCTTCGCATAAAATCTAGACAGAAGCATTGTCGGGAACTACTTTGTGATACCAGCCTTCAACTCGCAGAGTTGAATATTCCTCTTGACGGAGCAGTTTTGAAAAACTTTTTGTTGAATCTCCAAGTGGATATTTGGACCTCGTTGTGGCCTTCGTTTGAAACGTGACTGCTTCATACAAAAGTAGACAGAAGAATTCTCATAAACTTCTTCGTGATGTGTGCTTTCAACTCGCAGCGTTGAAGCTTCCTTTCGATAGAGCAGTTTAGTAACTCTCTTTTTGTAGAATTTCCAAGTGGATATTTAGCGCTGTCTGAGGCCTATGGTGGAAAAGGCAATATCTTCATAGAAAAACTAGACAGAATGATTCTCAGAAACTACTTTGTGATGTGTGCCTTCAACACACAGAGTTTAACCTTTCCTTTGATAGAGCAGTTTTGAAAAACTCTTTCTGTAGAATCTGCAAGTGTATATTGGGACTTTTCTGAGGCCATCTTTGGAAACGGGATTTCTTCATATAAAACTTGAAAGAAGAATCCTCAGAAAATTATTTGTGATATGTGCATTTAACTCATGGAGTTGAAACTTCCTTTCGATAGAAGAGTTTTGACATACTCTTTTTGTAGAATTTCCAAGTGGATTTTTACAGCGGCTTGAGGTCTATGGCAGAAAAAGAAATATCTTCACAGAAAAACTAAGCAGATTCATTCTCCGAAGCTGTTTTTAGATGCTTGCATTCAGCTGACAGAGTTTAAACTTCCTTTGATAGAGCAGTTTTCAAACACTCTTTTTGTGGAATTTGCAAGTGTATATTTAGAGCTTTTGAGGCCTACAGTAGGAAAGGAAATATCTTCACCTAAAAACTAGACAGAAGTACTGTCAGAAACTTATTTGTGATATTTGCATTCAACGCACAGAGTTGAACATTCCTCTTGATGGAGCAGATTTGAAACCCTCTTTTTGCAGAATCTGCAGCTGGATATTTGGACCTCTTTGCGGCCTTCGTTTGAAACGTGATTTCTGCATTTACAACTAGACAGAAGAATTCTCAGAAACTTCTTTGTGATGTGCACCTTCAACTCACAGAGTTGAAGCTTCCTTTCAATAGAGCACTTTTGAAACTCAGTTTTTGTAGAATTTCCAGGTGGATATTTAGCGCCGTTTGAGGCCTATGGTGGAAAAGGCAATATCTTCATAGAAAAACTAGACAGAATGATTCTCAGAAACAACTTTGTGATGTGTGCGTTCAACTCACTGAGTTTAACCTTTCTTTTGATAGACCAGTTATGAAACACTCTTTTTGTAGAATCTGCAAGTAAATATTTGGACTTTTTTGAGGCCTTCATTGGAAACGGGATTTCTTCATATAAACCTTGACAGAAGAATTCTCAGAAACTTCTTTGTGATGGGTGCATTTAACTCTCAGAGTTCAACCTTCCTTTTGATAGAAGAGTGTTGAAATATTCTTTTTGTAGAATTTCCAAGTGAATATTTAGAGCGGTTTCAGGCCTATGTAGAAGAGGAAATATCTTCACAGAAAAACTAGACATAATTGTTCTCTGAAGCTACTCTGCGATGTGCGCATTCAGCTAACAGAGTTTAAGCTTTCGTTGGATAGAGCGGTTTTAAACCCTCTTTTTGTGGAATTTGCAATTCTATATTTAGAGTGCTTTCAGGCCTGTGGTACAAAAGGGAATGTCTTCACATAAAATCTAGACAGAATCATTGTCGGAAACTACTTTGTGATACCTGCCTTCAACTCTCAGAGTTGAATATTCCTCTTGATGGAGCAGTTTTGAAAAACTCTTTTTGTTGAATCTCCAAGTGGATATTTGGACCTCTTTGTGGCCTTCGTTTGAAACGTGACTGCTTCATACAAAAGTAGACAGAAGAATTCTCATCAACTTCTTCGTGATGTGTGCTTTCAACTCGCAGCGTTGAAGCTTCCTTTCGATAGAGCAGTTCAGTAACTCTCTTTTTGTAGAATTTCCAAGTGGATATTTAGCGCCGTTTGAGGCCAATGGTGGAAAAGGCAATATCTTCATAGAAAAACTAGACAGAATGATTCTCAGAAACTACTTTGTGATGTGTGCCTTCAACTCACAGAGTTTAACCTTCCTTTTGGTAGAGCAGTTTTGAAAAACTCTTTTTGTAGAATCTGCAAGTGTATATTGGGACTTTTCTGAGGCCATCCTTGGAAACGGGATTTCTTCATATAAAACTTGAAAGAAGAATCCTCAGAAAATTATTTGTGATATGTGCATTTAACTCATGGAGTTGAGACTTCCTTTCGATAGAAGAGTTTTGAAATACTCTTTTTGTAGAATTTCCAAGTGGATTTTTACAGCGGTTTGAGGTCTATGGCAGAAAAAGAAATATCTTCACAGAAAAACTAGGCAGATTCATTCTCCGAAGCTGTTTTGTGATGCTTGCATTAAGCGGACAGAGTTTAAACTTCCTTTGAAAGAGCAGTTTGGAAACACTCTTTTTGTGGAATTTGCAAGTGTATATTTAGAGCGTTTTGAGGCCTACAGTAGGAAAGGAAATATCTTCACATAAAAACTACACAGAAGTATTGTCAGAAACTTACTTGTGATATTTGCATTCAACGCACAGAGTTGAACATTCCTCTTGATGGAGCAGTTTTGAAACACTCTTTTTGCAGAATCTGCAGGTGGATATTTGGACCTCTTTGTGGCCTTCGTTTGAAACGTGATTTCTTCATTTACAACTAGACAGAAGAATTCTCAGAAACTTCTTTGTGATGTGTACCTTCAACTCACAGAGGTGAAGCTTCCTTTCAATAGAGCACATTTGAAACTCAGTTTTGGTGGAATTTCCAGGTGGATATTTAGCGCCGTTTGAGGCCTATGGTAGAAAAGGCAATATCTTCGTAGGAGAACTAGACAGAATGATTCTCAGAAGCTACTTTGTGATGTGTGGGTTCAACTCACTGAGTTTAACCTTTCTTTTGATAGACCAGTTATGAAACACTCTTTTTGTGGAATCGGCAAGTAAATATTTGGACTTTTTGGAGGCCTTCATTGGAAACGGGATTTCTTCATATAAACCTTGTCAGAAGAATTCTCAGAAACTTCTCTGTGATGTGTGCGTTTAACTCTTAGAGTTGAACATTCCTTTTGAGAGAAGAGTGTTGAAATATTCTTTCTGTAGAATTTCCAAGTGAATATTTGGAGCGGTTTCAGGCCTATGTAGAAGAGAAAATATCTTCACAGAAAAACTAGACATAATTTTTCTCTGAAGCCACTTTGTGATGTGCGCATTCAGCTGACAGAGTTTAAGCTTTCCTTGGATAGAGCGGTTTTAAACCCTCTTTTTGTGGAATTTGCAATTCTATATTTAGAGTGCTTTCAGGCCTGTGGTACAAAAGGGAATGTCTTCACATAAAATCTAGACCGAAGCATTGTCGGGAACTATTTTGTGATACCTGCCTTCAACTCTCAGAGTTGAATATTCCTCTTGAAGGAGCACTTTTGAAAAACTCTTTTTGTTGAATCTCCAAGTGGATATTTGGTCCTCTTTGTGGCCTTCGTTTGAAACGTGACTGCTTCATACAAAAGTAGACAGAAGAATTCTCATAAACTTCTTCGTGGTGTGTGCTTTCAACACGCAGAGTTGAAGCTTCCTTTCGATAGAGCAGTCTTGTAACTCTCTTATTGTAGAATTTCCAAGTGGATATTTAGCGCCGTATGAGGCCTATGGTGGAGAAGGCGATATCTTCATAGAAAAACTAGACAGAATGATTCTCAGAAACAACTTTGTGATGTGTGCCTTCAACTCACAGAGTTTAACCTTTCTTTTGATAGAGCAGTTTTGAAAAACTCTTTTTGTAGAATCTGCAAGTGTATATTGGGACTTTTCTGAGGCCATCTTTGGAAACGGGATTTCTTCATATAAAACTTGAAAGAAGAATCCTCAGAAAATTATTTGTGATATGTGCATTTAACTCATGGAGTTGAAACTTCCTTTCGATAGAAGAGTTTTGAAATACTCTTTTTGTAGAATTTCCAAGTGGATTTTTACAGCGGTTTGAGGTCTATGGCAGAAAAAGAAATATCTTCACAGAAAAACAAGGCAGATTCATTCTCCGAAGCTGCTTTGTGATGCTTGCATTCAGCTGACAGAGTTTAAACTTCCTTTGATAGAGCAGTTTTGAAACACTCTTTTTGTGGAATTTGCAAGTGTATATTTAGAGCGTTTTGAGGCCTACAGTAGGAAAGGAAATACCTTCACCTAAAAACTAGACAGAAGTATTGTCAGAAACTTATTTGTGATATTTCCATTCAACGCACGGAGTTGAACATTCCTCTTGATGGAGCCGTTTTGAAGCACTCTTTTTGTGGAATCTGCAAGTGGATATTTGGACCTCTTTGTGGCCTTCGTGTGAAACGTGATTTCTTCATTTACAACTAGACAGAAGAATTCTCAGAAACTTCTTTGTGATGTGTACTTTCAACTCACAGAGTTGAAGCTTCCTTTCAATAGAGCACCTTTGAAACTCAGTTTCTGTAGAATTTCCAGGTGGATATTTAGCGCCGTTTGAGGCCTATGGTGGAAAAGGCAATATCTTCGTAGAAAAACTAGACAGAATGATTCTCAGAAGCTACTTTGTGATGTGTGGGGTCAACTCACTGAGTTTAACCTTTCTTTTGATAGACCAGTTATGAAACACTCTTTTTGTGGAATCGGCAAGTAAATATTTGGACTTTTTGGAGGCCTTCATTGGAAACGGGGTTTCTTCATGTAAACCTTGACAGAAGAATTCCCAGAAACTTCTCTGTGATGTGTGCATTTAACTCTCAGAGTTCAACCTTCCTTTTGATAGAAGAGGGTTGAAATTTTCTTTTTGTAGAATTTCCAAGTGAATATTTAGAGCGGTTTCAGGCCTAAGTAGAAGAGAAAATATCTTCACAGAAAAACTAGACATAATTGTTCTCTGAAGCTACTCTGTGATGTGCGCATTCAGCTGACAGAGTTTAACCTTTCTTTGCATAGAGCGCTTTTAAACACTCTTTTTGTGGAATTTGCAATTCTATATTTAGAGTGCTTTCAGGCCTGTCGTACAAAAGGGAATGTCTTCACATAAAATCTAGACAGAAGCATTGTCGGAAACGACTTGGTGATACCTGCCTTCAACTCTCAGAGTTGAATATTCCTCTTGATGGAGCAGTTTTGAAAAACTCTTTTTGTTGAATCTCCACGTGGGTATTTGGACCTCTTTGTGGCCTTCGTTTGAAACGTGACTGCTTCATACAAAAGTAGACAGAAGAATTCTCATAAACTTCTTCGTGATGTGTGCTTTCAACTCGCAGCGTTGAAGCTTCCTTTCGATAGAGCAGTTTTGTGACTCTCTTTTTGTAGAATTTCCAAGTGGATATTTGGCGCCGTTTGAGGCTTATGGTGGAAAGTGCAATATCTTCCTAGAAAAACTAGACAGAATGATTCTCAGAAACTACTCTGTGATGTGTGCCTTCAACTCACAGAGTTTAACCTTCCTTTTGATAGAGCAGTTTTGAAAAACTCTTTTTGTAGAATCTGCAAGTGTATATTGGGACTTTTCTGAGGCCATCTTTGGAAACGGGATTTCTTCATATAAAACTTGAAAGAAGAATCCTCAGAAAATTATTTGTGATATGTGCATTTAACTCATGGAATTGAAACTTCCTTTCGATAGAAGAGTTTTGACATCCTCTTTTTGTAGAATTTCCAAGTGGATTTTTACAGCGGTTTGAGGTCTATGGCAGAAAAAGAAATATCTTCACAGAAAAACAAGGCAGATTCATTCTCCGAAGCTGTTTTGTGATGCTTGCATTCAGCTGACAGAGTTTAAACTTCGTTTGATAGAGCAGTTTGGAAACACTCTTTTTGTGGAGTTTGCAAGTGTTTATTTAGAGCGTTTTGAGGCCTACAGTAGGAAAGGAAATATCTTCACATAAAAACTAGACAGAAGTATTGTCAGAAACTTATTTGTGATATTTGCATGGAATGCACAGAGTTGAACATTCCTCTTGATGGAGCAGTTTTGAAACACTCTTTTTGTAGAATCTGCAAGTGGATATTTGGACCTCTTTGTGGCCTTCGTTTGAAACGTGATTTCTTCATTTACAACTAGACAGAAGAATTCTCAGAAACTTCTTTGTGATGTGTACCTTCAACTCACAGAGTTGAAGCTTCCTTTCAATAGAGCACCTTAGAAACTCAGTTTTTGTAGAATTTCCAGGTGGATATTTAGCACCGTTTGAGGCCTATGGTAGAAAAGGCAATATCTTCGTAGGAGGACTAGACAGAATGATTCTCAGAAGCTACTTTGTGATGTGTGGGTTCAACTCACTGAGTTTAACCTTTCTTTTGATAGACCAGTTTATGAAACACTCTTTTTGTAGAATCTGCAAGTAAATATTTGGACTTTTTTGAGGCCTTCATTGGAAACGGGGTTTCTTCATATAAACCTTGACAGAAGAATTCTCAGAAACTTCTCTGTGATGTGTGCGTTTAACTCTCAGAGTTCAACCTTCCTTTTGATAGAAGAGTGTTGAAATATTCTTTTTGTAGAATTTCCAAGTGAATATTTAGAGCGGTTTCAGGCCTATGTAGAAGAGAAAATATCTCCACAGAAAAACTAGACACAATTGTTCTCTGAAGCTACTCTGTGATGTGCGCATTCAGCTGACAGAGTTTAACCTTTCTTTGGATAGAGTGCTTTTAAACACTCTTTTTGTGGAATTTGCAATTCTATATTTAGAGTGCTTTCAGGCCTGTCGTACAAAAGGGAATGTCTTCACATAAAATCTAGACAGAAGCATTGTCGGAAACGACTTGGTGATACCTGCCTTCAACTCTCAGAGTTGAATATTCCTCTTGATGGAGCAGTTTTGAAAAACTCTTTTTGTTGAATCTCCACGTGGGTATTTGGACCTCTTTGTGGCCTTCGTTTGAAACGTGACTGCTTCATACAAAAGTAGACAGAAGAGTTCTCATCACCTTCTTCGCGATGTGTGCTTTCAACTCGCAGAGTTGCAGCTTCCTTTCGATAGAGCAGTTTTGTAACTCTCTTTTTGTAGAATTTCCAAGTGGATATTTAGCGCCGTTTGAGGCCTATGGTGGAAAAGGCAATATCTTCATAGAAAAACTAGACAGAATGATTCTCAGAAACTACTTTGTGATGTGTGCCTTCAACTCACAGAGTTTAAACTTTCTTTTGATAGAGCAGTTTTGAAAAACTCTTTTTGTAGAATCTGCAAGTGTATATTGGGACTTTTCTGAGGCCATCTTTGGAAACTGGATTTCTTCATATAAAACTTGAAGGAAGAATCCTCAGAAAATTATTTGTGATATGTGCATTTAACTCATGGAGTTGAATATTCCTTTCGATAGAAGAGTTTTGAAATACTCTTTTTGTAGAATTTCCAAGTGGATTTTTACAGCGGTTTGAGGTCTATGGCAGCAAAAGGAATATCTTCACAGAAAAACTAGGCAGATTCATTCTCCGAAGCTGTTTTGTGATGCTTGCATTAAGCTGACAGAGTTTAAACTTCCTTTGATAGAGCAGTTTGGAAACACTCTTTTTGTGGAATTTGCAAGTGTATATTTAGAGCGTTTTGAGGCCTACAGTAGGAAAGGAAATAACTTCACATAAAAACTAGACAGAAGTATTGTCAGAAACTTATTTGTGATATTTGCATTCAACGCACAGAGTTGAACATTCCTCTTGATGGAGCAGTTTTGAAACACTCTTTTTGTAGAATCTGCAGGTGGATATTTGGACCTCTTTGTAGCCTTCGTTTGAAACGTGATTTCTTCATTTACAACTAGACAGAAGAATTCTCAGAAACCTCTTTGTGATGTGTACCTTCAACTCACAGAGGTGAAGCTTCCTTTCACTAGAGCACTTTTGAAACTCAGTTTTGGTAGAATTTCCAGGTGGATATTTTGCGCCATTTGAGGCCTATGGTAGAAAAGGCAATATCTTCGTAGGAGAACTAGACAGAATGATTCTCAGAAGCTAATTTGTGATGTGTGGGTTGAACTCAGTGAGTTTAACCTTTCTTTTGATAGACCAGTTATGAAACACTCTTTCTGTGGAATCGGCAAGTAAATATTTGGACTTTTTTGAGGCCTTCATTCGAAACGGGGTTTCTTCATATAAACATTGACAGAAGAATTCCCAGAAACTTCTCTGTGATGTGTGCATTTAACTCTCAGAGTTCAACCTTCCTTTTGATAGAAGAGGGTTGAAATATTCTTTTTGTAGAATTTCCAAGTGAATATTTAGAGCGGTTTCAGGCCTATGTAGAAGAGAAAATATCTTCACAGAAAAACTAGACATAATTGTTCTCTGAAGCTACTCTGTGATGTGCGCATTCAGCTGACAGAGTTTAACCTTTCGTTAGATAGAGCGGTTTTAAACCCTCTTTTTATGGAATTTGCTATTCTATATTTAGAGTGCTTTCTGGCCTGTGGTACAAAAGGGAATGTCTTCACATAAAATCTTGACAGAAGCATTGCCGGGAACTACTTTGTGATACCTGCCTTCAACTCTCAGAGTTGAATATTCCTCTTGACGGAGCAGTTTTGAAAAACTCTTTTTGTTGTATCTCCAAGTGGATATTTGGACCTCTTCGTGGCCTTCGTTTGAAACGTGACTGCTTCATACAAAAGTAGACAGAAGAATTCTCATAAACTTCTTCGTGATGTGTGCTTTCAACTCGCAGAGTTGAAGCTTCCTTTCGATAGAGCAGTCTTGTAACTCTCTTTTTGTAGAATTTCCAAGTGGATATGTAGCGCCGCTTGAGGCCTATGGTGGAGAAGGCGATATCTTCATAGAAAAATTAGACAGAATGATTCTCAGAAACTACTCTGTGATGTGTGCCTTCAACTCACAGAGATTAACCTTCCTTTTGATAGAGCAGTTTTGAAAAACTCTTTTTGTAGAATCTGCAAGTGTATATTGGGACTTTTCTGAGGCCATCTTTGGAAACGGGATTTCTTCATATAAAACTTGAAAGAAGAATCCTCAGAAAATTATTTGTGATATGTGCATTTAACTCATGGAGCTGAAACTTCCTTTCGATAGAAGAGCTTTGAAATACTCTTTTTGTAGAATTTCCAAGTGGATTTTTACAGCGGTTTGGGGTCTATGGCAGAAAAAGAAATATCTTCACAGAAAAACTAGGCAGATTCATTCTCCGAAGCTGTTTTGTGATGCTTGCATTAAGCGGACAGAGTTTCAACTTCTTTGATAGAGCAGTTTGGAAACACTCTTTTTGTGTAATTTGCAAGTGTATATTTAGAGCGTTTTGTGGCCTACAGTACGAAAGGAAATATCTTCACATAAAAACTAGACAGAAGTATTGTCAGAAACTTATTTGTGATATTTGCATTCAACGCACAGAATTGAACATTCCTCTTGATGGAGCCGTTTTGAGACACTCTTTTTGTAGAATCTGTAAGTGGATATTTGGACCTCTTTGTGGCCTTCGTGTGAAACGTGATTTCTTCATTTACAACTAGACAGAAGAATTCTCAGAAACTTCTTTGTGATGTGTACCTTCAACTCACAGAGGTGAAGCTTCCTTTCAATAGAGCACTTTTGAAGCTCAGCTTTGGTAGAATTTCCAGGTGGATATTTAGCGCCGTTTGAGGCCTATGGTAGAAAAGGCAATATCTTCGTAGGAGAACTAGACAGAATGATTCTCAGAAACTACTTTGTGATGTGTGGGTTCAACTCACTGAGTTTAACCTTTCTTTTGATAGACCAGTTATGAAACACTCTTTGTGTAGAATCTGCAAGTAAATATTTGGACTTTTTTGAGGCCTTCATTGGAAACGGGATTTCTTCATAGAAACCTTGACAGAAGAATTCTCAGAAACTTCTTTGTGATGTGTGCATTTAACTCTCAGAGTTCAACCTTCCTTTTGATAGAAGAGTGTTGAAATATTCTTCTTGTAGAATTTCCAAGTGAATATTTAGAGCGGTTTCAGGCCTATGTAGAAGAGAAAGTATCTTCACAGAAAAACAAGACATAATTGTTCTCTGAAGCTACTTTCTGATGTGCGCATTCAGCTTACAGAGTTTAACCTTTCTTTGGATGGAGCGGTTTTAAACACTCTTTTTGAGGAATTTGCAATTCTATATTTAGAGTGCTTTCAGGCCTGTGGTACAAAAGGGAATGTCCTCACATAAAATCTAGACAGAAGCATTGTCGGAAACTACTTTGTGATACCTGCCTTCAACTCTCAGAGTTGAATATTCCTCTTGATGGAGCAGTTTTGAAAAACTCTTTTTGTTGAATCTCCAAGTGGATATTTGGACCTCTTTGTGGCCTTCGTTTGAGACGTGACTGCTTCATACAAAAGTAGACAGAAGAATTCTCATAAACTTCTTCGTGATGTGTGCTTTCAACTCGCGGAATTGAAGCTTCCTTTCGATAGAGCAGTCTTGTAACTCTCTTTTTGTAGAATTTCCAAGTGTATATTTAGCGCTGTTAGAGGCCTATGGTGGAGAAGGAGATATCTTCATAGAAAAACTAGACAGAATGATTCTCAGAAACTACTCTGTGATGTGTGCCTTCAACTCACAGAGTTTAACCTTCCTTTTGATAGAGCAGTTTTGAAAAACACTTTTTGTAGAATCTGCAAGTGTATATTGGGACTTTTCTGAGGCCATCTTTGGAAACGGGATTTCTTCATATAAAACTTGAAAGAAGAATCCTCAGAAAATTATTTGTGATATGTGCATTTAACTCATGGAGCTGAAACTTCCTTTCGATAGAAGAGCTTTGAAATTCTCTTTTTGTAGAATTTCCAAGTGGATTTTTACAGCCGTTCGGGGTCTATGGCAGAAAAAGAAATATCTTCACACAAAAACTAGGCAGATTCATTCTCCGAAGCTGTTTTGTGATGCTTGCATTAAGCTGACAGAGTTTAAACTTCCTTTGATAGAGCAGTTGGGAAACACTCTTTTTGTGGAATTTGCAAGTGTATATTTAGAGCGTTTTGAGGCCTACAGTAGGAAAGGAAATATCTTCACATAAAAACTAGACAGAAGTATTGTCAGAAACTTATTTGTGATATTTGCATTCAACGCACCGAGTTGAACATTCCTCTTGATGGAGCAGTTTTGAAACACTCTTTTTGTAGAATCTGCAGGTGGATATTTGGACCTCTTTGTGGCGTTCGTTTGAAACGTGATTTCTTCATTTACAACTAGACAGAAGAATTCTCAGTAACTTCTTTGTGATGTGTACTTTCAACTCACAGAGTTGAAGCCTCCTTTCAATAGAGCACTTTTGAAACTCAGTTTCTGTAGAATTTCCAGGTGGATATTTAGCGCCGTTTGAGGCCTATGGTGGAAAAGGCAATATCTTCGTAGAAAAACTAGACAGAATGATTCTCAGAAACAACTTTGTGATGTGTGCGTTCAACTCACGGAGTTTAACCTTTCTTTTGATAGACCAGTTATGAAACACTCTTTTTGTAGAATCTGCAGGTAAATATTTGGACTTTTTTGAGGCCTTCATTGGAAACGGGATCTCTTCATATAAACCTTGACAGAAGAATTCCCAGAAACTTCTCTGTGATGTGTGCATTTAACTCTCAGAGTTCAACCTTCCTTTTGATAGAAGAGGGTTGAAATTTTCTTTTTGTAGAATTTCCAAGTGAATATTTAGAGCGGTTTCAGGCCTAAGTAGAAGAGAAAATATCTTCACAGAAAAACTAGACATAATTGTTCTCTGAAGCTACTCTGTGATGTGCGCATTCAGCTGACAGAGTTTAACCTTTCGTTGGATAGAGCGGTTTTAAACCCTCTTTTTGTGGAATTTGCTATTCTATCTTTAGAGTGCTTTCAGGCCTCTGGTACAAAAGGGAATGTCTTCACATAAAATCTAGACAGAAGCATTGCCGGGAACTACTTTGTGATACCTGCCTTCAACTCTCAGAGTTGAATATTCCTCTTGACGGAGCAGTTTTGAAAAACTCTTTTTGTTGAATCTCCAAGTGGATATTTGGACCTCTTTGTGGCCTTCGTTTGAAACGTGACTGCTTCATACAAAAGTAGACAGAAAGAATTCTCATAAAATTCTTCGTGATGTGTGCTTTCAACTCGCAGCGTTGAAGCTTCCTTTCGATAGAGCAGTTCTGTAACTCTCTTATTGTAGAATTTCCAAGTGGATATTTAGCGCCGTTTGAGGCCTATGGTGGAAAAGGCAATATCTTCATAGAAAAACTAGACAGAATGATTCTCAGAAACTACTTTGTGACGTGTGCCTTCAACTCACAGAGTTTAACCTTCCTTTTGGTAGATCAGTTTTGAAAAACTCTTTTTGTAGAATCTGCAAGTGTATATTGGGACTTTTCTGAGGCCATCTTTGGAAACGGGATTTCTTCATATAAAACTTGAAAGAAGAATCCTCAGAAAATTATTTGTGATATGTGCATTTAACTCATGGAGTTGAGAGTTCCTTTCGATAGAAGAGTTTTGAAATACTCTTTTTGTAGAATTTCCAAGTGGATTTTTACAACGGTTTGAGGTCTATGGCAGAAAAAGTAATATCTTCACAGAAAAATTAGGCAGATTCATTCTCCGAAGCTGTTTTGTGATGCTTGCATTAAGCTGACAGAGTTTAAACTTCCTTTGATAGATCAGTTTGGAAACACTATTTTTGTGGAATTTGCAAGTGTATATTTAGAGTGTTTTGAGGCCTACAGTAGGAAAGGAAATATCTTCACATAAAAACTACACAGAAGTATTGTCAGAAACTTATTTGTGATATTTGCATTCAACGCACAGAATTGAACATTCCTCTTGATGGAGCCGTTTTGAGACACTCTTTTTGTAGAATCTGCAAGTGGATATTTGGACCTCTTTGTGGCCTTCGTGTGAAATGTGATTTCTTCATTTACAACTAGACAGAAGAATTCTCAGAAACTTCTTTGTGATGAGTACCTTCAACTCACAGAGGTGAAGCTTCCTTTCAATAGAGCACTTTTGAAGCTCAGTTTTGGTAGAATTTCCAGGTGGATATTTAGCGCCGTTTGAGGCCTATGGTAGAAAAGGCAATATCTTCGTAGGAGAACTAGACAGAATGATTCTCAGAAACAACTTTGTGATGTGTGCGTTCAACTCACTGAGTTTAACCTTTCTTTTGATAGACCAGTTATGAAACACTCTTTTTGTAGAATCTGCAAGTAAATATTTGGACTTTTTTGAGGCCTTCATTGGAAACGGGATTTCTTCATATAAACCTTGACAGAAGAATTCTCAGAAACTTCTCTGTGATGTGTGCGTTTAACTCTCAGAGTTCAACCTTCCTTTTGATACAAGAGTGTTGAAATATTCTTTTTGTAGAATTTCCAAGTGAATATTTAGAGCGGTCTCAGGCCTATGTAGAAGAGAAACTATCTTCACAGAAAAACTAGACATAATTGTTCTCTGAAGCTACTCTGTGATGTGCGCATTCAGCTGACAGAATTTAAACTTTCTTTGGATAGAGCGGTTTTAAACACTCCTTTTGTGGAATTTGCAGTTCCATATTTAGAGTGCTTTCAGGCCTGTGGTACAAAAGGGAATGTCTTCACATAAAATCTAGACAGAAGCATTGTCGGGAACTACTTTGGGATACCTGCCTTCAACTCTCAGAGTTGAATATTCCTCTTGATGGAGCAGTTTTGAAAAACTCTTTTTGTTGAATCTCCAAGTGGATATTTGGACCTCTTTGTGGCCTTCGTTTGAAACGTGACTGCTTCACACAAAAGTAGACAGAAGAATTCTCATAAACTTCTTCGTGATGTGTGCTTTCAACTCGCAGCGTTGAAGCTTCCTTTCGATAGAGCAGTTTTGTGACTCTCTTTTTGTAGAATTTCCAAGTGGATATTTGGCGCCGTTTGGGGCTTATGGTGGAAAAGGCAATATCTTCCTAGAAAAACTAGACAGAATGATTCTCAGAAACTACATTGTGATGTGTGCCTTCAACTCACAGAGTTTAACCTTTCTTTGGATAGAGCAGTTTTGAAAAACTCTTTTTGTAGAATCTGCAAGGGTATATTGGGACTTTTCTGAGGCCATCTTTGGAAACGGGATTTCTTCATATAAAACTTCAAAGAAGAATCCTCAGAAAATTATTTGTGATATGTGCATTTAACTCATGGAGTTGAGACTTCCTTTCGATAGAAGAGTTTTGAAATACTCTTTTTGTAGAATTTCCAAGTGGATTTTTACAGCGGTTTGAGGTCTATGGCAGAAAAAGAAATATCTTCACAGAAAAACTAGGCAGATCCATTCTCCGAAGCTGTTTTGTGACGCTTGCATTCAGCTGACAGAGTTTAAACTTCCTTTGATAGAGCAGTTTTGAAACACTCTTTTTGTGGAATTTGCAAGTGTATATTTAGAGCGTTTTGAGGCCTACAGTAGGAAAGGAAATACCTTCACCTAAAAACTAGACAGAAGTATTGTCAGAAACTTATTTGTGATATTTGCATTCAACGCACGGAGTTGAACATTCCTCTTGATGGAGCCGTTTTGAAGCACTCTTTTTGTGGAATCTGCAAGTGGATATTTGGACCTCTTTGTGGCCTTCGTGGGAAACGTGATTTCTTCATTTACAACTAGACAGAAGAATTCTCAGAAACTTCTTTGTGATGTGTACCTTCAACTCACAGAGGTGAAGCTTCCTTTCACTAGAGCACTTTTGAAACTCAGTTTTGGTAGAATTTCCAGGTGGATATTTAGCGCCGTTTGAGGCCTATGGTAGAAAAGGCAATATCTTCGTAGGAGAACTAGACAGAATGATTCTCAGAAGCTAGTTTGTGATGTGTGGGTTCAACTCACTGAGTTTAACCTTTCTTTTGATAGACCAGTTATGAAACACTCTTTTTGTGGAATCTGCAAGTAAATATTTGGACTTTTTTGAGGCCTTCATTGGAAACGGGGTTTCTTCATATAAACCTTGACAGAAGAATTCTCAGAAACTTCTCTGTGATGTGTGCGTTAAACTCTCAGAGTTCAACCTTCCTTTTGATAGAAGAGTGTTGAAATATTCTTTTTGTAGAATTTCCAAGTGAATATTTAGAGCGGTTTCAGGCCTATGTAGAAGAGAAAATATCTCCACAGAAAAACTAGACACAATTGTTCTCTGAAGCTACTCTGTGATGTGCGCATTCAGCTGGCAGAGTTTAACCTTTCTTTGCATAGAGCGGTTTTAAACCCTCTTTTTGTGGAATTTGCAATTCTGTATTTAGAGTGCTTTCAGGCCTGTGGTACAAAAGGGAATGTCTTCACATAAAATCTAGACAGAAGCATTGTCGGGAACTACTTTGGGATACCTGCCTTCAACTCTCAGAGTTGAATATTCCTCTTGATGGAGCAGTTTTGAAAAACTCTTTTTGTTGAATCTCCAAGTGGATATTTGGACCTCTTTGTGGCCTTCGTTTGAAACGTGACTGCTTCATACAAAAGTAGACAGAAGAATTCTCATAAACTACTTCGTGATGTGTGCTTTTAACTCGCAGAGTTGAAGCTTCCTTTCGATAGAGCAGTTTAGTAACTCTCTTTTTGTAGAATTTCCAAGTGGATATTTAGCGCCGTTTGAGGCCTATGGTGGAAAAGGCAATATCTTCATAGAAAAACTAGACAGAATGATTCTCAGAAACTACTTTGTGATGTGTGCCTTCAACTCACAGAGTTTAACCTTCCTTTTGGTAGAGCAGTTTTGAAAAACTCTTTTTGTAGAATCTGCAAGTGTATATTGGGACTTTTCTGAGGCCATCTTTGGAAACGGGATTTCTTCATATAAAACTTGAAAGAAGAATCCTCAGAAAATTATTTGTGATATGTGCATTTAACTCATGGAATTGAAACTTCCTTTCGATAGAAGAGTTTTGACATCCTCTTTTTGTAGAATTTCCAAGTGGATTTTTACAGCGGTTTGAGGTCTATGGCAGAAAAAGAAATATCTTCACAGAAAAACTAGGCAGATTCATTCTCCGAAGCTGTTTTGTGATGCTTGCATTAAGCGGACAGAGTTCAAACTTCCTTTGATAGAGCAGTTTGGAAACACTCTTTTTGTGGAATTTGCAAGTGTATATTTAGAGCGTTTTGAGGCCTACAGTAGGAAAGGAAATATCTTCACATAAAAACTAGACAGAAGTATTGTCAGAAACTTATTTGTGATATTTGCATTCAACGCACCGAGTTGAACAATCCTCTTGATGGAGCAGTTTGGAAACACTCTTTTTGTAGAATCTGCAGGTGGATATTTGGACCTCTTTGTGGCCTTCGTTTGAAACGTGATTTCTTCATTTACAACTAGACAGAAGAATTCTCAGAAACTTCTTAGTGATGTGTACCTTCAACTCACAGAGGTGAAGCTTCCTTTCAATAGAGCACTTTTGAAACTCAGTTTTGGTAGAATTTCCAGGTGGATGTTTGGCGCCGTTTGAGGCCTATGGTAGAAAAGGCAATATCTCCGTAGGAGAACTAGACAGAATGATTCTCAGAAGCTACCTTGTGATGTGTGGGTTCAACTCACTGAGTTTAACCTTTCTTTTGATAGACCAGTTATGAAACACTCTTTTTCTGGAATCTGCAAGTAAATATTTGGACTTTTTTGAGGCCTTCATTGGAAACGGGGTTTCCTCATATAAACCTTGACAGAAGAATTCTCAGAAACTTCTCTGTGATGTGTGTGTTTACCTCTCAGAGTTCAACCTTCCTTTTGATAGAAGAGTGTTGAAATATTCTTTTTGCAGAATTTCCAAGTGAATATTTAGAGCGGTCTCAGGCCTATGTAGAAGAGAAACTATCTTCACGGAAAAACTAGACATAATTGTTCTCTGAAGCTACTTTGTGATGTGTGCATTCAGCTTACAGAGTTTAACCTTTCTTTGGATAGAGCGGTTTTAAACACTCTTTTTGTGGAATTTGCAGTTCTATATTTAGAGTGCTTTCAGGCCTGTGGTACAAAAGGGAATGTCCTCACATAAAATCTAGACAGAAGCATTGTCGGGAACTACTTTGTGATACCAGCCTTCAACTCGCAGAGTTGAATATTCCTCTTGACAGAGCAGTTTTGAAAAACTCTTTTTGTTGAATCTCCAAGTGGATATTTGGACCTCGTTGTGGCCTTCTTTTGAAACGTGACTGCTTCATACAAAAGTAGACAGAAGAATTCTCATAAACTTCTTGGTGATGTGTGCTTTCAACTCGCAGCGTTGAAGCTTCCTTTCGATAGAGCAGTTTAGTAACTCTCTTTTTGTAGAATTTCCAAGTGGATATTTAGCGCCGTTTGAGGCCTATGGTGGAAAAGGCAATATCTTCATAGAAAAACTAGACAGAATGATTCTCAGAAACTACTTTGTGATGTTTGCCTTCAACTCACAGAGTTTAACCTTCCTTTTGGTAGAGCAGTTTTGAAAAACTCTTTTTGTAGAATCTGCAAGTGTATATTGGGACTTTTCTGAGGCCATCTTTGGAAACGGGATTTCTTCATATAAAACTTGAAAGAAGAATCCTCAGAAAATTATTTGTGATATGTGCATTTAACTCATGGAGTTGAGACTTCCTTTCGATAGAAGAGTTTTGAAATACTCTTTTTGTAGAATTTCCAAGTGGATTTTTACAGCGGTTTGAGGTCTATGGCAGAAAAAGAAATATCTTCACAGAAAAACTAGGCAGATTCATTCTCCGAAGCTGTTTTGTGATGCTTGCATTAAGCGGACAGAGTTTAAACTTCCTTTGAGAGAGCAGTTTGGAAACACTCTTTTTGTGGAATTTGCAAGTGTATCTTTAGAGCGTTTTGAGGCCTACAGTAGGAAAGGAAATATCTTCACATAAAAACTACACAGAAGTATTGTCAGAAACTTACTTGTGATATTTGCATTCAACGCACAGAGTTGAACATTCCTCTTGATGGAGCAGTTTTGAAACACTCTTTTTGCAGAATCTGCAGGTGGATATTTGGACCTATTTGTGGCCTTCGTTTGAAACGTGATTTCTTCATTTACAACTAGACAGAAGACTTCTCAGAAACTTCTTTGTGATGTGTACCTTCAACTCACAGAGGTGAAGCTTCCTTTCAATAGAGCACTTTTGAAGCTCAGTTTTGGTAGAATTTCCAGGTGGATATTTAGCGCCGTTTGAGGCCTATGGTAGAAAAGGCAATATCTTCGTAGGAGAACTAGACAGAATGATTCTCAGGAAACTACTTTGTGATGTGTGGGTTCAACTCACTGAGTTTAACCTTTCTTTTGATAGACCAGTTATGAAACACTCTTTTTGTAGAATCTGCAAGTAAATATTTGGACTTTTTTGAGGCCTTCATTGGAAACGGGATTTCTTCATATAAACCTTGACAGAAGAATTCTCAGAAACTTCTCTGTGATGTGTGCGTTTAACTCTCAGAGTTCAACCTTCCTTTTGATGGAAGAGTGTTGAAGCATTCTTTTTGTAGAATTTCCAAGTGAATATTTAGAGCGGTTTCAGGCCTATGTAGAAGAGAAAATATCTTCCCAGAAAGACTAGACATAATTGTTCTCTGAAGCTACTTTGTGATGTGCGCATTCAGCTTACAGAGATTAACCTTTCTTTGGATAGAGCGGTTTTAAACACTCTTTTTGTGGAATTTGCAATTCTATATTTAGAGTGCTTTCAGGCCTCTGGTACAAAAGGGAATATCTTCACATAAAATCTAGACAGAAGCATTGTCGGAAACTACTTTGTGATACCTGCCTTCATCTCTCCGAGTTGAATATTCCTCGTGATGGAGCAGTTTTGAAAATCTCTTTTTGTTGAATCTCCAAGTGGATATTTGGGCCTCTTTGTGGTCTTCGTTTGAAAAGTGACTTCTTCATACAAAACTAGACAGAAGAATTCTCATAAACTTCTTCGTGATGTGTGCTTTCAACTCGCAGAGTTGAAGCTTCCTTTCGATAGAGCAGTCTTGTAAATCTCTTTTTGTAGAATTTCCAAGTGGATATTTAGTGCCGCTTGAGGCCTATGGTGGAGAAGGCGATATCTTCATAGAAAAACTAGACAGAATGATTCTCAGAAACTGCTTTGTCATGTGTGCCTTCAACTCACAGAGTTTAACCTTTCTTTTGGTAGAGCAGTTTTGAAAAGCTCTTTTTGTAGAATCTGCAAGTGTATATTGGGACTTATCTGAGGCCATCTTTGGAAACGGGATTTCTTCATATAAAACTTCAAAGAAGAATCCTCAGAAAATTATTTGTGATATGTGCGTTTAACTCATGGAGTTGCAACTTCCTTTCGATAGAAGAGTTTTGAAATACTCTTTTTGTAGAATTTCCAGTGGATTTTTACAGCGGTTTGAGGTCTATGGCAGAAAAAGGAATATCTTCACAGAAAAACTAGGCAGATTCATTCTCCGAAGCTGTTTTGTGATGCTTGCATTAAGCTTACAGAGTTTAAAGTTCCTTTGATAGAGCAGTTTTGAAACACTCTTCTTGTGGAATTTGCAAGTGTATATTTAGAGCGGTTTGAGGCCCACAGTAGGAAAGGAAATATCTTCACATAAAAACTAGACAGAAGTATTGTCAGAAACTTATTTGTGATATTTGCATTCAACGCACAGAGTTGAACATTCCTCTTGATGGAGCAGATTTGAAACCCTCTTTTTGCAGAATCTGCAGCTGGATATTTGGACCTCTTTGTGGCCTTCGTTTGAAACGTGATTTCTGCATTTACAACTAGACAGAAGAATTCTCAGAAACTTCTTTGTGATGTGTACCTTCAACTCACAGAGGTGAAGCTTCCTTTCAATAGAGCACTTTTGAAACTCAGTTTTGGTAGAATTTCCAGGTGGATATTTAGCGCCGTTTGAGGCCTATGGTAGAAAAGGCAATATCTTCGTAGGAGAACTAGACTGAATGATTCTCAGAAGCTACTTTGTGATGTGTGGGTTCAACTCACTGAGTTTAACCTTTCTTTTGATAGACCAGTTATGAAACACTCTTTTTGTGGAATCTGCAAGTAAATTTTTGGACTTTTTTGAGGCCTTCATTGGAAACGGGGTTTCTTCATATAAACCTTGACAGAAGAATTCTCAGAAACTTCTCTGTGATGTGTGCGTTTAACTCTCAGAGTTCAACCTTCCTTTTGATAGAAGAGTGTTGAAATATTCTTTTTGCAGAATTTCCAAGTGAATATTTAGAGCGGTTTCAGGCCTATGTAGAAGAGAAACTATCTTCACAGAAAAACTAGACATAATTGTTCTCTGAAGCTACTTTGCGATGTGCGCATTCAGCTTACAGAGTTTAACCTTTCTTTGGATAGAGCGGTTTTAAACACTCTTTTTGTGGAATTTGCAATTCTATATTTAGAGTGCTTTCAGCCTGTGGTACAAAAGAGAATGTCCTCACATAAAATCTAGACAGAAGCATTGTCGGGAACTACATTGCGATACCTGCCTTCAACTCTCAGAGTTGAATATTCCTCTTGATGGAGCAGTTTTGAAAAACTCTTTTTGTTGAATCTCCAAGTGGATATTTGGACCTCTTTGTGGCCTTCGTTTGAAACGTGACTGTTTCACACAAATGTAGTCAGAAGAATTCTCATAAACTTCTTCGTGATGTGTGCTTTCAACTCGCAGCGTTGAAGCTTCCTTTCGATAGAGCAGTTTAGTAACTCTCTTTTTGTAGAATTTCCAAGTGGATATTTAGCGCCGTTTGAGGCCTATGGTGGAAAAGGCAATATCTTCATAGAAAAACTAGACAGAATGATTCTCAGAAACTACTTTGTGATGTGTGCCTTCAACTCACAGAGTTTAACCTTTCTTTTGATAGAGCAGTTTTGAAAAACTCTTTTTGTAGAATCTGCAAGTGTATATTGGGACTTTTCTGAGGCCATCTTTGGAAACGGGATTTCTTCATATAAAACTTGAAAGAAGAATCCTCAGAAAATTATTTGTGATATGTGCATTTAACTCATGGATTTGAAACTTCCTTTCGATAGAAGAGCTTTGCAATACTCTTTTTGTAGAATTTCCAAGTGGATTTTTACAGCGGTTTGAGGTCTATGCCAGGAAAAGAAATATCTTCACAGAAAAACTAGGCAGATTCATTCTCCGAAGCTGTTTTGTGATGCTTGCATTAAGCGGACAGAGTTTAAACCTCCTTTGATAGAGCAGTTTGGAAACACTCTTTTTGTGGAATTTGCAAGTGTATATTTAGAGCGTTTTGAGGCCTACAGTAGGAAAGGAAATATCTTCACATAAAAACTATACAGAAGTATTCTCAGAAACTTACTTGTGATATTTGCATTCAACGAACAGAGTTGAACATTCCTCTTGATGGAGCAGTTTTGAAACACTCTTTTTGTAGAATCTGCAGGTGGATATTTGGACCTCTTTGTGGCCTTCTTTTGAAACGTGATTTCTTCATTTACAACTAGACAGAAGAATTCTCAGAAACTTCTTTGTGATGAGTACCTTCAACTCACAGAGGTGAAGCTTCCTTTCAATAGAGCACTTTTGAAGCTCAGTTTTGGTAGAATTTCCAGGTGGATATTTAGCGCCGTTTGAGGCCTATGGTAGAAAAGGCAATATCTTCGTAGGAGAACTAGACAGAATGATTCTCAGAAGCTACTTTGTGATGTGTGGGTTCAACTCACTGAGTTTAACCTTTCTTTTGATAGACCAGTTATGAAACACTCTTTTTGTGGAATCTGCAAGTAAATTTTTGGACTTTTTTGAGGCCTTCATTGGAAACGGGGTTTCTTCATATAAACCTTGACAGAAGAATTCTCAGAAACTTCTCTGTGATGTGTGCGTTTAACTCTCAGAGTTCAACCTTCCTTTTGATAGAAGAGTGTTGAAATATTCTTTTTGCAGAATTTCCAAGTGAATATTTAGAGCGGTCTCAGGCCTATGTGGAAGAGAAACTATCTTCACGGAAAAACTAGACATAATTGTTCTCTGAAGCTACTCTGTGATGTGCGCATTCAGCTGACAGAGTTTAACCTTTCTTTGGATAGAGCGCTTTTAAACACTCTTTTTGTGGAATTTGCAATTCTATATTTAGAGTGCTTTCAGGCCTGTCGTACAAAAGGGAATGTCTTCACATAAAATCTAGACAGAAGCATTGTCGGAAACTACTTTGTGATACCTGCCTTCAACTCTCAGAGTTGAATATTCCTCTTGATGGAGCAGTTTTGAAAAACTCTTTTTGTTGAATCTCCAAGTGGATATTTGGACCTCTCTGTGGCCTTCGTTTGAAACGTGACTGCTTCATACAAAAGTAGACATAAGAATTCTCATAAACTTCTTCGTGATGTGTGCTTTCAACTCGCAGAGTTGAAGCTTCCTTTCGATAGAGCAGTCTTGTAACTCTCTTTTTGTAGAATTTCCAAGTGGATATTTAGCGCCATTTGAGGCCTATGGTGGAGAAGGCGATATCTTCATAGAAAAACTAGACAGAATGATTCTCAGAAACTACTCTGTGATGTGTGCCTTCTACTCACAGAGTTTAACCTTCCTTTTGATAGAGCAGTTTTGAAAAACTCTTTTTGTAGAATCTGCAAGTGTATATTGGGACTTTTCTGAGACCATCTTTGGAAACGGGATTTCTTCATATAAAATTTGAAAGAAGAATCCTCAGAAAATTATTTGTGATATGTGCATTTAACTCATGGAGCTGAAACTTCCTTTCGATAGAAGAGCTTTGAAATTCTCTTTTTGTAGAATTTCCAAGTGGATTTTTACAGCCGTTCGGGGTCTATGGCAGAAAAAGAAATATCTTCACACAAAAACTAGGCAGATTCATTCTCCGAAGCTGTTTTGTGATGCTTGCATTCAGCTGACAGAGTTTAAACTTCCTTTGATAGAGCAGTTTGGAAACACTCTTTTTGTGGAATTTGCAAGTGTATATTTAGAGCGCTTTGAGGCCTACAGTAGGAAAGGAAATATCTTCACCTAAAAACTAGACAGAAGTATTGTCAGAAACTTATTTGTGATATTTGCATTCAACGCACCGAGTTGAACATTCCTCTTGATGGAGCCGTTTTGAAGCACTCTTTTTGTGGAATCTGCAAGTGGATATTTGGACCTCTTTGTGGCCTTCGTGGGAAACGTGATTTCTTCATTTACAACTAGACAGATGAATTCTCAGAAGCTTCTTTGTGATGTGTACCTTCAACTCACAGAGTTGAAGCTTCCTTTCAATAGAGCACTTTTGAAACTCAGTTTTTGTAGAATTTCCAGGTGGATATTTAGCGCCGTTTGAGGCCTATGGTAGAAAAGGCAATATCTTCGTAGGAAAACTAGACAGAATGATTCTCAGAAGCTACTTTGTGATGTGTGGGTTCAACTCACTGAGTTTAACCTTTCTTTTGATAGACCAGTTATGAAACACTCTTTTTGTGGAATCTGCAAGTAAATATTTGGACTTTTTTGAGGCCTTCATTGGAAACGGGGTTTCTTCATATAAACCTTGACAGAAGAATTCTCAGAAACTTCTCTGTGATGTGTGCGTTTAACTCTCAGAGTTCAACCTTCCTTTTGATAGAAGAGTGTTGAAATATTCTTTTTGCAGAATTTCCAAGTGAATATTTAGAGCGGTCTCAGGCCTATGTGGAAGAGAATCTATCTTCACGGAAAAACTAGACATAATTGTTCTCTGAAGCTACTTTGTGATGTGCGCCTTCAGCTGACAGAGTTGAACCTTTCTTTGGATAGAGCGGTTTTAAACACTCTTTTTGTGGAATTTGCAATTCTATATTTAGAGTGCTTTCAGGCCTGTGGTACAAAAGGGAATGTCTTCACATAAAATCTAGACAGAAGCATTGTCGGAAACTACTTTGTGATACCTGCCTTCAACTCTCAGAATTGAATATTCCTCTTGATGGAGCAGTTTTGTAAAACTCTTTTTGTTGAATCTCCAAGTGGATATTTGGACGTCTTTGTGGCCTTCGTTTGAAACGTGACTGCTTCATACAAAAGTAGACAGAAGAATTCTCATCAACTTCTTCGTGATGTGTGCTTTCAACTCGCAGCGTTGAAGCTTCCTTTCGATAGAGCAGTTCTGTAACTCTCTTTTTGTAGAATTTCCAAGTGGATATTTAGCGCCGTTTGAGGCCAATGGTGGAAAAGGCAATATCTTCATAGAAAAACTAGACAGAATGATTCTCAGAAACTACTTTGTGATGTGTGCCTTCAACTCACAGAGTTTAACCTTTCTGTTGGTAGAGCAGTTTTGAAAAACTCTTTCTGTAGAATCTGCAAGTGTATATTGGGACTTTTCTGAGGCCATGTTTGGAAACGGGATTTCTTCATATAAAACTTGAAAGAAGAATCCTCAGAAAATTATTTGTGATATGTGCATTTAACTCATGGATTTGAAACTTCCTTTCGATAGAAGAGCTTTGCAATACTCTTTTTGTAGAATTTCCAAGTGGATTTTTACAGCGGTTTGAGGTCTATGCCAGGAAAAGAAATATCTTCACAGAAAAACTAGGCAGATTCATTCTCCGAAGCTGTTTTGTGATGCTTGCATTAAGCGGACAGAGTTTAAACCTCCTTTGATAGAGCAGTTTGGAAACACTCTTTTTGTGGAATTTGCAAGTGTATATTTAGAGCGTTTTGAGGCCTACAGTAGGAAAGGAAATATCTT
Source organism: Homo sapiens (assembly GCF_000001405.40). NCBI lineage: Eukaryota > Metazoa > Chordata > Mammalia > Primates > Hominidae > Homo > Homo sapiens. Next base: position 91,051,931 of record NC_000003.12, read on the forward strand.
CACATAAAAACTATACAGAAGTATTCTCAGAAACTTACTTGTGATATTTGCATTCAACGAACAGAGTTGAACATTCCTCTTGATGGAGCAGTTTTGAAACACTCTTTTTGTAGAATCTGCAGGTGGATATTTGGACCTCTTTGTGGCCTTCTTTTGAAACGTGATTTCTTCATTTACAACTAGACAGAAGAATTCTCAGAAACTTCTTTGTGATGAGTACCTTCAACTCACAGAGGTGAAGCTTCCTTTCAATAGAGCACTTTTGAAGCTCAGTTTTGGTAGAATTTCCAGGTGGATATTTAGCGCCGTTTGAGGCCTATGGTAGAAAAGGCAATATCTTCGTAGGAGAACTAGACAGAATGATTCTCAGAAACAACTTTGTGATGTGTGCGTTCAACTCACGGAGTTTAACCTTTCTTTTGATAGACCAGTTATGAAACACACTTTTTGTAGAATCTGCAAGTAAATATTTGGACTTTTTTGAGGCCTTCATTGGAAACGGGATCTCCTCATATAAACCTTGACAGAAGAATTCCCAGAAACTTCTCTGTGATGTGTGCATTTAACTCTCAGAGTTCAACCTTCCTTTTGATAGAAGAGGGTTGAAATATTCTTTTTGTAGAATTTCAAGTGAATATTTAGAGCGGTTTCAGGCATAAGTAGAAGAGAAAATATCTTCACAGAAAAACTAGACATAATTGTTCTCTGAAGCTACTCTGTGATGTGCGCATTCAGCTGACAGAGTTTAACCTTTCTTTACATAGAGCAGTTTTAAACCCTCTTTTTGTGGAATTTGCAATTCTGTATTTAGAGTGCTTTCAGGCCTGTGGTACAAAAGGGAATGTCTTCACATAAAATCTAGACAGAAGCATTGTCGGGAACTACTTTGTGATACCAGCGTTCAACTCGCAGAGTTGAATATTCCTCTTGACGGAGCAGTTTTGAAAAACTCTTTTTGTTGAATCTCCAAGTGGATATTTGGACCTCTTTGTGGCCTTCGTTTGAAACGTGACTGCTTCATACAAAAGTAGACAGAAGAATTCTCATCAACTTCTTCGTGATGTGTGCTTTCAACTCGCAGCGTTGAAGCTTCCTTTCGATAGAGCAGTTCTGTAACTCTCTTTTTGTAGAATTTCCAAGTGGATATTTAGCGCCGTTTGAGGCCAATGGTGGAAAAGGCAATATCTTCATAGAAAAACTAGACAGAATGATTCTCAGAAACTACTTTGTGATGTGTGCCTTCAACTCACAGAGTTTAACCTTTCTTTGGATAGAGCAGTTTTGAAAAACTCTTTTTGTAGAATCTGCAAGGGTATATTGGGACTTTTCTGAGGCCCTCTTTGGAAACGGGATTTCCTCATATAAAACTTCAAAGAAGAATCCTCAGAAAATTATTTGTGATATGTGCATTTAACTCATGGAGTTGAGAATTCCTTTCGATAGAAGAGTTTTGAAATACTCTTTTTGTAGAATTTCCAAGTGGATTTTTACAGCGGTTTGAGGTCTATGGCAGAAAAAGAAATATCTTCACAGAAAAACTAGGCAGATTCATTCTCCGAAGCTGTTTTGTGATGCTTGCATTCAGCTGACAGAGTTTAAACTTCCTTTGATAGAGCAGTTTGGAAACACTCTTTTTGTGGAATTTGCAAGTGTATATTTAGAGCGCTTTGAGGCCTACAGTAGGAAAGGAAATATCTTCACCTAAAAACTAGACAGAAGTATTGTCAGAAACTTACTTGTGATATTTGCATTCAACGCACAGAGTTGAACATTCCTCTTGATGGAGCAGTTTTGAAACCCTCTTTTTGCAGAATCTGCAGGTGGATATTTGGACCTCTTTGTGGCCTTCGTTTGAAACGTGATTTCTTCATTTACAACTAGACAGAAGAATTCTCAGAAACTTCTTTGTGATGTGTACCTTCAACTCACAGAGGTGAAGCTTCCTTTCAATAGAGCACTTTTGAAGCTCAGTTTTGGTAGAATTTCCAGGTGGATATTTAGCGCCGTTTGAGGCCTATGGTAGAAAAGGCAATATCTTCGTAGGAGAACTAGACACAATGATTCTCAGAAGCTACTTTGTGATGTGTGGGTTCAACTCACTGAGTTTAACCTTTCTTTTGATAGACCAGTTATGAAACACTCTTTCTGTGGAATCTGCAAGTAAATTTTTGGACTTTTTTGAGGCCTTCATTGGAAACGGGGTTTCTTCATATAAACCTTGACAGAAGAATTCTCAGAAACTTCTCTGTGATGTGTGCGTTTAACTCTCAGAGTTCAACCTTCCTTTTGATAGAAGAGTGTTGAAATATTCTTTTTGCAGAATTTCCAAGTGAATATTTAGAGCGGTCTCAGGCCTATGTGGAAGAGAAACTATCTTCACGGAAAAACTAGACATAATTGTTCTCTGAAGCTACATTGTGATGTGCGCCTTCAGCTGACAGAGTTTAACCTTTCTTTGGATAGAGCGGTTTTAAACACTCTTTTTGTGGAATTTGCAATTCTATATTTAGAGTGCTTTCAGGCCTGTGGTACAAAAGGGAATGTCTTCACATAAAATCTAGACAGAAGCGTTGTCGGAAACTACTTTGTGATACCTGCCTTCAACTCTCAGAGTTGAATATTCCTCTTGACGGAGCAGTTTTGAAAAACTCTTTTTGTGGAATCTCCAAGTGGATATTTGGACCTCTTTGTGGCCTTCGTTTGAGACGTGACTTCTTCATACAAAACTAGACAGAAGAATTCTCATCAACTTCTTCGCGATGTGTGCTTTCAACTCGCAGAGTTGCAGCTTCCTTTCGATAGAGCAGTTTTGTAACTCTCTTTTTGTAGAATTTCCAAGAGGATATTTAGCGCCGTTTGAGGCCTATGGTGGAAAAGGCAATATCTTCATAGAAAAACTAGACAGAATGATTCTCAGTAAACTACTTTGTGATGTGTGCCTTCAACTCACAGAGTTTAACCTTTCTTTTGATAGAGCAGTTTTGAAAAACTCTTTTTGTAGAATCTGCAAGTGTATCTTGGGACTTTTCTGAGGCCATCTTTGGAAACGGGATTTCTTCATATAAAATTTGAAAGAAGAATCCTCAGAAAATTATTTGTGATCTGTGCATTTAACTCATGGAGTTGAAGCTTCCTTTCGATAGAAGAGTTTTGAAATACTCATTTGAAGAATTTCCAAGTGGATTTTTACAGCGGTTTGAGGTCTATGGCAGCAAGAGAAATATCTTCACAGAAAAACTAGGCAGATTCATTCTCCGAAGCTGTTTTGTGATGCTCGCATTCAGCTGACAGAGTTTAAACTTCCTTTGAGAGAGCAGTTTGGAAACACTCTTTTTGTGGAATTTGCAAGTGTATATTTAGAGCGTTTTGAGGCCTACAGTAGGAAAGGAAATATCTTCACCTAAAAACTAGACAGAAGTATTGTCAGAAACTTATCTGTGATATTTGCATTCAACGCACGGAGTTGAACATTCCTCTTGATGGAGCCGTTTTGAAGCACTCTTTTTGTGGAATCTGCAAGTGGATATTTGGACCTCTTTGTGGCCTTCGTGTGAAACGTGATTTCTTCATTTACAACTAGACAGAAGAATTCTCAGAAACTTCTTTGTGATGTGTACCTTCAGCTCACAGAGGTGAAGCTTCCTTTCAATAGAGCACTTTTGAAGCTCAGTTTTGGTAGAATTTCCAGGTGGATATTCAGCGCCGTTTGAGGCCTATGGTAGAAAAGGCAATATGTTCGTAGGAGAACTAGACAGAATGATTCTCAGAAGCTACTTTGTGATGTGTGGGTTCAACTCACTGAGTTTAACCTTTCTTTTGATAGACCAGTTATGAAACACTCTTTTTGTGGAATCTGCAAGTAAATTTTTGGACTTTTTTGAGGCCTTCATTGGAAACGGGGTTTCTTCATATAAACCTTGACAGAAGAATTCTCAGAAACTTCTTTGTGATGTGTGCATTTAACTCTCAGATTTCAACCTTCCTTTTGATAGAAGAGTGTTGAAATATTCTTTTTGTAGAATTTCCAAGTGAATATTTAGAGCGGTTTCAGGCCTATGTAGAAGAGAAAATATCTTCACAGAAAAACTAGACACAATTGTTCTCTGAAGCTACTTTGTGATGTGCGCATTCAGCTTACAGAGATTAACCTTTCTTTGGATCGAGCGGTTTTAAACACTCTTTTTGTGGAATTTGCAATTCTATATTTAGAGTGCTTTCAGGCCTGTGGTACAAAAGGGAATATCTTCACATAAAATCTAGACAGAAGCATTGTCGGAAACTACTTTGTGATACCTGCCTTCAACTCTCAGAGTTGAATGTTCCTCTTGATGGAGCAGTTTTGAAAAACTCTTTTTGTTGAATCTCCAAGTAGATATTTGGACCTCTTTGTGGCCTTCATTTGAGACGTGACTTCTTCATACAAAAGTAGACAGAAGAATTCTCATCAACTTCTTCGTGATGTGTGCTTTCAACTCGCAGCGTTGAAGCTTCCTTTCGATAGAGCAGTTCTGTAACTCTCTTTTTGTAGAATTTCCAAGTGGATATTTAGCGCCGTTTGAGGCCAATGGTGGAAAAGGCAATATCTTCATAGAAAAACTAGACAGAATGATTCTCAGAAACTTCTTTGTGATGTGTGCCTTCAACTCACAGAGTTTAACCTTTGTTTTGATAGAGCAGTTTTGAAAAACTCTTTTTGTAGAATCTGCAAGTGTATATTGGGACTTTTCTGAGGCCATCTTGGGAAACGGGATTTCTTCCTATAAAACTTGAAGGAAGAATCCTCAGAAAATTATTTGTGATATGTGCATTTAACTCATGGAGTTGAAACTTCCTTTCGATAGAAGAGTTTTGAAATACTCTTTTTGTAGAATTTCCAAGTGGATTTTTACAGCGGTTTGAGGTCTATGGCAGAAAAAGGAATATCTTCACAGAAAAACTAGGCAGATTCATTCTCCGAAGCTGTTTTGTGATGCTTGCATTAAGCTGACAGAGTTTAAACTTCCTTTGATAGAGCAGTTTGGAAACACTGTTTTTGTGGAATTTGCAAGTGTATATTTAGAGCGTTTTGAGGCCTACAGTGGGAAAGGAAATATCTTCACATAAATACTAGACAGAAGTATTGTCAGAAACTTACTTGTGATATTTGCATTCAACGCACAGAGTTGAACATTCCTCTTGATGGAGCAGTTTTGAAACACTCTTTTTGCAGAATCTGCAGGTGGATATTTGGACCTCTTTGTGGCCTTCGTTTGAAACGTGATTTCTTCATTTACAACTAGACAGAAGAATTCTCAGAAACTTCTTTGTGATGTGTACCTTCAACCCACAGAGGTGAAGCTTCCTTTCAATAGAGCACTTTTGAAACTCAGTTTTGGTAGAATTTCCAGGTGGATATTTAGCGCCGTTTGAGGCCTATTGTAGAAAAGGCAATATCTTCGTAGGAGAACTAGACAGAATGATTCTCAGAAGCTACTTTGTGATGTATGGGTTCAACTCACTGAGTTTAACCTTTCTTTTGATAGACCACTTTATGAAACACTCTTTTTGTAGAATCTGCAAGTAAATCTTTGGACTTTTTTGAGGCCTTCATTGGAAACGGGGTTTCTTCATATAAACCTTGACAGAAGAATTCTCAGAAACTTCTCTGTGATGTGTGCGTTTAACTCTCAGAGTTCAACCTTCCTTTTGATAGAAGAGTGTTGAAATATTCTTTTTGCAGAATTTCCAAGTGAATATTTAGAGCCGTCTCAGGCCTATGTGGAAGAGAAACTATCTTCACGGAAAAACTAGACATAACTGTTCTCTGAAGCTGCTCTGTGATGTGCGCATTCAGCTGACAGAGTTTAACCTTTCTTTGGATAGAGCGGTTTTCAACACTCTTTTTTTGGAATTTGCAATTCTATATTTAGAGTGGTTTCAGGCCTGTGGTACAAAAGGGAATGTCTTCACATAAAATCTAGACAGAAGCATTGCCGGGAACTACTTTGTGATACCTGCCTTCAACTCTCAGCAGTTGAATATTCCTCTTGATGGAGCAGTTTTGAAAAACTCTTTTTGTTGAATCTCCAAGTGGATATTTGGACCTCGTTGTGGCCTTCGTTTGAAACGTGACTGCTTCATACAAAAGTAGACAGAAGAATTCTCATAAACTTCTTCGTGATGTGTGCTTTCAACTCGCAGCCTTGAAGCTTCCTTTCGATAGAGCAGTTTAGTAACTCTCTTTTTGTAGAATTTCCAAGTGGATATTTAGCGCCGTTTGAGGCCTATGGTGGAAAAGGCAATATCTTCATAGAAAAACTAGACAGAATGATTCTCAGAAACTACTTTGTGATGTGTGCCTTCAACTCACAGAGTTTCACCTTTCTGTTGGTAGAGCAGTTTTGAAAAACTCTTTCTGTAGAATCTGCAAGTGTATATTGGGACTTTTCTGAGGCCATGTTTGGAAACGGGATTTCTTCATATAAAACTTGAAAGAAGAATCCTCAGAAAATTATTTGTGATATGTGCATTTAACTCATGGAGTTGAAACTTCCTTTCGATAGAAGAGTTTTGAAATACTCTTTTTGTAGAATTCCCAAGTGGATTTTTACAGCGGTTTGAGGTCTATGGCAGCAAAAGAAATATCTTCACAGAAAAACTAGGCAGATTCATTCTCCGAAGCTGTTTTGTGATGTTTGCATTCAGCTGACAGAGTTTAAACTTCCTTTGATAGAGCAGTTTGGAAACACTCTTTTTGTGGAATTTGCAAGTGTATATTTAGAGCGTTTTGAGGCCTACAGTAGGAAAGGAAATATCTTCACCTAAAAACTAGACAGAAGTATTGTCAGAAACTTATTTGTGATATTTGCATTCAACGCACAGAGTTGAACATTCCTCTTGATGGAGCAGTTTGGAAACACTCTTTTTGTAGAATCTGCAGGTGGATATTTGGACCTCTTTGTGGCCTTCGTTTGAAACGTGATTTCTTCATTTACAACTAGACAGAAGAATTCTCAGAAACTTCTTTGTGATGTGTACCTTCAACTCACAGAGTTGAAGCTTCCTTTCAATAGAGCACCTTAGAAACTCAGTTTTTGTAGAATTTCCAGGTGGATATTTAGCGCCGTTTGAGGCCTATGGTAGAAAAGGCAATATCTTCATAGGAGGACTAGACAGAATGATTCTCAGAAACTACTTTGTGATGTGTGGGTTCAACTCACTGAGTTTAACCTTTCTTTTGATAGACCAGTTATGAAACACTCTTTCTGTAGAATCTGCAAGTAAATATTTGGACTTTTTTGAGGCCTTCATTGGAAACGGGATTTCTTCATAGAAACCTTGACAGAAGAATTCTCAGAATCTTCTCTGTGATGTGTGCGTTTAACTCTCAGAGTTCAACCTTCCTTTTGATAGAAGAGTGTTGAAATATTCTTTTTGTAGAATTTCCAAGTGAATATTTAGAGCGGTTTCAGGCCTATGTAGAAGAGAAACTATCTTCACAGAAAAACTAGACATAATTGTTCTCTGAAGCTACTCTGTGATGTGCGCATTCAGCTGACAGAGTTTAACCTTTCTTTGCATAGAGCGCTTTTAAACACTCTTTTTGTGGAATTTGCAATTCTATATTTAGAGTGCTTTCAGGCCTGTCGTACAAAAGGGAATGTCTTCACATAAAATCTAGACAGAAGCATTGTCGGAAACTACTTTGTGATACCTGCCTTTAACTCTCAGAGTTGAATATTCCACTTGATGGAGCAGTTTTGAAAAACTCTTTTTGTTGAATCTCCAAGTGGATATTTGGACCTCTTGTGGCCTTCGATTGAAACGTGACTGCTTTATATAAAAGTAGACAGAAGAATTCTCATCAACTTCTTCGTGATGTGTGCTTTCAACTCGCAACGTTGAAGCTTCCTTTCTATAGAGCAGTTCTGTAACTCTCTTTTTGTAGAATTTCCAAGTGGATATTTAGCGCCGTTTGAGGCCAATGGTGGAAAAGGCAATATCTTCATAGAAAAACTAGACAGAATGATTCTCAGAAACTACTTTGTGATGTGTGCCTTCAACTCACAGAGTTATCCTTTCTTTTGATAGAGCAGTTTTGAAAAACTCTTTTTGTAGAATCTGCAAGTGTATATTGGGACTTTTCTGAGGCCATCTTTGGAAACGGGATTTCTTCATATAAAACTTGAAAGAAGAATCCTCAGAAAATTATTTGTGATATGTGCATTTAACTCATGGATTTGAGACCTCCTTTCGATAGAAGAGTTTTGAAATACTCTTTTTGTAGAATTTCCAAGTGGATTTTTACATCAGTTTGAGGTCTATGGCAGAAAAAGAAATATCTTCACAGAAAAACTAGGCAGATTCATTTTCCGAAGCTGTTTTGTGATGCTTGCATTAAGCGGACAGAGTTTAAACTTCCTTTGATAGAGCAGTTTGGAAACACTCTTTTTGTGGAATTTGCAAGTGTATATTTAGAGCGTTTTGAGGCCTACAATGGGAAAGGAAATATCTTCACATAAATACTAGACAGAAGTATTGTCAGAAACTTACTTGTGATATTTGCCTTCAACGCACAGAGTTGAACACTCCTCTTGATGGAGCAGTTTTGAAACACTCTTTTTGTAGAATCTGCAGGTGGATATTTGGACCTCTTTGTGGCCTTCGTTTGAAACGTGATTTCTTCATTTACAACTAGACAGAAGAATTCTCAGAAACTTCTTTGTGATGTGTACCTTCAACTCACAGAGGTGAAGCTTCCTTTCAATAGAGCACTTTTGAAGCTCAGTTTTGGTAGGATTTCCAGGTGGATATTTAGCGCCGTTTGAGGCCTATGGTAGAAAAGGCAATATCTTCGTAGGAGAACTAGACAGAATGATTCTCAGAAGCTACTTTGTGATGTGTGGGTTCAACTCACTGAGTTTAACCTTTCTTTTGATAGACCAGTTATGAAACACTCTTTTTGTGGAATCTGCAAGTAAATATTTGGACTTTTTTGAGGCCTTCATTGGAAACGGGGTTTCTTCATATAAACCTTGACAGAAGAATTCTCAGAAACTTCTCTGTGATGTGTGCGTTTAACTCTCAGAGTTCAACATTCCTTTTGATAGAAGAGTGTTGAAATATTCTTTTTGTAGAATTTCCAAGTGAATATTTAGAGCGGTTTCAGGCCTATGTAGAAGAGAAACTATCTTCACAGAAAAACTTGACATAATTGTTCTCTGAAGCTACTCTGTGATGTGTGCATTCAGCTGACAGAGTTTAACCTTTCGTTGGATAGAGCGGTTTTAAACCCTCTTTTTGTGGAATTTGCTATTCTATCTTTAGAGTGCTTTCAGGCCTCTGGTACAAAAGGGAATGTCTTCACATAAAATCTAGACAGAAGCATTGTCGGGAACTACTTTGTGATACCTGCCCTCAAGTCTCAGAGTTGAATATTCCTCTTGATGGAGTAGTTTTGTAAAACTCTTTTTGTTGAATCTCCAAGTGGATATTTGGACCTCTTTGTGGCCTTCGTTTGAAACGTGACTGCTTCATACAAAAGTAGACAGAAGAATTCTCATCAACTTCTTCGTGATGTGTGCTTTCAACTCGCAGCGTTGAAGCTTCCTTTCGATAGAGCAGTTCTGTAACTCTCTTTTTGTAGAATTTCCAAGTGGATATTTAGCGCCGTTTGAGGCCAATGGTGGAAAAGGCAATATCTTCATAGAAAAACTAGACAGAATGATTCTCAGAAACTACTTTGTGATGTGTGCCTTCAACTCACAGAGTTTAACTTTCCTTTTGGTAGAGCAGTTTTGAAAAACTCTTTTTGTAGAATCTGCAAGTGTATATTGGGACTTTTCTGAGGCCATCTTTGGAAACGGGATTTCTTCATATAAAACTTGAAAGAAGAATCCTCAGAAAATTATTTGTGATATGTGCATTTAACTCATGGAATTGAAACTTCCTTTCGATAGAAGAGTTTTGACATCCTCTTTTTGTAGAATTTCCAAGTGGATTTTTACAGCGGTTTGAGGTCTATGGCAGAAAAAGAAATATCTTCACAGAAAAACAAGGCAGATTCATTCTCCGAAGCTGTTTTGTGATGCTTGCATTAGGCTTACAGAGTTTAAACTTCCTTTGATAGAGCAGTTTTGAAACACTCTTTTTGTGGAATTTGCAACTGTATATTTAGAGCGTTTTGAGGCCTACAGTAGGAAAGGAAATATCTTCACATAAAAACTAGACAGAAGTATTTTCAGAAACTTATTTGTGATATTTGCATGGAACGCACAGAGTTGAACATTCCTCTTGATGGAGTAGTTTTGAAACACTCTTTTTGTAGAATCTGCAAGTGGATATTTGGACCGCTTAGTGGCCGTCCTTTGAAACGTGATTTCTTCATTTACAACTAGACAGAAGAATTCTCAGAAACTTCTTTGTGATGTGTACTTTCAACTCACAGAGTTGAAGCTTCTTTTCAATAGAGCACTTTTGAAACTCAGTTTCTGTAGAATTTCCAGGTGGATATTTAGCGCCGTTTGAGGCCTATGGTGAAAAAGGCAATATCTTCGTAGAAAAACTAGACAGAATGATTCCCAGAAACAACTTTGTGATGTGTGCGTTCAACTCACGGAGTTTAACCTTTCTTTTGATAGACCAGTTATGAAACACTCTTTTTGTAGAATCTGCAAGTAAATATTTGGACTTTTTTGAGGCCTTCATTGGAAACGGGATCTCTTCATGTAAACCTTGACAGAAGAATTCTCAGAAACTTCTCTGTGATGTGTGCGTTTAACTCTCAGAGTTCAACCTTCCTTTTGATAGAAGAGTGTTGAAATATTCTTTTTGCAGAATTTCCAAGTGAATATTTAGAGCGGTTTCAGGCCTATGTAGAAGAGAAACTATCTTCACAGAAAAACTAGACATAATTGTTCTCTGAAGCTACTTTGTGATGTGCGCATTCAGCTTACAGAGTTTAACCTTTCTTTGGATCGAGCGGTTTTAAACACTCTTTTTGTGGAATTTGCAATTCTATATTTAGAGTGCTTTCAGGCCTGTGGTACAAAAGGGAATGTCCTCACATAAAATCTAGACAGAAGCATTGTCGGTAACTACTTTGTGATACATGGCTTCAACTCTCAGAGTTGAATATTCCTCTTGAAGGAGCAGTTTTGAAAAACACTTTTTGTTGAATCTCCAAGTGGATATTTGGTCCTCTTTGTGGCCTTCGTTTGAAACGTGACTGCTTCATACAAAAGTAGACAGAAGAATTCTCATAAACTTCTTCGTGATGTGTGCTTTCCACTCGCAGAGTTGAAGCTTCCTTTCGATAGAGCAGTCTTGTAACTCTCTTTTTGTAGAATTTCCAAGTGGATATTTAGCGCCGCTTGAGGCCTATGGTGGAGAAGGCGATATCTTCATAGAAAAACTAGACAGAATGATTCTCAGAAACTACTCTGTGATGTGTGCCTTCAACTCACAGAGTTTAACCTTCCTTTTGATAGAGCAGTTTTGAAAAACTCTTTTTGTAGAATCTGCAAGTGTATATTGGGAGTTTTCTGAGGCCATCTTTGGAAACGGGATTTCTTCATATAAATCTTGAAAGAAGAATCCTCAGAAAATTATTTGTGATATCTGCATTTAACTCATGGAGTTGAGATTTCCTTTCGATAGAAGAGTTTTGAAATACTCTTTTTGTAGAATTTCCAAGTGGATTTTTACAGCGGTTTGAGGTCTATGGCAGAAAAAGTAATATCTTCACAGAAAAACTAGGCAGATTCATTCTCCGAAGCTGTTTTGTGATGCTTGCATTAAGCGGACAGAGTTTAAACTTCCTTTGATAGAGCAGTTTGGAAACACTCTTTTTGTGGAATTTGCAAGTGTATATTTAGAGCGTTTTGAGGCATACAGTAGGAAAGGAAATATCTTCACATAAAAACTACACAGAAGTATTCTCAGAAACTTACTTGTGATATTTGCATTCAACGCACAGAGTTGAACATTCCTCTTGATGGAGCAGTTTTGAAACACTCTTTTTGTAGAATCTGAAGGTGGATATTTGGACCTCTTTGTGGCCTTCTTTTGAAACGTGATTTCTTCATTTACAACTAGACAGAAGAATTCTCAGAAACTTCTTTGTGATGTGTACCTACAACTCACAGAGGTGAAGCTTCCTTTCAATAGAGCACTTTTGAAACTCAGTTTTTGTAGAATTTCCATGTGGATATTTAGCGCCGTTTGAGGCCTATGGTAGAAAAGGCAATATCTTCGTAGGAAAACTAGACAGAATGATTCTCAGAAGCTACTTTGTGATGTGTGGGTTCAACTCACTGAGTTTAACCTTTCTTTTGATAGACCAGTTATGAAACACTCTTTTTGTGGAATCTGCAAGTAAATATTTGGACTTTTTTGAGGCCTTCATTGGAAACGGGGTTTCTTCATATAAACCTTGACAGAAGAATTCTCAGAAACTTCTCTGTGATGTGTGCGTTTACCTCTCAGAGTTCAACCTTCCTTTTGATAGAAGAGTGTTGAAATATTCTTTTTGTAGAATTTCCAAGTGAATATTTAGAGCGGTTTCAGGCCTATGTAGAAGAGAAACTATCTTCACAGAAAAACTAGACATAATTGTTCTCTGAAGCTACTCTGTGATGTGCGCATTCAGCTGACAGAGTTTAACCTTTCTTTGCATAGAGCGGTTTTAAACCCTCTTTTTGTGGAATTTGCAATTCTATATTTAGAGTGCTTTCAGGCCTGTGGTATAAAAGGGAATGTCTTCACATAAAATCCAGACAGAAGCATTGTCGGAAACTACTTTGTGATACCTGCCTTCAACTCTCAGAGTTGAATGTTCCTCTTGATGGAGCAGTTTTGAAAAACTCTTTTTGTTGAATCTCCAAGTGGATATTTGGACCTCTTTGTGGCCTTCGTTTGAGACGTGACTTCTTCATACAAAAGTAGACAGAAGAATTCTCATAAACTTCTTCGTGATGTGTGCTTTCAACTCGCAGCGTTGAAGCTTCCTTTCGATAGAGCAGTTTAGTAACTCTCTTTTTGTAGAATTTCCAAGTGGATATTTAGCGCCGTTTGAGGCCTATGGTGGAAAAGGCAATATCTTCATAGAAAAACTAGACAGAATGATTCTCAGAAACTACTCAGTGATGTGTGCCTTCAACTCACAGAGTTTAACCTTCCTTTTGATAGAGCAGTTTTAAAAAACTCTTTTTGTAGAATCTGCAAGTGTATATTGGGACTTTTCTGAGGCCAACTTTGGAAACGGGATTTCTTCATCTAAAACTTGAAAGAAGAATCCTCAGAAAATTATTTGTGATATGTGCATTTAACTCATGGAGCTGAAACTTCCTTTCGATAGAAGAGCTTTGAAATACTCTTTTTGTAGAATTTCCAAGTGGATTTTTACAGCGGTTTGAGGTCTATGGCAGAAAAAGAAATATCTTCACAGAAAAACTAGGCAGATTCATTCTCCGAAGCTGTTTTGTGATGCTTGCATTCAGCTGACAGAGTTTAAACTTCGTTTGATAGAGCAGTTTGGAAACACTCTTTTTGTGGAGTTTGCAAGTGTTTATTTAGAGCGTTTTGAGGCCTACAGTAGGAAAGGAAATATCTTCACATAAAAACTAGACAGAAGTATTGTCAGAAACTTATTTGTGATATTTGCATTCAACGCACAGAGTTGAACATTCCTCTTGATGGAGCAGTTTTGAAACCCTCTTTTTGCAGAATCTGCAGCTGGATATTTGGACCTCTTTGTGGCCTTCGTTTGAAACGTGATTTCTTCATTTACAACTAGACAGAAGAATTCTCAGAAACTTCTTTGTGATGTGTACCTTCAACTCACAGAGTTGAAGCTTCCTTTCAATAGAGCACTTTTGAAACTCAGTTTTTGTAGAATTTCCAGGTGGATATTTAGCGCCGTTTGAGGCCTATGGTAGAAAAGGCAATATCTTCGTAGGAAAACTAGACAGAATGATTCTCAGAAACAACTTTGTGATGTGTGCGTTCAACTCACGGAGTTTAACCTTTCTTTTCATAGACCAGTTATGAAACACTCTTTTTGTAGAATCTGCAAGTAAATATTTGGACTTTTTTGAGGCCTTCATTGGAAACGGGATCTCTTCATATAAACCTTGACAGAAGAATTCTCAGAAACTTCTTTGTGATGTGTGCATTTAACTCTCAGAGTTCAGCCTTCCTTTTGATAGAGGAGTGTTGAAATATTCTTTTTGTAGAATTTCCAAGTGAATATTTAGAGCGGTTTCAGGCCTATGTAGAAGAGAAAATATCTTCACAGAAAAACTAGACATAATTGTTCTCTGAAGCTACTTTGTGATGTGCGCATTCAGCTTACAGAGTTTAACCTTTCTTTGGATCGAGCGGTTTTAAACACTCTTTTTGTGGAATTTGCAATTCTATATTTAGAGTGCTTTCAGGCCTGTGGTACAAAAGGGAATGTCCTCACATAAAATCTCGACAGAAGCATTGTCGGGAACTACTTTGTGATACCAGCCTTCAACTCGCAGAGTTGAATATTCCTCTTGACGGAGCAGTTTTGAAAAACTCTTTTTGTTGAATCTCCAAGTGGATATTTGGACCTCTTTGTGGCCTTCGTTTGAAACGTGACTGCTTCATACAAAAGTAGACAGAAGAATTCTCATAAACTTCTTCGTGATGTGTGCTTTGAACTCGCAGAGTTGAAGCTTCCTTTCGATAGAGCAGTCTTGTAACTCTCTTTTTGTCGAATTTCCAAGTGGATATTTAGCGCCGTTTGGGGCCTATGGTGGAGAAGGCGATATCTTCATAGAAAAACTAGACAGAATGATTTTCAGAAACTACTTTGTGATGTGTGCCTTCAACCCACAGAGTTTAACCTTCCTTTTGGTAGAGCAGTTTTGAAAAACTCTTTTTGTAGAATCTGCAAGTGTATATTGGGACTTTTCTGAGGCCATCTTTGGAAACGGGATTTCTTCATATAAAACTTGAAAGAAGAATCCTCAGAAAATTATTTGTGATATGTGCATTTAACTCATGGAGTTGAAACTTCCTTTCGATAGAAGAGTTTTGAAATACTCTTTTTGTAGAATTTCCAAGTGGATTTTTACAGCGGTTTGAGGGCTATGGCAGAAAAAGTAATATCTTCACAGAAAAACCAGGCAGATTCATTCTCCGAAGCTGTTTTGTGATGCTTGCATTCAGCTTACGGAGTTTAAACTTCCTTTGATAGAGCAGTTTGGAAACACTCTTTTTGTGGAATTTGCAAGTGTATATTTAGAGCGTTTTGAGGCCTACAGAGGGAAAGGAAATATCTTCACATAAAAACTAGACGGAAGTATTGTCAGAAACTTATTTGTGATATTTGCATTCAACGCACAGAGTTGAACATTCCTCTTGATGGAGCAGTTTGGAAACACTCTTTTTGTAGAATCTGCAGGTGGATATTTGGACCTCTTTGTGGCCTTCGTTTGAAACGTGATTTCTTCATTTACAACTAGACAGAAGAATTCTCAGAAACTTCTTTGTGATGTGTACCTTCAACTCAAAGTGGTGAAGCTTCCTTTCAATAGAGCACTTTTGAAACTCAGTTTTGGTAGAATTTCCAGGTGGATATTTAGCGCCGTTTGAGGCCTATGGTAGAAAAGGCAATACCTTCGTAGGAGAACTAGACAGAATGATTCTCAGAAGCTACTTTGTGAAGTGTGGGTTCAACTCACTGAGTTTAACCTTTCTTTTGCTAGACCAGTTATGAAACACTCTTTCTGTGGAACTTGCAAGTAAATATTTGGACTTTTTTAGGCCTTCATTGGAAACGGGGTTTCTTCATATAAACCTTGACAGAAGAATTCCCAGAAACTTCTTTGTGATGTGTGCATTGAACTCTCACAGTTCAACCTTCCTTTTGATAGAAGAGTGTTGAAATATTCTTTTTGTAGAATTTCCAAGTGAATATTTAGAGCGGTTTCGGCCTATGTAGAAGAGAAAATATCTTCACAGAGAAACTAGACATAATTGTTCTCTGAAGCTACTTTGTGATGGGCGCCTTCAGCTGACAGAGTTTAACCTTTCTTTGGATAGAGCGGTTTTAAACTCTCTTTTTGTGGAATTTGCAATTCTATATTTAGAGTGCTTTCAGGCCTGTGATACAAAAGGGAATGTCTTCACATAAAATCTAGACAGAAGCGTTGTCGGAAACTTGTTTGTGATACCTGCCCTCAACACTCAGAGTTGAATATTAATCTTGACGGAGCAGTTTTGAAAAACTCTTTTTGTTGAATCTCCAAGTGGATATTTGGACCTCTTTGTGGCCTTCGTTTGAGACGTGACTTCTTCCTACAAAACTAGACAGAAGAATTCTCATAAACTTCTTGGTGATGTGTGCTTTCAACTCGCAGCGTTGAAGCTTCCTTTCGATAGAGCAGTTTAGTAACTCTCTTTTTGTAGAATTTCCAAGTGGATATTTAGCGCCGTTTGAGGCCTATGGTGGAAAAGGCAATATCTTCATAGAAAAACTAGACAGAATGATTCTCAGAAACTACTTTGTGATGTGTGCCTTCAACTCACAGAGTTTAACCTTTCTTTTGATAGAGCAGTTTTGAAAAACTCTTTTTGTAGAATCTGCAAGTGTATATTGGGACTTTTCTGAGGCCACCTTTGGAAACGGGATTCCTTCATATAAAACTTGAAAGAAGAATCCTCAGAAAATTATTTGTGATATGTGCATTTAACTCATGGAGTTGAAACTTCCTTTCGATAGAAGAGTTTTGAAATACTCTTTTTGTAGTATTTCCATGTGGATTTTTACAGCGGTGTGAGGTCTATGGCAGAAAAAGAAATATCTTCACAGAAAAACTAGGCAGATTCATTCTCCGAAGCTGTTTTGTGATGCTTGCATTAAGTTTACAGAGTTTAAGCTTCCTTTGATAGAGCAGTTTTGAAACACCCTTTTGTGGAATTTGCAAGTGTATATTTAGAGCGTTTTGAGGCCTACAGTAGGAAAGGAAATATCTTCACATAAAAAATAGACAGAAGTATTGTCAGAAACTTATTTGTGATATTTGCATTCAACGCACAGAGTTGAACATTCCTCGTGATGGAGCAGTTTTGAAACACTCTTTTTGTAGAATCTACAAGTGAATATTTGGACCTCTTTGTGGCCTTCGTTTGAAACGTGATTTATTCATTTAAAACTAGACAGAAGAATTCTCAGAAACTTCTTTGTGATGTGTACCTTCAACTCACAGAGTTGAAGCTTCCTTTCAATAGAGCACCTTAGAAACTCAGTTTTTGTAGAATTTCCAGGTGGATATTTAGCGCCGTTTGAGGCCTATGGTAGAAAAGGCAATATCTTCGTAGGAGGACTAGACAGAATGATTCTCAGAAACTACTTTGTGATGTGTGGGTTCAACTCACTGAGTTTAACCTTTCTTTTGATAGACCAGTAATGAAACACTCTTTTTGTACAATCTGCAAGTAAATATTTGGACTTTTTTGAGGCCTTCATTGGAAACGGGATTTCTTCATATAAACCTGGACAGAAGAATTCCCAGAAACTTCTCTGTGATGTGTGCATTTAACTCTCAGAGTTCAACCTTCCTTTTGATTGAAGAGGGTTGAAATATTCTTTTTGTAGAATTTCCAAGTGAATATTTAGAGCAGTTTCAGGCCTATGTAGAAGATAAAATATCTTCACAGAAAAACTAGACATAATTGTTCTCTGAAGCTACTTTGCGATGTGCGCATTCAGCTTACAGAGTTTAACCTTTCTTTGGATAGAGCGGTTTTAAACACTCTTTTTGTGGAATTTGCAATTCTATATTTAGAGTGCTTTCAGGCCTGTGGTACAAAAGGGAATGTCCTCACATAAAATCTAGACAGAAGCATTGTCGGGAACTACTTTGGGATACCTGCCTTCAACTCTCAGAGTTGAATATTCCTCTTGATGGAGCAGTTTTGTAAAACTCTTTTTGTTGAATCTGCAAGTGGATATTTAGACCTCTTTGTGGCCTTCGTTTGAAACGTGACTGCTTCATACAAAAGTAGACAGAAGAATTCTCATAAAGTTCTTCGTGATGTGTGCTTTCAACTCGCAGAGTTGAAGCTTCCTTTCGATAGAGCAGTCTTGTAACTCTCTTTTTGTAGAATTTCCAAGTGGATATTTAGCGCCGCTTGAGGCCTATGGTGGAGAAGGCGATATCTTCATAGAAAAACTAGACAGAATGATTCTCAGAAACTACTCAGTGATGTGTGCCTTCAACTCACAGAGTTTAACCTTCCTTTTGATAGAGCAGTTTTAAAAAACTCTTTTTGTAGAATCTGCAAGTGTATATTGGGACTTTTCTGAGGCCAACTTTGGAAACGGGATTTCTTCATATAAAACTTGAAAGAAGAATCCTCAAAAAATTATTTGTGATATGTGCATTTAACTCATGGAGTTGAAACTTCCTTTCGATAGAAGAGTTTTGACATACTCTTTTGGTAGAATTTCCAAGTAGATTTTCACAGCGGTTTGAGGTCTATGACAGAAAAAGAAATATCTTCACAGAAAAACTAGGCAGATTCATTCTCCGAAGCTGTTTTGTGATGCTTGCATTCAGCTTACAGAGTTTAAACTTCCTTTGATAGAGCAGTTTTGAAACCCTCTTTTTGTGGAATTTGCAAGTGTCTCTTTAGAGCGTTTTGAGGCCTACAGTAGGAAAGGAAATATCTTCACATAAAAACTAGACGGAAGTATTCTCAGAAACTTACTTGTGATATTTGCATTCAAGGCACAGAGTTGAACATTCCTCTTGATGGAGCAGTTTTGAAACACTCTTTTTGTAGAATCTGCAGGTGGATATTTGGACCTCTTTGTGGCCTTCTTTTGAAACGTGATTTCTTCATTTACAACTAGACAGAAGAATTCTCAGAAACTTCTTTGTGATGTGTACCTTCAACTCACAGAGGTGAAGCTTCCTTTCAATAGAGCACTTTTGAAGCTCAGTTTTGGTAGAATTTCCAGGTGGATATTTAGCGCCGTTTGAGGCCTATGGTAGAAAAGGCAATATCTTCGTAGGAGAACTAGACAGAATGATTCTCAGAAGCTACTTTGTGATGTGTGGGTTCAACTCACTGAGTTTAACCTTTCTTTTGATAGACCAGTTATGAAACACTCTTTTTGTGGAATCTGCAAGTAAATTTTTGGACTTTTTTGAGGCCTTCATTGGAAACGGGGTTTCTTCATATAAACCTTGACAGAAGAATTCTCAGAAACTTCTCTGTGATGTGTGCGTTTACCTCTCAGAGTTCCACCTTCCTTTTGATAGAAGAGTGTTGAAATATTCTTTTTGCAGAATTTCCAAGTGAATATTTAGAGCGGTCTCAGGCCTATGTGGAAGAGAAACTATCTTCACGGAAAAACTAGACATAATTGTTCTCTGAAGCTACTTTGTGATGTGCGAATTCAGCTTACAGAGTTTAACCTTTCTTTGGATAGAGCGGTTTTAAACACTCTTTTTGTGGAATTTGCAATTCTATATTTAGAGTGCTTTCAGGCTTGTGGTACAAAAGGGAATGTCCTCACATAAAATCTAGACAGAAGCATTTTCGGAAACTACTTTGTGATACCTGCCTTCAACTCTCAGAGTTGAATATTCCTCTTGATGGAGCAGTTTTGAAAAACTCTTTTTGATGAATCTCCAAGTGGACCTTTGGACCTCTTTGTGGCCTTCGTTTGAAACGTGACTTCTTCATACAAAACTAGACAGAAGAATTCTCATAAACTTCTTCGTGATGTGTGCTTTCAACTCGCTGAGTTGAAGCTTCCTTTCGACAGAGCAGTCTTGTAACTCTCTTTTTGTAGAATTTCCAAGGGGATATTTAGCGCCGTTTGAGGCCTATGGTGGAAAAGGCAATATCTTCATAGAAAAACTAGACAGAATGATTCTCAGAAACTACTTTGTGATGTGTGCCTTCAACTCACAGAGTTCAACCTTTCTTTTGATAGAGCAGTTTTGAAAAACTCTTTTTGTAGAATCTGCAAGTGTATATTGGGACTTTTCTGAGGCCATCTTTGGATACGGGATTTCTTCATATAAAACTTGGAAGAAGAATCCTCAGAAAATTATTTGTGATATGTGCATTTAACTCATGGAGTTGAAACTTCCTTTTGATAGAAGAGTTTTGAAATACTCTTTTTGTAGAATTTCCAAGTGGATTTTTACAGCGGTTTGAGGTCTATGGCAGAAAAAGAAATATCTTCACAGAAAAACTAGGCAGATTCATTCTCCGAAGCTGTTTTGTGATGCTTGCATTAAGCTTACAGAGTTTAAACTTCCTTTGATAGAGCAGTTTGGAAACACTGTTTTTGGAGAATTTGCAAGTGTATATTTAGAGCGTTTTGAGGCCTACAGTAGGCAAGGAAATATCTTCACATAAAAACTAGACAGAAGTATTGTCAGAAACTTATTTGTGATATTTGCATTCAACGCACAGAGTTGAACATTCCTCTTGATGGAGCAGTTTTGAAACCCTCTTTTTGCAGAATCTGCAGGTGGATATTTGGACCTATTTGT